>NC_000005.10:118897685-119200716 GCF_000001405.40 Homo sapiens | reverse complement strand
AAAAACATCCCATGTTCATGGAGAAGAAGAATCAATATCATTAAACTGGCCATATTGCCCAAAGCAATTTACAGATTCAATGCTATTCCTAACAAACCACCACCAACATTCTTCACAGAACTAGAGAAACCTATTTTAAAATTAATATGGAACGTAAAAAGAGCCTGAATAGCAAGGCGATCCTAAGCAAAAAGAACAAAACTGGAATCACATTACCTGATTTCGATGTATGCTACAAAAACACAGTAACCAAAACAGAACAGTATTGGTACAAAAACAGGCACATTGACCACTGGAACAGAATAGAGAACTGGGAAGTAAGGTGACACGCCTCTGGCCATCTGATCTTTGACAAAGCTGACAAAAACAAGCAATCAAGAAAAGACTCCCTATTCTATAAATGGTGCTGGGATAACCGGCTAGCCAAATGCAGAAGATTGAAACTGAATGCCTTCCTTGCAACATACACAAAAATCAACTCAAGATGGATTAAAGACTTACATGTAAAACCAAAAGCTACAAAAATTTTAGCAAACAACCTAGGCAATACCACCCCGGACACAGGAACAGGCAAAGATTTTATGACAAGGACCCCAAAAGGAATTTCAACAAAAGCAAAAATTGACAAATAGGATCTAATTAAACTTAAGAGCTTCTGCAAAACAAAAGAAACTATCAACAGAGTAAACAGACAACCTACAGAAATGGGAGAAAATACTTTCTATGTACCTGATAAAGGTCTAATATCCAGCATCTATAACGAACTTCAACCAATTTAAAAAAGAAAAACAAACACCACCATTAAAAAGTGGGCAAAGGACATGAACAGACACTTTGCACAAGAAGACGTACGTGCCAATAAGCCTAAGAAAAAAGCTTAATATAACTGATCATTTGAGAAAAGCAAATCAAAAGCACAATGAGATACCATCTCACACCAGTCAGAATGGTTATCATTTAAAAATAACAGATTATTTATAAAAAATAACAGATGCTGGGAAGGTTGCAGAGAAAAGGGAACACTTACGCACTGTCAGTGGGAGTGTAAATTACTTCAATCATTGTGGAAAGCAGTATGGCGATTCCTCAAAGAGCTAAAAACAGAACTATCATTTGACCTAGCAAACCCATTACTGGGTATATACCTAGGGTAATATAAATCATTCTACCATAAAAAACACATGCACACAAGTGTTCGCTGCAGCATTATTCACAATAGCAAAGAAATGGAACCTAAACGCTCATCAGTGACAGACTGGATAAAGAAAATCTGGTACAGATACAAGAAATACTATGTAGCCATAAAAAAGAATGAGATCACATCTTTTGTGGGAACATGGATGGAGCTGGAGGTTACTATCCTTAGCAAACTAGCACAAGAACAGAAAACCAAACACTGTATGTTCTCACTTATAAGTGGGAACTAAATGTTGAGAACTCATGAACACAAAGAAGGGAACAACAGACAGTGGGGTCTACTTGAGGGGGAAGTGGGGAGGAGAAAGAGGATCACAAAAATAACTACTGGGGGCCAGGCATGGTGGCTCACAGCTAAAATCCCAGCACTTTGGGGGGCTGTGACAGGCGGACTGCTTGAGCACAGGAGTTTGAGACCAGCCTGAGTAACAAGGTGAAACCCTGTCTCTACAAAAAATACAAAAAATTAGCTGGGCATGGTGGTGTGTGCCTGTGATCCCAGCTATTCAGGAGGGTGAGACAGGAGGACTGTTTGTGCCTAGGAGGTGGAGGCTGCAGTGAGCTGTGATTGTGCCACTCTACTCCAGCCTGATTAATAGAGCAAGACTTTGTCTCCAAAAAAGGAAAAATAACTACTGGGTACCAGGCTTAGTACTACCTGAGTGATGAAATAATTTGTAGAACAAATCCTCACGATGTGAGTTTATTTCTGGGATCTCTATTTTGTTCCACTGGTCTATTTGTCTATTTTTGTACCAGTACCATGCTGTTTTGGTTACTGTTGCTTTGTAGTACAGTTTGAAGTCAGGTAATGTGATGCCTTGTTCTTTTTGCTGAGGATTGCTTTGGCTATTCCAGCTCTCTACTGGTTCCATCTGATTTTAGAATAATTTTTTTCTAATTCTGTTAAGAATGATGTTGGTAATTTGACAGGAATTGTGCTGAATCTGTTGACTGCTTGTTGTTTAGTGCTATAAACTTTCCTCTTAACACTTTTGTGACCAGCTATTTTGAAAAGCATCGTTCTAGAGCAGGCATCAATAAACTATAGCTCACAGTCCAAATCTAGCCTACCTACCATTTTAAGAAATAAAGTTTATTGGACAAAAACTGAATATATTTGTGTACATGTTGTCTATGGTTGCTTTTATTCTACAATGGCAGGGTTGAGTAGTTATGACAAGAATGTACAGCACAAAAAGTAAAACTCCTATCTTAAAAACAGTATTCAGGGCAGGTGCGGTGGCTCACGCCTGTAATCCCAGCACTTTGGGAGGCCGAGGCAGGTGGATCACCTGAGGTCAGGAGTTTGAGACCAGCCTGGCCAACATGGTGAAACCCCATCTCTACTAAAAATACAAAAATTAACCAGGCGTGGTGGCAGGCGCCTGTAATCCCAGCTACTCAGGAGACTGAGGCAGGAGAATCACTTGAACCCAGGAGGCAGAGGCTGCAGTGAGCTGAGATTGTGCCACTGCACTCCAGCCCGGATGACAGAGCGAGACACCATCTCAAAAAACAAACAAACAAAAAAACCCAAATAGCATTCATAAGAAAACCTACTTGAAAGGAGTGTTTGTAGGTTCCAGTAAAGCTTTGTGGCGAAGAATTGCAGGACCTGCAGACAAACTCTCTTCGGCGGTATGACTTGCGATATAATTTTGAGGTGGCCCACCATGGATTTCAAGTCGTCGGAGAAGAACTTGTTCCCAACATTGAAGAGTTTTTAGAACCGCATGACAAAGAGGTGAACTAACTGGAAGCTCTAAAATGGGAACATTGACTCATATTAATCTTATGCAGTAAAATGCCATATTCAATTTTAAGAAAGACTGAAATGAGAGAGGGGAGAGCAGATGCAGGAAAAAAAAAAAGACTGAGATGAAATATTAACATACACTTTGGCAGGGAAGATGTGCAAGGTGAGGTGGGCAAAGAAACCCAGTGGATTACAAAAGGTATGCCATAAATCTGTGTAAGTATTTCAACATTACTGCTTTTGACCTTAATATTACCAGAAAAATGTATCTGAAGATTATGAAAATATGTATGTGGGGAAAATTAATCGCTTTAAATCAAACTTGTCCAACCCATGGCCCACAGGCTGCATGCGGCCCAGACAGCTTTGAATAAAGCCCAACACAAATTCATAAACTTTCTTAAAACATTATGAAATTTTTTGTGATTTTTCTTTTTAGCTCATCATCTATTGTTAGTATCAATGTATTTTATGTGTGGCCCAAGGCAATTATTCTTCTTCCTGTGTGGCCCAGGGAAGCCAAAAGATTGGACACCCCTGCTTTAATTTGTATCAGACTAATTTCTGTATGGCATATAACTCTTTAAGATCTGTAGAAAATGAAAACAATACATAAAGTTAAAATTAAATAATACTTGCCATGGAACTCAGCACTTAGCAGTTCTGCCCATCCATACTCTTGAGTACTGATCTCAGTTTCAACTTTTAGTTATTCCTACTACTTACCTCCCTATATCTAAATAACATGCTTAATACTTAATTTTTCAATTTTAGAAATGACCTACTGATTTACTACTACGGCATAATGAGAATAAACTCCTCTGTCCATCATTATGATAGTGTCTTATAAAAATCTTTGGTTAAATTGGTATTTTTGTGTTTACCTTATCATATATAGGGAACTATAGTTCATAGCAGAATCACTTAGTATGTTATCATGCCCCTTTCTTTCCTGTACAATCTTTTCCTCCTTTGAAGTTAATAATTGCTAGCTTTTGCATTTGCTTAGTTTTCTCTCCATTGTAAAATCCCTCAACACTTGGCTAGAGTATAAATAGAGTCTCAAGACAGTCAATCACATCACATTCAGTGCCCTTGATTTCTTGGATGTTGCCATCCTCAAGCACCTAACAGTATGACGGATACATTTACAGATGGTTGGTTTAGTTAAAAGAAATCTAACTTCTGTAACAGGAAATCACTAAATTTTCCCCCCAGTCCAGACCAAAAAAAAAAAAAAAAAAACAACAGAGTAGTAAGTCAAAAGCAATGGCACCATTAGCTCATGTTGAGCTATTTATTACCTGCAAGATCATGACCTGCGAAGGGATAAAAAGTCTTCAAATTGTTGAGCACCAATTGCACCATCGCCAACCGCATCAAGGACCAACTAAAAATAAAGCAACGATGGATCTGTTAACTATTTCTATAGGGATTTAGAAGAGTATACTACCCTTTGACTCAACAAATTCCACTATCAGGAATCAACCTGAACATACCCCTCTATGAAAACAAAATAATATATGCATAGAGGTAGTCATGTCAGCTTTATCTACAATAGCAGAAGTGTAGAAATAACCAAAATTGTCCATGAGGAGAGTACTTGTTGAATAACTATTTTTGACCTATGGAATATTAGGGTAACCATAAGGAAGAATGAAGAAGGATCTCTAAGTGTTAATATGGAGTCAGTTTCGGTATGTAGTAATAAATAAAAAGCAGGTAGCAGAACACTGTATGTAGTATGCCACCCTCTCTGCAAGAAAGCAGGGGGAATAAATTTAGATAGATGCTTTTGCTTATTTTTGCAAACAGAAGGATAAACCAGAAGCTAATAAAAGTGGTTAGCTGTAGAGGATGTGCAGAAGAAATTGGATAGAGTAAAGAGAAGTTTAAGTAAAACTTGTGATTTCACATTTTTATATAGTTTGATTTTTAAAAAAGTCAGGTTCTCTTTTATTTCAAGTGGAACATATTTATTTCTTAAAGGATTGAATTTTTAGTAATTTTTTAATGGTAAAATACAAAAACATAAAATTTACCATTTTGGCCATTTTTAAGTTTATAGTTCAGGGGCATTAAGTACATTCACATTGCTGTGCAACCACCACCACCATCCAACTCCAGAATTCCTTTCATCTTGCAAAGCTGAAACTCTAAATTCATTCCCCATTCTCCCCCCACCACCAGCCCTTGAAAACCACTATTTTATTTTTATTCTTTATGTATTTCACTATTCTAGGTACCTCATGTAAGTGAAATCACATACTATAACCCTTTCTGTGACTGATTTATTTCACTTAGCATTATATCCATGTTGCAGCATGTGTCAGAATTTCCTTCCTAAGGCTGAATAATACTCCGTTGAACGTACATAGCACATTTTGTTTAGTAATTCATCTGTTAAAACACACTTGATTGTTTCTTCCCCTCAGTTACTGTAAATAATGCTGCTAAGAACATGGGAAGTACAAATACCTGTTTCAGTCCCTGTTTTCAATATTTTCAGGTATATATCCATAGTGGAAATGCTGGATCATATGGTAATTCTATTTTTAACTTTTTAAGGAACCAGTATACCGTTTTCCACAGTTGCTGCACGATTTTACGTTCCCACCAAAAGTGCACAAAGATTCCAATTTCTCCTCATCCTTGCCAGCACTGTTATTTTTTTTGTTTTTGTTTTTGTTTTTTTTTTGGTAGCCATCCTAATGCATATGAGATGTTGTCTCATTGGGAAACTGATCTGCATTTCTCTAATGATTAATGATATTGAGCATCTTTTCATATGCTTATTGGCTATTTTCATATCGTCTTTGGAGAAATGTCTATTCAAGTTTTTTGTTCATTAAAATTTTTTTTTT
Organism: Homo sapiens; assembly: GCF_000001405.40. NCBI lineage: Eukaryota > Metazoa > Chordata > Mammalia > Primates > Hominidae > Homo > Homo sapiens. The sequence continues at coordinate 119,194,896 of NC_000005.10, read as the reverse complement.
TAGAAATATAGATCGGGTTTTGCCATGTTGCCTGGGCTGGTCTTGAACTCCTGCGCTCAAGTGATCTGACCACCTCGGCCTCCCAATGTTCTGGGATTACAGGCATAGGCCACCATGCCCAGCCCTTTGTTCATTTTTTTAATTATTTACCTTTTTGTTGTTGAGTTGTGCAGTTTGACTTTTAAATGATTTATATATTCAAAAAGTAAAATTCATTCAGCAGGGGGAAAAACCTCAATAAACCAGGAAGTAAAAATCTCATGGTAACTTTCAAATAAAGAATGACTTCAATGTCCCTCATATATTTACTTCTTTTGGAAAATTCACATTTTTTATCACACCATTAACATACCATGTTTTAGTAAAACATACACGTTTTAGATGTAAACATATCAATAGAGACTAGATAATATTCCATCATTCATGAATGTAAGAATAACGCAGTATTGGAGCTAGAGGTGAGCATTTAGAACATGTGTATGACATACAGAGTACTTTTTGAAGATAGTACCTATTGACATCTTATAGTACTAGTGTTCTACTGAAAATATATTTTCCAGACAAAAACAGTAGAACTTGTTTATGTTAGAGCCCAAAATGCAAGGTATAATCTTGGAGCAAGATCTGTGAGGAATGATGCAAATTACGGATGGTCCATTAATGGACAACCAAAGGTATGTGATAAATTATTGTTAAGGAAAGGAATTTAACAATTTCAACTAAAGAAATCTGAGTTACAATGTGTTATAAAGTCAACAGAGAAATTATTGTTAAGGAAAGGAATTTAACAATTTCAACTAAAGAAATCTGGGTTATAATGTGTTATAAAGTCAACAAGCTATTAATTTCACATGTAATTTTTTCAAAAATATTATTTATATACACCATTATTTTTAAAAAGAAATTTAAAATAAAATATACCATACCTATATGAATTTGAATTAGAATGTTCCTGGAGATGGAAATCTGATGCTAAAACATCATCATCATCATCATTGTCATCATCATCACTTCCCAGACTCTCCTCTGAATCATATTCGGCTCTACTTTGAGAAGAGGGTAGAAAAGGCTAAAATAAAGAAATCATGAAATTTAGCAGCCACATATCTAATTTAATACATTCAAACATACAGTCTAATAGTAATAATTCATCTCATTTGCAGATACTTCATTATAAGAGAGTTAAGTAACTATTATCTTACCATCCTATGCCTTTGACATCAATTGATACTATTCCATTATTTATTCATCCATTCAGCAAAAATTTATTAAGTATCCACTGTGCGGCAAGAATTCTACCGGATTTAAGAATTTTTAAGACAGATACAATCACCACCCTCATTTACTTTTTACATGTTACTGGAAAAAAATAGGCAAATAACAGAAAACTAAATACAAACTGTATTATGTGCTACAAAGAAAAGAAATGGAGAATAAGGAGAATTGAGATAAGCTGACCATGGAAGGCCTCTTTGAAAAGTACGAGAACTAAATGACAAGAAGGAACAAGCCATATAATAAGAGGGAAGAAAAGCATTTTAGACAGGGGAAAAATAATGCAGAAAGAGTTTGGGAAAGAGTTTGGTTTGAAAATAGTAGTTTGATCAAGTCTGCTAAGCAAAAAAATGCTGGGAGAAAGGTTGGAGAGAATAGCAAATGACGGCTCAGACAGGGTCTTGTAGGCCATGGTAAAGGAATGTAAGGGAATGCCACCAATAAGTTGTACGTAGAAGACAGGTACTGAGGTTTATATGCTAAGTATATCACTACGATCACTCTCTTATGAGAGAAAAGCTAAACGGCAAGGGTAGAAATGGAGACATCAGTAACTAAAACAGGAGTTGGCAGGTTGGACATAGGTGGTTAGTAATGAAGCTAGAGACAAGTAGTAGATTTAAGATATATTTTGGAGAAAGAACCAACAGGTCTGCTGATAGATTTGGAGAACAAGAGAAGTTGAGGAAAAATGAATGACTCTTAGGTTTTTGGCCTGAGCAACTATAAGGGTGAATATACAATTTCATAAAATGGAAAGACTGGGTATGAGAGGGAAGGTTTTGGGAAAAATCGATATAAAATGCCCAAATCATGAAGACCAAGATTTATGTGTCAAACAGAAGAGGAAGGATGAAGAAAGAAGATTATGAAGGAATAAATAGTAAGTTTAAGAAAAAAAGCTACAAGAGATTGTCATCAAGAGAAAAGGAGAGAAAAGCATTTCAATATGGGAGTAGTGAAGAATGTTGAATGATGCTAAGAAGACAGATAAGAAAATAATTTAAAAGTTTCCACTACATTTGACATGGATATCACGTGAATCTCAACAAGATCAGTTTTAACGGGTGTAACTGGGTCAGAAAGTTATATAAGTAAGTATGAAAGGGGAAAAAGGCAGTAGAAAGCAAATGTGTCTAGTTTTGAAAAGCTGAATGTGAGTGGGAACAGAGAAATGGGATAGCAGCTGGAAAAAGTTTCAGGGTCAAAGCAGGGGTTTGGAATGGGAGATACTAAAGCACATTTCTGTCCTGATGTGAAGGATTCAACAGAGAGGAAGAGAACTGAAAACACAGGGGAGAGTAGAGAAGAAAAGAAAGAATGCAATTCAGAGTAAAACTCGAGAAAAGGTGTCTGATAGAAGGACTTTCTCCATTATAACAGGAGGAAATAAGACAGGAGCAAATGTAATTGATCTGTAACTTTAAATTGGGATGATGAAAAAGTTTTGTCTGATTTTATTTTTCTCAGTGACTTACAAGGTGAGGTCATCAATTAAGAGTGAGGATAGGATGGAAGGGGAGATGCAGGAAGTTTGAAAAAAAGGTTGGAAAACCTTGGAAGACCAACAAAGAAACACAGCAGGGAGAGTGGAACTTCTGGAACAGCTGAGTAAAGAGCTTGGTAAGTCCTTTCTCCAAAAAGCAACAATAAAATTGAACAAAATTGTAGAAAACAAACAATGGTTGACCCATGCATATAACACATAGAGAAGTATTTATTTTTAAAAATCTATGGGATCTGATCTGGGTAAAACAGTAAGAACTTGGTCAGGAGCTGTTCCCATCCCACCCCAATCTCTGTGGTGTAGGTGTTCCACCAGGGTCAGCAGGGAAGGCTGTGAAGACTGAGTTCTGATGCCCTGCCAGACAGGATTGTCTTTAAAATTCTAGGCCCACAGGCATTATCAAAAGCAACAGAGATCTCAGTAACAAACAATTAGGGAAGGTAACATCTCAACTACTTTGAGGTTGTGATATTGATTGGGTGGAAGGGCAGACACTAAATATTTAACAAAAAGATTCAGAAACAAGATAGCTAAAGAAGGCCTTGCTAACCAACAATCCTATATCCAGCAAAACTCTCCTTCAAAATATGGAGGTGAAATAAAGATATTCCTAGATAAATGAAGTGCTTAATAAACATTTGTTGAATATATGAATGAATAAATGACTCAAAAAAGGGCAGTGAGGAACAAGGAGACCCAAACTCCCTTCACTACCCTTAAACATTTAGGATATGAGAAAAATAAAAGCCATAGCTCAGCAGGCCTGGGAGACTTGTGTCACCAGAGAACAGTTACAGTTAGATGTCAATTTGTGCAGGAGAACGTCTGGAAATTGAGAATGTGAGGGATGTGGCTGATGACACAAAAAGTGAAAGATACTTATATAGGCAGTCCTTGTTTTGCACAGTATTGCATGCCTACAAAAATGACCACGCACGCATAAACTATACAGAGCAATAATAATCAATGGGAAAAGTTACAAATGTTTTGTGACCTTTAAAGATATTTGTCAAAACCCTAAAAACTCTTACCATTAGCTATAAATGTATAGAAAAAGTTTTTTTAAATAAACTAATTTTAACATACTGTAATTAAAACATTAGGAATACAAAGAAATAAAACATTTTATCAAGAGTAGTTTGAATAGCAATTGCCTTCTATCTCTGTAACTCAGGATATGAAGCAAGCATTTCTTCTGTGCCTTAAACAAACTGTCACATTTCTAAGATTTTATCAGCTTCCAACATACTGTTCTTTGCATTTTCAATGTTGTGAATCCCTTTAACGTAAAGTTTTTTGGCAAAGTCACTATCTCTGAACATCTTCATCATTTTATCACAACTACTTTCTACATTTATAAGTTCACTTTCACTAAATTCCTCTGGCTGTTCATCTAGAGTCTTTCAAATGGCAGCACTGTCAACATACCCACAGTTGGCTATTTTCTCTCTAACTTCATTTATGTTCAACTTGAATTTCACTCTCAGTACTATCACTTTTTTTATGGATGCACTTTCATCTTAGTTGGCCATTTCCCTCTTTTGATCAAATCCAATTTTGTACACTATCATATGGATTTATCACAGGAGATGAAGCAAAACAACTGCATGCTTTGCTGTGTATGAACTGAGTAACAGGTGCTACATAATCAATCACTGAAAGACTTTAAAAGAACTGACATGATTGGTCACTGATCAAAAAGTGCACATTTACGAAGTGATTTCTAGAATGAAGCGCTAGCAGGGAAGTTTACTCATATTTAATACACTGTGGTAACAAATGTGAACCATGTTGTTGAGGGAATAATGTTACTTAACACTGGTAATTGAAATTTATGGATTTCAGAATAATGAGAGACTGCTGTAGTATAAAAAAGAGTATATGGATAATAGATGACCAGAGCACTTTGATTCCTTAATCACCATCAAGTACATTAACATGAAGATGTTACGCAAATTCTCTTTTATCTTATAAGAAATATAATAAAATGCAAAAGCTATTGTTTAAAATGCAAATGTCATAATTTACCAAAAAACTGCCTTAAAAACTATATGAAATATGGTCAAAATATTCTAGGGTATATATTTTTGGAATGTAGCCTGATACTAATGAAAATTTTCTAAACCAAAGTGGGAAAACATTTGGAAGCACCAAAAATGACACTTATTTCTGATATTCTCATTTCTATTTGACTATGAAAATATTGATCTAGATAGCATTTTAATTACCTTAGCTATGAAATAGTCCCAGATACTGAGCTCAGGTGGGATGAACTTTTCTTTAACCGCCAGTGACTCCTGGCTTACTGGTGCCGAGGAAGGGGTCAGTGGGGCAGATTCTCTGCAAGACATTTTTGACGGCCTAAAACGTTTGTTCTGTTTTTCTCCTTCTTCAACTAGTGAAGAAACTAACAAAAAGAAAATAAAATGTTACTGAAGTACTATTTTCATTGCATTTATTTCACCTGTGTTTACATAAGAGCTAAGGTTAACTACAAATAAGCACACACAAAAAAATAAGATTGAGATTATGAAAGTACACAGCAGGTAAGAAAATAAGTAGAGGAAGACAAAAATCATTTCTGTCTAGCAACCTCTGCTTTTTCCTCAATTTGTCCCTCACTCTCTAAATGCTGACTTACCTATTGTATGTGAAAAATAGAAGGATGTAATATCCGCCCATAAATCAGTCCACAATTTAACTAGGAACACGATAGGAAATTTCCAACATCCTTCTACTTTGCTTTTTTTTAAAGATTATCATGGGATGTCAGTGTTAATTAAAAGCAACAACTCCCTTCTGAGATTCTTCGGTAATGATGTGGCCTTATATCTAAAACTATATTTTTCATTAGAAAATATAAACAAAATTCAGGCACCATAACTACTTAAACTGATTCAAACTTTCGGAAACGGCTCAGAGACAGAATTTTCCAGTCAATGGAATTACAAAGAAGAAAATAATGCAATTTTGTTGTTTTATTTTGTGAACACTCTATAATTAGATAGTATTTTTTTAGTATATTACCTCAGAATACTAAAGAGATTAGCATTAAAAAAATTATACAAATCTTTAATCAACCTTGAGTTACAAAATGCAAATCATCAGTAGACAATCAAGGATTTTGCAGACAAAGGCATGATCTAATACACAGGCAAAGAATTCCACATTAAGGCACACCAATATTCTCCTTTAATGGCTCCGATGAGATTTTACTCACCTTCCAAAGGAATGCAAATACTTGTGCTGTAATACAATTTGGTTTTATTGTTTGAAGCGTCTCAGCTTGCAGACACATCATGCACATGCATTATAACAAGCTATAGTCAAGCTGAGTTTAACAAAGTAATTTGGTTATTTCAGAAAAAGGGAAAGATGAATAAAATATTAGTATTCTAAGAGATTACTAAAAAGTGGCATGATTATTACTTAATCTTTCAAATGATTTTAAAAGGAACTGTGAGATTAAATGTGCAAATTTTTTTCTTTGTTCTTACTAACATTTGATAACCAACAATCAAGTTTCCAGTATTACTGCTGCATACATTAACACACATTCTAAAACTTAAACGGTAGTTTACCAACTTCTCATCAAGTGAAAAGTGAGAACTATAGAGATATTTTTTTACCTTTCAAAAACTTAATGCTAAGTTTTAAGATAAATATATCAATTTATCATTTGGCTTTAACATTACTGTTTTGTCTTTTTTAAGAGATGGAGGTCTCCTTATGTTGCCTAGGCTGGATTTAATCCCTTGACTCAAGGGATATCCACACCTCAGACGCCTGAGTAGCTGGGACTACAGGCTTGTGCCACTGCACCTGGCTGTTTTTGTTTTTATGTTATTAAAAAGCATGTGAACCAAGAAGTATAGACAATCTCTGAAAAAAAAACACGTACAATGTTAAATTAATAGATTTTTGCCAAGATTAGTATGTCATAAAAATAGTTTTCTTTTTTTCTTTTACTGACCCACTGGTAGATAAAAATAGTTTTAAAAGTAAAATATAAGAGAGTTTTTAAAGACAGAAACATTTGAAACTACAAGCTGTGAATCCAGTCACGTGACATGAAAATATTAACCACACTGGGAGGAAATGTTTAAAATTTACAGACTCAACACCAGGAAGTATAAAACCACTTATTAAAACACTTTTTGGCTGGGTGCGGTGGCTTACGCCTATAATCCCAGCACTTTGGGAGGCAGAGGTGGGCAGATCACCTGAGGTCAGGATCCAGCCTGGCCAACATGGTGAAACCCTGCCTTTACTAAAAATACAAAAATTAGCCAGGCATGGTGGCACGTGCCTGTAATCCCAGCTACTCGGGAGGCTGAGACAGGAGAATTGCTTGAACCTGGGAGGGGGAGGTTGCAGTGAGCCAAGATCGCACCACTGCACTCCAGCCTGGGCAACAGAGCAAGACTTCATCTCAAAAACAACAACAACAAAAACAACACTTTTAATGAAGCAGGACCAAAGGAAAAAAAATCGGCAGTTTCACAGTAATGAATGTGTATTACTTTAGATGCTTTAACTAAAAAGACCTTAGCGATGCCACCCAGTAAACAAGAAATGACCTGTGACTTGTCAATAGGGTAGTTACTCCCTCTTCTTTGTCCTCCAATTGTAGGAAGACTTAAGGCAATTTTATGCTTGAATCCTGCTGGGTCAGATTGGTCGTGAAGCTTAGGGGCACCGATAAAAACTATAGCTGCTGGGTGTTCAACTGGTTGTTTTTGAAAATGCTAATAATCAAATATCAAGAACGTTTGCCATTCCTTGGGTGCAAACTAACCCTATGGTTCTACTATTATGGGAAAACCGCTACTTTATTAGTAACAGAAGAAAGAAAATAGTATTAGGGAGAAATTAAGAGCAACTTGAATATAGAATTTATGAATTTTAAGAGGTATAGGGAGGCTACAAAGTGGCTGAAGAAAAACTAAGGCATTCACAGGAAAAACAGAATAATGTCCTGACATAAATTTTAAAAATAAGTTTCAGTTGCTTTCCCAGGAAGCACTTTTTTTTTTTTAAATTATACTTTAAGTTCTATCGTACATGTGCACAACGTGCAGGTTTGTTACATAAGTATACATGTGCCATGTTGGTGTGCTGCACCCATTAACTCGTCATTTACATTAGATATATCTCCTAATGCTATCCCTCCCCCATCCCCCCACCCCACGACAGGCCCCAGTGTGTGATGTTCCCCTTCCCGTACTTTTTAAAACAAAGCTTCCATGTCAAGATAGTAGACTGTACAGACAAATACACCTTCCTTCCCTTAACAATCCTTTCCTCACCCTCAGAATATCTGCACTGTGGTTTTCTAAGAATTATAAAAGTAACTCCCCAAAGAACCCAAAACAGAAATGGAGAAATGGCTAACAGGCTACACATAGGGAAGGGGAGGAGCAGAGGAATAAGACAACATTCCTTCCTATAAATTCTTCTGTACTGCTAGACTTGTTACCACACACATATATTGCTGTGATTAAAACTAAAATATAAGGGGAAGGTTATTAAGTTAATATTTACTTTTCAGTTTATCATTTAAAATCAGCACAATGAAATTAATATTCTGAATGTAGATTTAAATGTCATTTCTTTAAAAACTGAACTTAGAGTTCAAGACCAGCCTGGGCAACATGGTGAAACCCAGTCTCTACAAAAAAATAGAAAAATTAGCTGGGCATGGTGGCACATGCCTGTAGTCCCAGCCACTTGGGAGGATCACTTGAGCCCAGGAGGTGGAGGTTGCAGTGAGCTGAGATCACACCATTGCACTCCAGCCTGGGCAACAGAACAAGAACCTGTCTCAACAACAAAACAAACAACAAAATAACTGAACTTAAAGTAACCAGCAGGTCTCACTCTCTATTTCTCAATCTAAGGCACCCATATCCACAGAGCTATTCATGAGTGTGCCAGAGTATACACGAAGCTTCAGGAGGCACATTAGTCTGGACCTTCTAACTGAGCCCCCCAAATATGGAAAAGATAAAAGTCATGCAAGTTTAAGACAAACAGATTTCAAATTTATTTCTTGCTTTCAGCAAGCCAATTCAGTCTAAGTCCTCAGTCTCCTAAGAGGTATATGTTAACCTTTATCTTCAGGTAAAAAGTTTGAGAACTACAAATGTACGTGAACACTAAGTATAAAACAAATCCTCAAAATTAAATGTAAAACATGATTTTCCAAGTAAACTTCAAATATTCCAAAAATAAAAGGATTAAAGAAGCAATTAATTGAAGGTACTTCTTAATCATCAAAGAATAAGATTAGTGATTAAAAAAAAAAAGTCTGGCCAGGCACAGTGGATCATGCCTGTAATCCCAGCACTTTGGGAGGCTGAGACAGGCAGACCACGTGAGACCAGGAGTTTGAGACCAGCCAGGCCAAAATGGCAAAACCTCATCTCTACTAAAAATACAAAAATTAGCCAAGTGTCGTGGTGTGCACCTGTAGTCCCAGCTGCTTGGGAAGCTGAGGTACAAGAATCACCTGAACCTGGGAGGCAGAGGTTGCAGTGAGCCAGGATCATGCCAGTGCACTCCAGCCTGGGTGACAAAGTGAGACTCTGTCTCAAAAAAACAAACAAACAAACAAAAAAAGTCTGGAAGATGATACTATCCAGCTTTTAGAAAGACTGACCCTCAAAGTCTTCCTAGGATCATTACCATACACCGTATCTTGAACATGGCTCCATAAATATCTATAAAAATGAAATAATAAATATCTTAATAGAAAGTGGTGATTTGTCTCCAAACCACAGAGCAAGGGAGTCTCCACGGTAGTTGTACAAAATGATTCACCAGAATATGGAAGGAAAATACTACAACTTCTACTTAGATTTATTTTTTGATAAATAGGGGGAAAGGGCAGAAGGAGAAGGGAAGGAGGTAGAGGAGCAGAAAGTGACAGGGGAAGAAGTAGAGGGAAAGGAGAAGGGACAAGAAGAAAGGAGAGATGGGGGCAGGTGGAGGTGAAAGCAGAGGAAAGAAGGGGAAGAAGGAAAGTAAGGAGAAGAAACTAAATTTTGTCAATGTTTAACATCTGGATCGATAGTAGTAGACATCAATATACATATATTGAGAATTTGGTCAAGCATGTTTTATGGATAAGGTAATGTCTTCAAAAGCCTGAAGTCACTGCCCTAGAGTAGTACTTACTTTTCAATCACCCTGAATGCCACAACACGGTTCTGTATATAAGATTTCAACCCAAACTCAACAAACTTATTGAAAATGTGAATGGAGTATACACACACAACGGAACATTCAGCATTAAAAAGGAAGGAAATTCTGTCGCAAGCTACAACATGGAAGAACATTACACTAGGTGAAATAAGCCAGTCACAAAAAGACAAAACACTATATAATTCCACTTATATGAGGTATATAAAGTAATCAAATCCCTGGAAACAGAGTAGAATAGTGATTACCAGGGATTGTATGAAGTGGGGGAATTGTTTAATGGGTATAGTTTCAGATTTGCAAGATGAAAAAGTTACAGAGATTTGTTTCACCACATGATAGACTTACTACTAAACTATATACTTAAAAATGGTTCACTTGCTAAATTTTATATCATGTGTTTTTAGTCATAATAAAAAAACTATAATGGAAAAAATATATTCAAGCCATTTTGCTGCAGGACTTAGGACTTAGAAATATTAGAAAACTGGGTTGAAGAGAGAGATCACATGATTGGTCTCAGTAAGGTACACAGAAATACTGAATTAAGCAGGACATGGTGGCTCACACCTGTAATCCCAGCAATTTGGGAGGCTGAGGTGGGAAGATCACTTGAGTCCAGGAGTCCAAGACCAGCCTGGGTATAGTGAGACCTTGTCTCTATAAAAATAAAACTTAAAAAATTAACTAGGCTAATCAATGATGGCCTGCACCTATAGTCCCAGCTACTTGGGGCACTGAGGTGGAAGGATCACTTGAGCCCAAGAGGCCAAGGCTGTAAAATGAGCTGTGATCACACCACTGCATTCCAGCCTGGGCGACAGAGCAAGACCCTGTCTCAAAAAAAAAAAAGAGAAGAAAACATTGAATGAGGGAGTCTAGGTCAGATAAATGAATGTTGCATTTCTTATAGGGTTAGTTTCTTCTACTGTCATCAGGCTTTAGCAGTGAAATAAAAGAATAATTACATGTAAAAATCTATACATGCACATTTCTTGGAGTTTCTTTTATCTTCTACGCTTTCTCTACTCTTGTATAAAAATTTGCCTTCCTGACTCATTTGTAAAATGAATGAATAGAACACTTTTTAAACTTTAAATTAAAATTTATATTATATGGTCTTCAATGAAAAGTCTAACAAAAATGTACTCCTGGCCAGGCGTGGTGGCTCACACTTGTAATCCAAGCACTTTAGGAGGCCAGGGCAGGCGGATCACTGAAGGTCAGGAGATTGAGACCAGCCTAGCCCGTCTCTACCAAAAAACACAAAAATTAGCCAGGTGTGGTGGTGCACGCCTGTAATCCCAGCTACTTGGGAGGCTGAGGTGGGAGAATCACTTGAACCTGGGAGGCGGAGGCTGCAGTGAGCCGAGATCACGCCACTGCACTCCAGCCTGGGCGACGGTACGAGTCTCTGCCTCACAAAGAAAAGAAAAGGAAAGTATTCCCTTCCACAGAATTAGTTACTTTGAAGTTCAGCAGTCTTTTAAAAGTTCCTTATAATAAACCACCAGTTAAATGTTTGGCATATTCAATTATATTTTAAATCACCTATTTTGTTTTATATTTTAATATGCTCAAGTCTTTTCTGGTCAAGATATTTTGCTGTTTTGCTTACTTTGCTAAAGGAATGTTAGCAATGACATGTGATAATCACTGACTACTGAATACAGAACTTTTGTTTTTACACAAGTTTTATAAGAAAAAGCAAAAAGTGGATTTTCTGATCTGTTTTAGCGTAATAAGTCAGAAATAAACTTTATGTCTAGAATATCATTAGCAATCTCATAGTAAAAAATATATGACATGCTTACCACAAATAAAATGTTCATTTTATATTTCCATTCCTCAACTTGGAGACATAAAAAAGTCATTACTATGAATTTATTAAGATAAAGAGGTAATTCACAGTTCTTATAAATGCAAGTATCACAAAACACAATAACAATTCTTAAAAACACTGCTTTATTTATAATACAGAATAAAAAGCAAAAGTATGGATTTCTAACTGTTAGCAGAAAAAGTAATTTTTTGAAAATTGCTATTGCTTAGCTGGTTCTCTTCTTTAAAATTGACCATAACAAAACAATTCAGAGTTCCATGAACATATACCTGCACTGCAGTTTTAGTTAATTAGAAAAATCAAACTCTTCATTAATATATAATGTGGAATTCACCAAAAAAAATTTGATTAAGTTAATTTATGTACATTAACATTTTTGTTAAGAATTTTGACCTGCCAGACTAGAGTCTAATAAAAATCTATAATTTCCTTCAGTTATGAAGCTTATCTTTAAATATTATGTTACTACAAGAATACATTAAGTATATAATAGATATATAGAAAGAAATATAATCTAGTTCATGAGGCCATCATTGCAAAGAAAATTTAAATCCAAATTTATAACAGAACAAGGAAAACAAATGATGGCTTTCAAATTCCTCTCATAATACAGTACCTAAACTTATGGAACACTTTTAGAAAACATGTTTAAGGGTATTTCATCTTCAATATACAATGTATTTCATCTTCAATATACAATGTATTTCAATATGCACGTATTTCATCTTCAATATACAATGCTTTGACACGTTTGAGTAGTCAGGAAAATGAAATATTCTAGATTTGTCAGCTTTCACTGGCCAAATTTAAAAGATAAAAAATTTTAAATACACATTAATTTTAACTGGATTCAAGTCAACTTTTCTAAAATACACTGTTTTATTCCCTTGGTCAACAATGTATATTGAACATTACTTAATGCAATTAGACTCTTGGCACATCAATGATTATGATTAGCAGTAATCCAAACACACAGGACTGCTTACCTACAACCTAAAATTTATCAGGTTGCTGTCCTGCCTCGGTAAGTTTTCAGGGCAACATAATAATGCCTTAAAAAAACTGAGATTTCTGAACGTTACTTTATATTGAAAGCCAATGCTGCTAGTAGTTCCTTGTCTTGGTTGATTTTCTGTTCTGAGATTTTTCTCTCTCTAGTTTTCAGTGGATCCGTACTCCACAGGACCTTCGCTTCTTTCCCTTTCTCTTCGCTTCTTTCCTTTCCTCTTTCTGCCTGCTCCTTTTCTTTTCTTTTTTGAGATGGAGTCTCGCTCTGTCGCCCAGGCTGGAGTGCAGTGGCGCAATCTCAGCTCACTGCAACCTCCACCTCCCAGGTTCAAGCGATTCTCCTGCCTCAGCCTCCTGAGTAGCTGGGTCTACAGGCACATGCCACCACACCCGGCTAATTTTTGTAGAGACAGTGTTTCACTTGTTGGCCAGGCTGGTCTCAAACTCCTGACCTCAGGTGATCTGCCCACCTAGGCCTCCCAAAATGCTGGGATTACAGGTGTGAGCCACCACATCCAGCCCTCCTGCTCCTTTTCAAATTAGCTTGGCTTTGAAACCAGCAGGCCTTTAGTTTTCATCATTCAGTGAATATATTCCTTTTTTTCTGGTTAGCAAATGGACAAATCGTACCATTCATGTTTTCTTTAAGTACTCCTTCAGTTACTTCCATGATTGTATTTAGAATACTTTCTGGGTACTCAAGGACAGATGAGCACCATATAACCTGGATATGACTATATCCAGCCCTACCACTAAGTGAACAATACGTTTTAAGTATTCCTTATTATTGGCTGAGGTTAAACATATAGATGCAGATAATTTTAGGTCACTTTATTTTTTACTTGGGGTTAAATAAGTGGTAGGATACAGCTTATGACGGACTTATAATGGCCCCCCCAAAATAATTTATGTAATGGTATTTTTGCCTACAACCAACAACTAGAGTGGTTAATAAGATTGGTGCAAAAGTAACTGCAGTTTTGCCATTGCTTTTGCACCAACCTTATACAAAGATCAACCTGGACTTTCAATATGGTTCCTTACACATATCTGTGCTCAGGAAAAATGGATGAAATTGAGACCTGATGGCTAGTAAGAATGTATTTTTCATTTTCTTTTTTATGGATATCTGCACATTCCTTAGCAATAATTTATCCCTTTTTAACATTTTACATCAACAAGATCAAAGTCTTAACAAATGAATTTTTCTCAGAACATATTAAAAATATGGTCAAAATTAATTTGCCAATTTTTAATTTAAAATTAAACTCAACAGAGCTATGGATCCTACTTCCCTTAGACTTTGAAAGTTTTTCCTTAATTGAATTCAGATATCTCAAGTATAAATATAGTCCAAGGCAAATTTCATGTGAAATTAGTCTTTTAAAAAAATCTATACAAAAAGCACAATAAACAACTTTTTAAAAAACAGAAAAGGAATGTTACAAAAACAAAATACTTAATATTTTAATAAGCAAAGGTAAACTTGGCAAATAAGGTAAATTTGCATATGAAATCTGATGTGCATAAGAAGAAAAAGGAGAAGTAAATGAGTTTAATTTAAGGCAAATGGGAGGGACCACAGAGATAAAACAGCCATCAAAGTAGTAAGCAAAGTGTGGTAGGTGGATGAGTAATAGGCAGGATGGTATCAGGTTTCTGGAGAAGTCATGTTAGGATTCTACATTTTCAGTATTTTACAACAGCAAAAACTGAATTAGCCCCTAGATTGGCTAAAGGAAGCTAAGGGCCATGGCAGGGAAGATTACAAATTATCCCTCTGATGCCACTTATACTATTCCATAAGTACAATTTGTGGTTAGGTCAAATACGTTAAGAGACCCACAGTGAACTCTATCTCCCAAAATATTAACTTCAGTTGTTCTTAAAACCTGAAATTCCTTTAACAGGGAAGGCAAATATTCTATTCCAAATAGACCAATAATAAAATGCTTCTACTTGTAAAGCAGGGGTTGGCAAATTGCAATCCAACAAATAAATAATGTTTTCTTAGAACACAGCTGTACTCATCTGTTTACAAATGGTCTATGGCTGCCTTTGTGCTACAAGGGCAGAACTAAATAGTTGTGAGATACCAAATGGACTCCAAAACCTAAAATATATATTTGGCTTTTTACAGAAAAAGCTAGTTGAACTCTGCTGAAAGTTATAAACTGAATTTGCCTCATGGTAAGTATTATACATAAAGAAATTCCTGCCTGTTTTTTCTTGATGGAAGAAAGAGGCAGGACCCAGACTAGAAAGTATGAGAGTCCTAGCTAGGTAACTGAAGAAACAATTTCAATTAAGGAGAGGAAGTAGAAGCTAGGCCATCATGATTTTTTGCTATATAGTCATGCAGGGCCACAGGTTAGTGGAAACTGCTTTTGAAAAGTATAATATATGCCAACATTGCTACTAATAACTTTTAAATATTTTAACAAGGTAATAACTTTTCTAAATTCTTTTTAATATAGCTTCATTCAAAGAATATTCATCAATCATGGTAAAGATTTTGGCAATAATTTTTTTCCCAAATAATGAAGCCAAATTCAAGCTTTTCTTATTCTCTCATGTCCCTCACCAACTGCTTGACCTCCCAAAACATATATATCCAAGCCCACATACACCTATATGTACAAGCATATGTTCAGTGTAAACGTCAGGGAAGAAGTGAATGAAAGCTCATAAAGAGATAAATAACCTTGCTGAGCTTCTCTCAAATGTATGCATAGGGCTTTTTTTTTTTTTTTTGGAAAAACATTTAACATTTTCAATTTATTCAACACCAATATAGAATGAAATAAGTTTTCAAGTACTATGTATTAAAAATAAAGCTACTCCTCATGCCCTCCATAATTGGAAAACTAAGATTATCACACATGGGCTAATACATGAAAAAAATACAGTTTTAACATTAGAAAGTTTTTAAACGGGGATACAATTGTTTAAAATATTTACTTTTCATGGTATTATGAACACTTAGAAATCCAAAAACTCCAATGGCCGGAATCATAATATGCAAATCATAAAGCAGCCTAATTTGAAATGTTTTTCTAGTCATTTCAAGCCATAGTCTGATTTTCTATGATTAGCACTGACAGTGTTTTATTTTTACACACTTTAAAATGTTAAAGTCTAAGGGACAGAAATATAAAAAACAAAGAATTTAAAAGCAGAATAAAATAGCAGAGATAGTTTTCTAAACTGCTAATCATTGTTTTAAATCAAAAATATGGCTTGATCAAAGGAAACTTCTCAATTTTCTATAAATGCCAAACAAAATAAAACTGTCCCACTGTACCCCAACCCCTCAAAACAACACAAAGCAAGCTGAATGATAAAAGCCTATTTCTAAAGCTCATATCTTGCCTGCAAGACTGGGAGGGCTATGAGAACTGATGGCTGAAAGAGCTTTGGAAAAGCCCACACATTCCATGGAGAATACCACTACCTGGTGGGGGCTAGGCATAGCAAAGTGCCTTCCTGCCAAAGAAAGAAGAAAGAATCCGTATTTGGGATAGAACAAAAACCAATATTACAGTGTGTTTCAAAACAAATGAAAGTTTCAGTAGTAAAATATTTAATAAATTTACATAAGATCGTTCTAATTATTGGTACAGGAATATCTTAAAGATTAAAAACTGCACCAGAAACTTTAATACTGCATTTTCACTGTATGACTATTTGTTTATGCTTTTCGCAAATGGTCTCTAACCAGAACTTTCTATAACTAAATTAAAATGTAATTACGTTTGAGAATGATATCACTCAGATAAATAAAGCTTCAGTCCTAAAAAAATTTTTTAAACTCACCAGGTAAAGTTTTTGAATGTGTCTGTTCTTTGCTAGGAACATGTGCACCTCCACCAAACACAGCAGACCACATTTTCTCATTTAGAGGATGGGCCACAATCCGAAATAGCTCATTACTTGAATGTGTGGCCAGGCCATGGATGAAGAGACTAAGATACACTGCTGTGAGAATCTCACAGAGCAAGACTGTAAGCCCTGACTGGGCTTCCTCGCCAGAAGAATTCAAAAGTCGAATTAGACAAGTTATTCCTAGAACGACAAACAAACATAGCTGTCACTGACTATAAATTTTTAAAATTTTAAAAATTAACTATATTTTTCTAATTTCAGGAAAAAATGTATTGCATCAGGAGTTAATACTGTATTTTCTTCCCTAGATTCACAGACTAGTAGCGGTTATTATAGTTAAGCACAAATGAGTTACTTGAGAGAAACATTAAAAATCTTTAATATTAAACATTAAAATCTTTCATGACTAAGATGTCATAGATAAATTTTCATAGACGGGTTTTTCTAGTATGTCAAAAGCAAAATGATTTAAAAAACGGTATTACAAAACATTTGAGTTATATTAGTATAATGATCAAGGGAATACTAATGTTAAGTAACTGTAATTCAGAATGAGTGGTGAATACTTAACTGGTATCAATTCTAACAGTATTTAACAATGATTATCATGTGGCAAAACTAAAAGTCTTTCTACTTATCTAAGATTATAAATAAGACTAAGAAAAAACTGATCTATACATAAAAATTATACCTGGCCATTGAGCTGGTGACGTATTGGGAGTTAATGCTTCATCTAAGCTTCCTGTTTTCAAAGAAGGTCGATGAGGAAGCAGTACTGTCTGATATACCATTCCAGTAAACTGATTCGTCTGAAATGAACTAAGAGAAAAAAACAATATTTAAATCTATGATAAATTTTATATAATATTTTCATGTTTCAGATCTACTTTCAAGAGTATCAATTTTTGTTTATTAATTATACTGCTAGTACATCTAAGTAATATAATGTACAGTCTAGTGCTATATAAAAACAAAGTATCCTTTAAGTGTAAATATACACATTTTCTAAATTAAAACACATTTTAAGGGACAGAATAAGTACAAATGAGAAAACTAAATCGCTATGTACCACAAGTAGCAAGATTACATATTTGACTTAAAAACATAGTTATCTGGTTGAAAATGAAGTCCGTTTAGGCTCACTTTCATGTATAATGGCTAGCCTACCCTACATCAGGCACTGTAGCAGGTACTAGGCATATAAGGAATAACAATGTCTCTGTCCCCATAAAATTTAATAGTGGAACAAAACACAAATAATGTTATCATACTACTCTTAAAAGATGAAACCTATGCATATGACGCTATCAAGGCAATACAGAGGAGTATTTCACACAATTTGAGAATTCAGGATAAGCTTCCCCAAGTAAAAGATGCAAAGCTAAGACTAACAGATGAATGAACAAAAAAACCTGCAGCTTGACATAAACTATGAAATAATTCTGACAGAAAATGGTATAAGGAATTTCCTTTAGAAATTCCTATATCATACATTAAGTACATGAATATACTTAAATATAGCGCATTTATTGGTGTAAATGTGTTATGATTGGCAAATCTCATTGGTTATAACATTTTGATGCCTTTGTAGTTTCCCTTGCTTTACTTTCCAGTTTCAAGATGGCAGAGTAACAACAAAAAAAACTCCCTCATTCCTATAGAAATCATAGATAGGAAAGATAAAAAGAAGTTAATGAAAATAAAGCCTAAATAATAAGAAAGTGAATTCTTGAAGGATGAGGGTTAAAGAAATCAAGTTGAAGTTACCTTGGGAAATATACAACCAGAGTGGTAAGTAAGGCTACCCACAGAAAATTCAAAAACACAAACTGGACAGACAACCAAAAATTAACAAGGAAGGCTGACACCATGTAAGAAATAACAAACTCAACAAAAGATCTTCACCTGAGAAACCCAACTTATCAGTAAAGTACTCCATACTCAAAATAATTTTTTTTAATCAAGAAATGTTATAGAAACAGAAGCAAATACTAAATTCAACAAGAGATCCCGAAAATGAAAAACAGAATTTCTAAAATATAAATTCTTGCTAAATAAGACAGGACATTGCTGAATAATGAATCCGTGTTTGGAAAATGAAGCTAGAATTTCTCCTGAAATGAAACAAAAAGAGATAAAGAAATGGAATATAGGAGGGGAAAGTTAAAGAACATTAAGAAATGACCCAGAAGTTGCAATATCTGTTTAATAGGAAAGATAGAAGAGAGATGAGACAATACTTGAAGAAATAGAGTACTTCAAACAACTAAAGATAGATATAGAAAGACCCCAGAGGGTAACAAACTATTTTTTTGAAGCCTAGATAAATTTCAGTAAAACTTTATAACATAAAGAGAAATACAGAGAAATATCCTATACATCAATTATTTGGTAAAATTTTTCTCAATTCCAAGTTACTCCCTCCCATGTGGTCCCTGAGCCTTTTACTATCTACTGTCTTATTATAGTTACCATTTTAGTACTATGCCATATTATATACATATCATTTATCAACTCACATGTTTGTCTCTAACTAGACTGGCCCTAAGAAATAGACTTTATCATATTATTTGCGTTAAAATTCTCAGTGCCAATCACAATGTCTGACATAAGGCAGTGACCAGTAATAGGCTGCTAAATAAGTTATACAGAATAAGGGTTTGAGATTCATCTGCCATAAAAATTTCAAATATGAACAAAAAGTACTCAAAACCTCAACCATATGCTTTTTGCATTATTTAAAAGACTGTTATATATAGTTCTAAACCACTAACATACAAAATATGAAACCTCATTGCTTACTGTAAGCATTCTTAAATTTCATAAAAAGATAGTTACCTGTAGTTATGACTACCACAAAGGCACTGATAAATACAAGCAGAAAGTGAAGCTGCTAAAGTATGCATTACATACACCTGGAAAACAAAAACAAAATTACTTTAAGTATAACCTTTTTAAAGTGCAGATTTTTTTTCAAGACCTAATATAATCAGCATTTTTAAAAGAATGAAAAAATTTTTGATTCTTTGCCTTCATGAACTATTTCCTTTTTTTCTACAACACTCATTTTTATCTACATGAGTCTTACTACAGAAAATTTAAAGAAAACACGCTAAAGTCTTCAGCAGAAATTATAAAACACACATTTGCTACCTAATTTCTTTTTCTAGAGCAAAGGGGAACAGATGTCAGCTCTCCAGTAGAGCATGAACCATGTATTAAAGTAAGCCCTCCAACACTCAATCTGCTTTTTCCTCAACCAAAATGTGAAGAAACAGCCTGATAACTGACAGTTCACCAACGGACAGGTCACTGAAGAATATGCTACCACATATTCTAGTTACCTTAAAAACAATTTGAAGAGAGTGAAACTAGAGGAAAGAGAAAGAGAAAGGATATAAGGTATAAAAGGCAGTAACTGAAAGGCAGTGGAGTCAGGCATTTGTTTTAAGGAAGAGAAGACTCTAAACATGGCATGGCAAGGGCCATAACATTAGGCAGAACTGAGGATGAAGGAGAAACTTCAGCTAGGTAAGAAAGCAAACCAGACTAGAATATTAAAAGACCAGGTTCTTCATCTGATTGTGAAGTATGCCAGTCATTTTGTAGATAAAAATGGAGAATGACAGATCAAATCTAATTGCTAATTTTTCCTTCAAATGTCAATAAAACGTAGTATGAATTAAAAGATATTATATAATTGAAGATGACAAAAACTATATATGGGAGCTTGCAAAAATGATCACAGTATTTTGCAGCTTCTGCAAGAGAGAGTTGGACGTACTTCTCCACTCACTGAATCTGAGCTGGGCTTGACTTGTTCGACCAAGAGGACCCAACAGAAGTGAAGTGTGAGTTCCGAATCTACACCTCAAAAAGCCTTGCAAATTCTATTCTTGCTGCTCTTGAACCCCTGAAACTACCATTTGAAAAAAATCTAGGTGTGACTGGGCCATGGGGTGCACAGACATTTGACCAAACATTATTCTGGGTGTCTGTGAAATGTTTTCAGATGAGACAAACATTTGAATCAGACTGATTAAAGCAGATTGTGCTCTGTAATGTGAGTAGACTCAACTGGCAAGACCTGAACAGAACAAAAAGGCTGAGTAACTCGCATCTAACTGCACTGAGCTGGGTCATTGCTTTTCCTGTCTTCAGACTTGAACTAAAACATCAGCTCTTTTTGGGTCTTCAGCCTGCTGACTTTCTGACCTGAACTTAAATTATAGCTCTCCTGGTTCTCAGGCCTTCTGATTTGGACCGGAACTACACCATCAGCTCTCCTGGGTGTCCAACTTGCCAACTGCAGATCTTGGGACTTTTCAGCCTCCAAAACCACATAAAACAATTCCTTATAATAAATCTCTCTCTCATTATATATATATATATATATATACACACACACATATATATATATACACACACATATATATATACACACATATATATATATACACACACACATATATATATACACACACACACACACACACACACACATACATCCTACTGATTCTGTTTCTTTGGTGAATCCAGACAAATATATTAGGCTTGCCTGCTGGAGGATGAGATACATATGACCCAGATTCTCCTGTCAGTGCTGTCAACATGCGCCAACCACCAGAAATGTAAATGATGCCTTCTTAGATCATCTAGAACCTGACTAACCCACCAGTTGACCAAAGATGAATGAGAGAGTCCAGACATTAGTATAGCTGGCCCAAACCAAAGAACTAATGAACCAACTCACAGAATTATAAGCAAAATAAATGATGGCTTTTTAAGCCACTAATGTTTCAGGACAGTTTTTTTTTTTTTTTTGGCGGGGGGTGGGCGCGGAGTTTTGCTCTTGTTGCCCAGGTTGGAGTGTAATGGTGCGATCTTGGCTCACCGCAACCTCTGCCTCCTGGGTTCAAGTGATTCTCCTGCCTCAGCCTCCCAAACACCTGAGATTATAGGCATGTGCCACTACGCCTGGCTAATTTTTTGTATTTTTAGTAGAGACAAGGTTTCTCCATGTTGGTCAGGCTGGTCTTGAATTCCTGGCCTCAGGTGATCTGCCTGCCTCGACCTCCCAAAATGCTGGGATTAGAGGCGTGAACCACCACACTGGCCTCAGGACAGTTCTTAAGCAGCAAAAGGTAACTGATACACCACAGGTATGCTATAATTAGTTTTAAATATGAAATATAGTTTGGCTAAAATGAGCACAATCTGAAAGAAATTAAATTCCAAACTGTATAATAAGCACTATGGGCATTTATACTACAGAGCAGTACAGAAAAATAAGTAGTGAAATTTAATTACAAGGATTAAGGTAACTAAAGAGGGTAAAATTGTAGGACAGTCCACCATCAGGAAAACAGAAAATCGAATTGGTGTGATACAACCTGTGAGGTGGATGAGAGCTACATGATAGACTATTAAAAAAAAACAAAAACCACTAGGGATATATGAAAATGGTCAAAGTCAGTTATACTTCAAAGGATTTCAATATGTCTGAAAAGTAAAGATAAAATATGACATTAACAGCAGATAAAGTAATGATGAATAGGATGCTTTGGTTGATTAGACAATTAACTATAACAATATAATTAGTTGCATGCATTAGAATCACACAAGGAACTTCTTTAAAAATATACATTCCTGGGACATACTCTCACAAACTGATTGAATAAGTTTGGAGTGAACTTGAGAATCCAGACTTTTAACAAGCACTGCAGCTGATTCTGTTGTAGCTGGTTCACAAAGTACTGCCTATCCTAGAAGGATGACAGGGGCAAATAGTTCACATTATCCTTAAAATGTGGATTTCTTTAGTATTAACAAGGGAAAACTTCGTTTACATATTAGTGCCTTTACATTAAAATATTAAGTTTCTATATTTAAAAAACAATGAGCTTTTTGGTTAAATGTACTACTAAAGGACTCATACGTACCTATTTTTCTTAAAGCAGCTAGACTAAATAACTAGGCATTGTGATAAAAAATTCAAGAACTCTACCGGGTGTAAGTAACATGAGTAAGATAAGCCAGTCTACAACCAGAAGATTTCTTTAATAGGAATCAACATAAACTTGGCAATGTAACAATTGCTATGCTTAGTCTGATGTTTAAAATTACTTAAAAAAAAGCCTTAATATTTATCTTGTAGTTTTATCATTGTACAGATGAAGTAAAAGCTTGAAACCAAGCATACTTACTTTATTGCTTTGGATATCAGGGTGGGGTGGTGAATCAAAGTTTATTATGGCATGGAGAATATCATGTGTCAGATTACTAAGGTGCAATAATGGATTGGCAACTACTGTTTTGGCATTGGCTGTACAAGCAAAGAGGAGAGGCACTGAGGTTTGCTCTGACAGAGGGCTAGAAAATAGTGGTTCTGATGTTTCCTTAAAAACAAAGAGGGATAAAAGGTTAACCAACTATTTACAGTTACAAACCATTACTTCAGTAAATCAAGGGCTCTTTAAAACACTTCAAAACAATTAAAAAATAAAAGCATAATAGAAACTTAGAGTTAGAAGGGATGTGAAGAAGTCAGCATTTCAATAATCATATTTAAAAATAAGACATTTAGGGGCACAGAGAGGGAAAAAAAAAATAAGACAATATCCTCTTGCAATAAGAAGTCTGTCACCCTACAAAGGCATTCAGACAACACTTTGGAGTGTGAATTAAGCAGGTCATAAGGCCTGATACTGAATCGTCTGTAACTACTATAAATACACAACTCTATAATTCATAATATGAAGGACCACACAAAAGGGAGCTTTCCCTAAAGCAACCGTAATAAAGAAAATCAAGTCTTAGTATTCAAAACCAAAAAAGAAACACCAAAAACAGTTTTAGACATGTACCATTTTTGACTATCAAGTAAATTACATACCTGCTGAGATTCTTGCAAAAGCAAAATCAATTCCATTCTTACAGATGCAAGACCCCCACCATGGGATCCATGAAGTATGCAGTAACTAAGAAACATTCTCAAAAGTGACTGATACTTCAAGAGCCACTGTCTTTTTTCCTGAAAATTTTCTCTCAGTTGTTTCACTTTTGTTTGGTGAGGCAAATCTTCAGCATCCTCATTTAATCCAAATTCATCTTCATTTCTGCCAAATGCAGACTGTAGTTCTTCAGCATCTGAGCAAAAGTCACAAGTCCTCTGAAGAGCTATCACCTCTTTTTCAAGCCAGTGGTATAGTTGGTAACGCAATTTTCCACCATCTATTTCATAGCCAGTAGATAAAGTACGAAGTTCTACTGTGAGAATCTTTAAACATGCTCTAAATTTTAACTGAACTGCAATTATATCTTCTGATGGATTTAAAAGGTCATTTTCATCTAGTGTGCTGAAAGATTCTGTGTAGTTAGAACTTATGTCATCCAACTTTTTATCTGTTTTTCTCTGTAAAGGTTTTAGTTCTTTCATTGAAATAGGGACATCCTCATTTTCTTCATCATTATCACTGTCCCATTTTAACTCTAAAGAGTCATCCTGAAACACAACACTTGGTTGGCTCCAGTCAAAAGAAAGAGTGGAGTTTGATTGCTTCTCTGAGGAACCCTCTGAAGAAGATCCAAAACCATTTATCAGTGACTGTGACCAATCAACAGCAGAAGACTTATCTTCCCTTGCATCCAACTTTAATGGAGAAGAAGGAGAACAGTCTTTACTAGTATCCAGAAAACTAGAAGCCCTATAAAAAGGTCTTGTTTTCTTGATGACTTTAGGCATCTTTGATAATACTTCCAAAGCCAACATTGGGCAGCCAGCTTTTAAATGAGCACTGGCAGTGGTAAAAAATAAACGTCTTTCACTTAAATTAATTGTTCCTGCCAGTCCACTTTTTCCTGTTAGGCTCATATGTGTGGAAAATGTATCAGATGATCCAAAATGACGTCTCAGCAAAAGAGGATGTGTTCTTAGATAATTGTAGAAATTAAAAACTGTAGGATTACTGGCTGATAAAACTTGATCTGAAAGTAAATTCATTTTATGAGCCAAGAAAAGTTATGAACTGTGTGTTTCTATTGTAGTGTCTTTTCTCTATCTACTATGACACCTTTATCTAAAGAGTCTTTTGACAAAATTTTACTAATAGGCCACAATGATCCATGGCACTGAAGAGACAACAACACATTTATAATGAACATGTTCTAACAAAGTAGGAAAACAAAGATTATGATGCTTTCCCATTGAAACAAGTCTCTTCAGGTAATATTCTAGGATAATTTAAAACGTCCAGTTATAGACTCTTAGTTCTTTTTCTCCTACTTCCCTGAACACTTCTCCTCAGTCTGCTTTGCTAGTCCTCCTCATCTTCTCTACCTTTGAACACTGAGAGTCTCCTAGGGTTCAACTGCTGACTTATTTTCTATCTATATTCCCTGAGTTGAATTCATATAGTCCCCATGACTTTCAATAACATCTACACACTGATAACTTGGACATCATCTCTATCTCCAGTCCCAACTTCACACTGAAAACCTAAACTCCTATATCCAAAGGCCTACATTTCATTTTTACTTATGTGTATAAACTCTTGCTTTGGGGCCTTTTTATTTAGTGTGCCCTTGACCCAAACCACTCTTTACCTATATCTATACTGATTAACTCACTCATTTCAACCAGTTCTCTGATCAAAGTTCACCTTATCAGAGAAAGCTCCATGATCTAAAACAATTCTTCCCCATATCATCTACCTATTGTTCAATCTAAAAAGCCAGGAGTTACCTTTGACTCCTAATTCCTTTACACTCCTTATCAAATCCAGTCCTATGTAATCAATCTTAAAATCATATCCCAAATCCAACCACATCTCTCTGCCTCCATTCCAATCATTCTGGTCCAAGCCGCTATTATTTTTTGCAATTTTCTTCTAGAAGAATACAAGTTTAATTCATAATAAAAGTATGTAAAAATGTACTAGTCCCAAATCAAAATACAATTTTTACATGAATATGTGTTAAGTATAAGAAAGTGGGCCAGGGCCAGGTGTGGTGGCTCATGCCTGTAATCCCAGCACTTTGAGCTCAGGAGTTCAAGACCACCCTGGGCAACATGGTGAAACCCCATCTCCAGCAAAAATACAAAAAAATTAGCTAGGCATGGTGGCACACACCTGTGGTCCCCGCTACTCAGGACGCTGGGGTGGGAAGATTGCTTGAGCTTGGGAGGTGGAAGCTGCAGTGAGCTGAGATAGCCCCACTGCACTCCAGCCTGGGTGAGAGTGAGACTCCACCTCAAGAAAGAAGAAAAAGAAAGAAAAGAGAAAAGACAAGACAAAAGGAAAGAGGAAGGGAAAGGGAAAGGGGGCCAGGCACAGTAGCTCATGCCTGTAATTCCAGACTTTGGGAGGCTGAGGTGGGAGGACAGCTAGATGCCAGGTGTTTGAGATGAGCCAGGGCAACAAAGCAAGATACTGTGTCTAATTTTTTTTTTTTTAAATAAAAACACTAAAAAAAGAAAGTGGCTGGAAAAGGCATTTACATTTTCCCTTCATTACATAGAGGCTAGTTTGAAAATCTTTAGCTTAAATGGCTAGGAGACTTAAACAAATGAGTCACACAGCTTTCTCAAAGGTTTAGGAAGTAAGGCGAAGGCCACTTCCTGATTAAATGATAGCACATAAAAATCTATGAACTAGACCCTTTTCCAATTAGTATTCCAAATAATATAATACCTATTTTATCAGCTACCAAACACAATTCAATCTATGAAAACATATCTGAAAAGTAAATCTCATTTTTATATGCATCTATATAAAAAATTCCATTTTATACTGGCCTCTAAGAAAGCTTTAGCAAAGAGGATTTCTAAAAGAAAAGGTACTAGCAGACTCAAAAGAGTACATAAGCTCTACCAGTTCATAACAAGACAGTCAAAAGTTCATCTAGCTAAAGATTTTCTTATCACATCACTTAAGTCAACTTGTTTTTACACTGAACACATTTTTCACTGTAAGAATTCTAAAACTGATTGACAAACACACTAAATTCAACCTAAGATTTAAAAACTGGCTTTATAACAGTATTTCTTCAAAATGTTTATATTCAAGTGTTGACAATATTTATGTTCAATATTTATGTAAATCTATTTTGTAAAAACAGAAAATCCAACGTTCTTTGTTTTCAAAGGATTTATCTTTCTGGAGAAAAAAACCAAACAACCAACCAAAAACTGTTATAAAGACCATGAATTCAATTTGTTTGTATTACCCTTACCACCTAATAGAGTGATCTGCACATGTAGCAATTACCAATAATATTCTTAATCATTAACATCTTAGAAGTGCAGCTTACCATCATTCTCTCTGATAGGTTGCTTTATTAATGTTTCCAGAGCACCACTATAATCTTCCAAAATCCAATATGCCATGCTCCGAAGAAAAGGATCATGATGCATATTTATGTTCAATGAACACAGTTCACTGACAGGAGAATCGATTCCCAAAACTTTTTTACGTAAAATAGATTTATATGCTGCAGATGTATCAAATTCAGACTCATAGAGTCTTGCTATTACAAGAGCCAACTGAATGTCATTCAATTTCTCAAGACATACCTTTAAAAAAAAATATTGTTTTTAAATAAGCAGGAGCAGGTTTCATTTTAGGATAAATTCTGTTAACTCACTAATAACTAGAAAAATATAAAGGCTTATAAATATCCAAAATTAGCAAAGAAGGATAAGAAACAAAACATATGCTGCTTGCTTTTAGATTTTAGCAAATCTACTTGACAACATTTAATAACTGCAAACCTACCTTCTAGTACTAAATATATATATATGTGCAAAAATTAAACTAAATGAGGAAACAATGGATAATTTAAATGACGTCAATTTAAGCTATATTATTTTATTTCTGTCTTGAACCTCTACTATTCTCCATCCGCCCCTGGAGACTTTAGTCTCCATATTAAAAGGTTGTTTTGAATTACTTGTATGAAACTCTGAGCAAAAGGGCAATTTGAGACAGAAATGTTGTATCTTAAATATTCATAATTTTTTTAAGGTTTACTAAGAAATAATCAGTTAAGGATTTTCTAACATTCATCAAATAATAGAGAGCCAGATATGGGGTTCAAATATGTTTAAACTGGTAGGACAAACCCTTTAATTTTTTGAATATTCTCAAGAGTCAAATCAATTACCTATCTCTACCAACTAACAAACACCATTTGGTTAATCTTAATTCTGTATAAATACCGTTCAAGTTAACAGTCAAAATTTTAAATGTCTTTATTAAATATTAACAGTTATTTCAGATATTTGGCCTTGTGTTATTTCCAATAAAGTTGAATTTAAAAAAATAAAAATTTAAGCACTAAGGAGCTTTAAAAGATGACATTGCTATACTTTGTTATTTAAATTTCACTCATTACCTCAATTGCATCTCTGAGGCAACCAGCTAAAAGAAAAAATGCTGCAGAATGTTCAAATCTTTGTTTGCCTAGCAAAGAAAAAGCATTCTTTAAAGCTGCTTTACGCCACCTCTCATCCTCAAAATTGTGTCCAAAAAACTGTGTCATCCTGGTGTTTTTTTCAGCTCTATAAAGGAAAAAAAATGGTGTGAAAATTTTGGAATACAATTTTCTTTACATCAGAATCAATTTTCTAAAGTTAAGATTTGGCTAAGTCTAAATAGAAACATCTGCCAGTTCATAACTTACTATGTATCTGCTTCTTTTCCCAGTAAAAATTATATTAGGTAAACATTTGTTATATAAGTCTCAGAGATTACAAAAAATTTTTCTTTCTAAATACAAAGAAAACTACATTAGCAGGACTGTGAAAATTACTTTTAAATCCATGCAAAATGTTTGATTTATATTAACTTGGGTGCCACCATTGAAACTCATCAGTATCTTTTCACCCCTGCCATCTGAGAATGACCTAAGAGATAAAAATCTAAAGAATGTGCCTTGAATCAAAACAACCGTAAATCATCAAGTCTCTTAGAAAACCGATTTGTTATCGTGATTTTTCCCCCAAAGGTCGCTGTTCATGTGGGTCATCTGGAAATAAACTCAAAACAAATGATGAACTATTTATGATAATCATGTTCACCAGTCTTGCTCAGAAGTGAGAGAGAAAAATTCTAAGTGAATTCAGCTCAGAAAGAAGGTGGGGCCCACAGGAAGGAGATAGTTTTGTGGGGTAGGCTGGCCCATAGTGCAGAGGTAAATGCCTGTTCCAGACTCCACCATTTAATTCATCTTCTTCCCTGTCCCAAGCATAAGTTTCTGGTTTAGTTACCTGATATGGTTTGGCTGTGTCCCCACCCAAATCTCATCTTGAATTCCCAAGTGCTGTGGGAGGGACCCAGTGGGAGGTAACTGAATCATTGGGGCAAGTCTTTTCCATGCTATTCTTGTGATAGTGAATAAGCCTCAAGAGACTTGTTGGTTTTACAAACAGGAGTTTCCCCGCACAAGCTCTGTTTTGTCTTGTCTGCTGCCATGTGAGACATGCCTTTCACCTTGTGCCATGATTGTGAGGCCTTCCCAGCCACGTGGAACTGTAAGTCCAATAAACCTCTTTCTTTTGTAAATTGCCCAGTCTTGGGTATGTCTTTATTAGCAGCATGAAAACGGACTAATACATTACCTTTGTTTTATAGGAGCATAATGAGAAGTTCTTAAGCAAAATATTGTTTCTGGATTGATAAATCTGAAAACAAATTAAACTGACCTCATCAGGTTTCTTCCACTCTGAAAAACACTTGGGGCTTTTTCCTTACGAAATCTCTCTTTTAAATATAAAACAACTAAGAATCTACATGAATCAACATCAACAAGAACAACAAATCTTACTTCATTCATTTACTTCTTATGAACAGGTTTTCACATTGAAGCACCCTTTTTTTTTTTTTTTTTTACCTACCTATATAATCCCCAAATCACAGCTTTCTTTTTCATTGCAAGGTAAAAAATGGCAGCATCTAAAGGATCATTCTTTCTATAAAAGGCTGCTTTAGCTACCTATAATCAAAAAATATTGATCAAAATTTCACAGAAACAGTTTTGAACAAGTAATTTCTTTCATATGAAAGGCTGGCACATATCCATTGAATGTTTAATAAAATTTTAAAAATATGTATATGAATAATATGTGCATGTATATATAAAATAATAACAAAAGTGACTTACAGTGGTGGCTTCAATGGATACAGAGAATAATAGGACTATTGCCTTTCATTACAAGTTCTTCTGTACTATTTTTAAATTTTTCTAAACATATATATTATTTTGTAAAAATCAGACATATACTACTAACAAGTTTGTCAATTAAAAACTTGGGAATTAGAATATACATTTTAAAACTTTAGATATTTTGAAACACGTTATAAATGAAATGTAAAGACTATTCAAAAGCCTTTTGCTGCTTCAAAAACAAGAGGGAGTAATGGCAGAGAAGATATGAAATGCCATTTAAAGAAACGTCCAAAAAATATTAATTCACTTATACACCAAAATAAAACACTTACTTTTTCTATGCATTTGCGTAAGATGCGGGTATTCCGGACCCACCACCCCACACCCATAGCTCTTAGTTCAGACCAAGTGGGATCATCTTTCTGCATGGCTGGCAACATGTTCAGCAGTTCTTCTTCTGCTACTGAGTGAAATGCCCAAGCAAAATGACTTGTAGACAGGCCTGAAGAAATGTAAAAAATGATGTTTATAAGAATTATAAATATGCTTATATGATTATCAGAAATGTATGTTCCATATTTTCAATATAAATGTGTAAACTTCTATGAGACTCACAGTTTAAGATTGGAAATATGGGCTTTTTTAAGTTTTTCCTTCTTCAAATAACTGTATCACTCCAATGAGCACATATATGTTTTGCAAAAATAGCATTTTTTTGAAAGGAAAAGAAAAAATGCTTATGGCAAATTCCACTGTGCTGATGTATTTCGGATCCTTTTTAAAAAATGAGTAACACTTAAAGCATTATTTTATGTTGATATATTTCTGTCTTCAAAGCTGCTTTTCACCTTTGTTTGGTCAACATTTGTTTTGTGGATGTAATTCCATGGAATTAGTAAAAAAAAAAAAAAACATCAAGCAAGCAGTTCAGGTTGATGAATTAGGAATAGCACTGCAAAGACTCCAGAATCATAATGCATATGTTAAATTCCAGCTCTAGCAGGGTGCGGTGGCTTACGCTGTAATCCCAGCACTTTGGGAGGCCTAGGTGGGTGGATCACTTGAGGTCAGAAGTTCGAGACCAGTCTGGCCAACATGGTGAAACCCTGTCTCTACTCAAAAAACGTACAATTAGGCCGGGCGCGCTGGCTCATGCCTGTAATCCCAGCACTTTGGGAGGCCGAGGCGGGCGGATCACGAGGTCAGGAGATCGAGACCATCCTGGCTAACACGGTGAAACCCTATCTCTACTAAAAATACAAAAAATTAGCCGGGCATGGTAGTCCCAGCTACTCGATAGGCTGACGCAGGAGAATGGCGTGAACCCAGGAGGCAGAGCTTGCAGTGAGCCGAGATTGTGCCACTGCACTCCAGCCTGGGCAACAGAGTGAGACTCCGTCTTCAAAACAAAACAAAACCATACAATTAGCCAGGCATGGTGGTATGTGCCTGTAATCCCAGCTACTCAAGAAGCTGAGGCAGAAAAATCACTTGAACTGGGGAGGTAGACATGGCAGTGAGGCAAGATCGTGCCACTGCACTCCAGCCTCGGCAACAGAGTAAGGCTCTGTCTCAAAAATGAAAATAAAAACAAAAAATAAATTCCAGCTCTATTGTTGACTATTAAGTTGGTACAAAAGTAATTGCAGGTGGTTTCTGCCATCAAAAAAGGCAAAAACTGCAGTTGCTTTTGTACCAGCATAATATATTCATATAATCTTTGGATAAGTTACGTTGTCTCTTAATGCCTCAATCTCTCTGTATGTAAAAAATGCAAATAATCATGGAACTATCTTATAACATAGTTTTGATAATTAAATAATATAGTTATAAAATTTAGAATAGAATCTGGCACACAGTAATTATTACTCCATATCACCATATTAATAAGATATTTGTATATTTATACAACATCATTTATGTCAGTAATTCTCTCAACCCAGTGGCCTACACATGTTTATTGCTCAGCTTCTATTTTCACTTTTCATAATACATTTTGTTTAGCATTACTAGGTAAAGTAAATGATTAATTATAGCATGTGGCTTTGAGATATATGGCCTCAAATTTTTAACCTAAGCCAAGCAAGGAATCACCTCCCATGCCAAGCAATGTGAAATGCTTTCTATACGGAACACTTTGAAAATAAATGAAAGGTAAAAACAAAACAAAAAAACCCTACATTGTGAATGGACTATTATTCTAAATCAAATTTTTGGATTCCTGTTATCTCTCCAGCAACTTCAATACATTTTCATAAATAATTAAAGAATCTGATTTAGACATCAGTAAGATGGCAGGAATAGAAGTTCCAGGTTTCATTCCTTGCTATGATTTGCATATTTATATCCCTTCAGATTTCATGTTGAAACTTAACCTGCAATGTAACAGCATTAACAGGCAGAGCCTTAAGGAGATAACTAGCCATTGCCCTCGTGAATGGGATTAACATCCTTATAAAAGGGATCAAGAGACATAGGTAGTCCTTTTTACCAGTTCCATCATTTAAGGATGTAGCAAGAAGGTGTCAACTATGGAGCAGAGATCAAGCCCTTACCAGACACCAAATCTGCTGGTGTCTTGATCTTGGACTTCCCAGCCTGCAGAAATATGAAAAATAACTTGTTCCTATTTACAAATTACCCAGTCTAAGATATTTGTTATAGAAGCCCCAAAAGACAGACACCCCTGCACAAAGAGAGTTTAAGTAGCAACTAGCCACAGATTAGAAAATGCCATTTTACCCCCAAACTTGGGAATGAGCTGAGACACCTGCGAGGACCACAGAACCAAACAAAAACTGCAGTAGAAGGGTAAGAGTAACAGTCTCACTTTGAGCACATCACCTGTTCCCATCCCAGCTGATTTGCTTGCGGTACAAGAAGAAAATTCCCTAGATCCACAGTTTGTACAGTGGAAAAAGAAAGCCACGGTCAGACATTGAGCTTCCCCAGTGTTCTAAAATGTTTCCCAGGAAGCTCACGCTGGTCTCACCTCAAGGGAAACAATGTGGGCAATGTCACAGCTAGATCATCTGGTGTTGCGTAGAAACAAAGAAAGGAGGTAGACCTTATAGCAACTAGCCTGCAGACGTTGGTGGTAGCTCTGTGTTCCTGCCAGTGGTAGCATCCAATTAGAGGTAACAGCCAATAGCCTATCCTACCTGCAAAGTCAAGCTGGTTGCTTCCAGAAGCATGGTAAAAAATTCAACCTGGCTTCAGTCCTTAAATGGCCAACCTCCACAACCAGCCTCAGAGCCCACCCCAAAGCCCCGCCCAGACTGGTAGACATCTACCTCAGCATATTTCAGCAAAGCTCAGGGGCTAGACCTGCCCAACCAGAGAGTTCAAACAGTGGCTTGGCTCAGCCTCAAACACCACTCCCAGGTCCTACCCAGGCAGGGAGACACCGATCACTGTGTATTTCCTTAGAAGACAGGCCTGCCCAACCTGGGAGGCCAAACAGGGGCTTGGCCCAGCCCCAGACCTCACACCAAGGTTCCGTTCAGGCAGGAGGGCAAGCTTCAAACACGCATTTCTATAAAACATAGCCTCTGAATCTGTCCATCTGGAGTAACAACTCTGCCTAACCTCGGGGCCAGCCTGCAACCCTGCCCAACTTCAGAACCCAAACGATAATACTGCCTGGCCAGAGAACACATCCTGTAACCCAGCCCAATTAGAGGCTATCGCAGTGCCCAGCCAGCAGGTCTGACTGACTGCAGAGACCAGCCAGTGGTCTTGACAGTGGTCTTGCCAGACAGCAGAACCTAGAGAGCAGCAACATCCAACCTCAGAACCTAAAGGCAGGGGCCTAGCCACCTAGAGAACCCAACTGCAAGCCCTGCCTCCCTGGGGTCATTTCAGGCTGAACCACGCATAATCAGAGGCTAGGTTTAATAGTGAAGCTCTATCTTGGCCAGATAGCTTGCTCAAATGAGCAGACCCCAAAGCAAATACACGAGAATGGTGAAGAATCAGGGAATCATTATATCTCGAAACAAACTAATAAATTTCCAATAATGAACCCAAAGGAAACAGATCTATGAAATGACTGACGAATATTTGGAATAATCCACTTAAAAAGTTCAGTGAACTACCTGAATATATAGAGGAAAATTAAAATAAATTTATTCTTATTTAAATAAATCCTACTCAAATAGAAACCGAAATAGAATAGGGGTAGCTATACTTAGACAAAATAGACTTTAAGTCAAAAACTGTGAAAGGAGACAAAGAAGTATGTTACATAATGATAAAGGGGTCAATTCATCCAGAGGATATTAATAATTATAAATATATATGTACTCAACAACAGAGGCACTTAGACTTCGAAAACAAATATTAAAGAAACTAAAGGGAGAGATAGATTACAATACAGTAATAATAGGGGGATTCAATACCCTACTTGCAACAAAGGACAGACCATCCAGACAGAATGTTTAGTCTCTTAGACCAAATGTACCTAAAAGACATGTACAGAACATTCTACCAAACAGCAAGAGAATACGCATTCTTTTTTGTGCACACAAAGAATATTCCCCAGAATAGATACTGTGTTAGATTACAAAGCAAGTTTTAAAAAATTCAAGTGTATGTAAATCATATGAAGTATCTTTTCTGATCACAATAGTATGAAATGAGAAATAAATAACAGGAGAAATCTTGGAAAAGTCACCAATTTGTGGAAATTAAACAACATGCTCCTGAAAAAACAATGAGTCAAAGAAGAAACCAAAAGAGAAATTAAAAATTATCTTGAGACAAACAAATACAAAAACAGAATATGCTAAAATTTATGGGATGCAGCAAAACCATTTCTAAGAGAGAAAATTACAGCATTCAGTGCCTCCCCCCATATATATATATATATCTCTGTCAAATAAACAACCTACTATTATACATCAAGGAACAAAAATTGGAAGAAACTCAGCCCAAAGTTAGCAGAAGAAAGGAAATGAAAATCAGAGGAGAAATAAATAAAGTATAAACTAGAAAAATGACAGGGGAAAAAAACCTGAACACTTTCCAGTTTTCTGGAAAGATAAATATAATTGACAACTCCTTAGCAAGATTAAGAAAAAGAAAGGCTAGGCGCAGTGGCTCATGCCTGTAATACCAGCACTTTAGAAGACGGAGGCAGGCAGATCACTTGAGACCAGGAGTTCGAGACCAGCCTGGCCAACATGGCAAAACCCTGTTTCTACTAAAAATACAAAAATTAGCTGGGTGTGGTGGAGCAAACCTGTAATCCCAGCTACTTGAGAGATTGAGGCAGGAGAATCGCTTGGACCCACGAGGCACAGGTCGCAGTGAGCTGCGAGGCGCCACGGCACTCCAGCCTGGGCGACAGAGCAAGACTCTATCTCAATAAATAAATAAACCAAAGACTAAAAATAAAATTAGAAGTTAACGAAGAGACACTACAACTGATACCACAAATAATCATAAGAGATTAATATGCAGATATATGCCAACAAATTGGATAACCCAGAAGAAATAGATAACTTCCTAGACACAGACAACCTGCCAGAACTGAAATATGAAAAAATAAAATATCTGAACAGATTGATGATGAGTAAGGACATAAATCAGTAATACAAAGTTTCCCATCAGGCCGGGCATGGCGTCTCACGCCTGTAACCCCAGCATTTTGGGAGGCCAAGGCAGGCAGATTACTTGAGGTCAGAAGTTCCAAACCAGCCTTGCCAACATGGTGAAACTCTGTCTCTACTAAAAATACCCCAGCTACTCAGGAGGCTGAAGTAGGAGAATCACCTGAAACCCGGGGGCAGAAGTTGCAGTGAGCCGAGATTGCACCACTGCACTCCAGCGTTGGGTGACAGAAGCGAGACTCTGTCTCAAAGAAAAAAAAAAAGTCTCCCATCAACCCATCAAAACAAAAGCCTAGAATCTGATCGCATCACCGGTGAATTCTACTAAACATTTAAAGAAAAACTAACACCAATCCTTCTTGAACTCCTCCGAAGAACAGAAAGGAAAGAAAAGTTCCTCTTTTTATGAGACCAGGATTTCCCTTATGCCAATGCCAGGCAAAATGAATTAAAAAAAATTATAGGCCATTATCCCTGATAAATACAAATGTAAAACCCCCCACAAAATACCAGCAAACCAAATTAACAGCACAATAAAAGGATCACCCACTGTGATCAAGTAGGAATTATGCCATGGGTTCAAGATTAGCTCAACATGTGCAAATTAACTGATGTCATTCTGTTCATATTAACAAAATTAAGGACAAAACCATATGATCCTCTCAACTGATGCAAAAAAAGCATCTGATAAAATTCGACATCCTTTCATGACAAAAACTCTCCCAAATTAGGTGTAGAAGGAATGTTCCTCAACACAACAAAGGCCATAAATGACAAGCCCAGAGCTAAACATCATACCCAACAGTGACAATTCAAAAGCTTTTCCTCTAAGATCAGAAAGAGGACAAGGATGCACTCTCTCACAACTTCTACTCAATTATGATAGTACTAGAAGTCCCTGCCAGAGCATTTAGACAAGAGAAAGAAATAAAAAGGCATCCAAATAGGAAATAAAGAAGTGAAAATGTCACTGTTTGCTAACAACACAATCTTACATACAGAAAACACATAAGACTCCACCAAAGAAACAGTTAGAACTAATAAACAACTACATTAAACATGAAGGATACAAAATTAAAATGCAAAAAGCAGTGGCATTTCCATACAGTAACAACAAATTATCTGATCTGATTTTAAAAATAAACAAAACAATCTCATTAATCATTGCTACTTAAAAAAAAAAAAAAAAAACCTTAGAAATATATCGGCCAGGCCGGTGGCTCACATCTGTAATCCTAGCACTTTGGGAGGCCAGGGTGGGAGGATCATTTGAGCTCAGGAGTTTAAGAAAAGCCTGGGCAACACAGCAAGACCCCATCTCATTAAAAACAAAAATTTAACCAAGGAGATAAAAGAGCTCTAAAATAAAAACTATAAAATATTGATGAAAGAAATTTGAAGACACAAATAAATGGTAAGATATCCAGTGTTCACAGATTGGAAAAATTAATTTGTTAAATTTTTAATTTGTTAAAATGTCCAAACTATCCAAAATGATCTACAGATTCAACGCAATCTCTATCAAAATACTGATGTCATTTTTCACAGAAATAGAAGAAAAAAACCCTAAAATTCATTAGGAATACCAAGAAACACCAAATACTCAAAGTAAACTTGAGATGAAAGAACAAACCTAGAGACATCACACTACCTGATTTCAAACTATATTACAAAGCTAGGGTAACCAAAATAGCATGATACTGGTGTAAAAACAGAAACAGACCAATGGAACAGAATAGAAGGCACGGAAATCAACCCATACATTTATACTCAATTGATTTTTGTCAAACGTGCCAGGAACACACAATGGGAAAGGATAGTTTCTTCAAAAAATGGTGCTGGGAAAACTAGATAACCACATGCAGAAGAATGAAATTGGACCATTATCTTACACCATATACAAAAATAGGTCAAAATGGATTAAATACTTAAGCATAAGACCTGCATTGTAAAACTACTAGAGGAAAACACAGAGGGAAAACTACATGTCATCAGTCTGGGCAATGATTTTTTTGGATATCACACCAAAGGGACGGGCAACAAAAGCAAAAATGAACAAATGGGATGACATCAAACTGAAAATGTCTGCATAGCAAAGAATACAATTAGCAGAGTGAAGAGAAAAGCCGTGGATTGGGAAATAATATCTGCAATCTGTATATCTGATAAGGAGTTAATATCCAAAATATATCAAGAACTCAAGTAACCCAATAGCAAGAAAACAACTCAATTAAAAAATAGGCATGCCAGGCACAAGTGGTGCACACCTGTAGACCCAGCTATTTGAGAGGCTGAGGCAGGAGGATGGCTTGAGGCCAGGAGTTTGACTCCAGCCTGGGCAACAGAGTAAGACCCTCAACTCTTGGGGGAAAAAAAAAAAAACCAGAGGGGATAAATGAACTGAACAGATATTTCTCAAATGAAGACATATGAATGTCCAACAGATAAATGAAAAAAGCGCTTGATATCTATAATCATCAGGAAAATGCAAATTAAAGCCATAATGAGATAACAACTCACACCTGCTAGAATGTCTATTATCAGAAAGAGAAAAAAACAAACAGTTTTCATAAAGAAGTGGCGAAAAGGGGAGCCTGGTACACTGCTAATGGGAACATAAATTAGTACAGCCATTATGGAAGAGGGTATGAAGGTTCCTCAAATATCTAAAAATATTCTGGGACAATGTTTTATTAAAAGAGAAGAAAAGAAAAGAAATTTTAACTAAAAAAAAAAAGAAAAAATTTAAAAACAAAATTACCACATGATCCACCAATCCCACTTATGTGTATATAGTCAAAGGATGTGAAATCAGTATGTTGAAGAGATAGCTGCACTCCAATGTTAAGTGAAGTTTTCTTCACAATAGTTTAGTTATCAATTCAACCTAAGTATCCATCAATAAATTAATAAAGAAAATATCGTATATATAGGCAGACCTTGGAGATACCATGGGTTCGATTTCAGACCACCACAATAAAGCAAATATTGCAATAAAATGAGTAACACAATTTTTTGTTTCCCAGTGCATATACAAGCTATGGTTACATCATACTGTGGTCTATTAACTGTGCAATAGCGTTATGTCTAAAATGAGTGTACATACCTTAATTAAAAAATACATCATTGCTAAAACATAACAATCACCTGAGCCTTAAGCAAGTCATAATTTTTGCTGATGGAGAATCTTGCCTTGATGTTACCGGCTGCTGACTGATCAGGGTAGAGGTTACTGAAGGCTGGGATGGCTATAGCAATTTCTTAAAATAAGGCAACAATGAAGTGTGCCACATAGATGGACTCTTCCTTTTATGTAAGATTTCTCTATACCATGTAATTCTATTTGATAGAATTTAGAACTTCTTTCAAAATTGGAGTCAGTCCTCTCAAACCCTGCCAATGCTCTATCAACTAAGTTTACAGACTATTCTAAATCCTTTGTTGTCATTTCAACCATGTTCACTGCATCTTCACCAGGAATAGATTCCACCTTAAGAAACCACATTCATTGCTCATCCTTTAAGAAGCAACTCCTCATCTGCTGAAGTTTTGTTTTTTTTTTTTTTTTTTGAGACAGGGTCTCCTCCTGTTGCCCAGGCTGGAGTGCAGTGGTGTGATCATAGCTCGTTGCAGTCTTGACCTCCTGGACTCAAGTGATATTCCTATTCAGCTCCCTGAATAGCTAGGACTACAGGCACGTAACACTAAACCTACCTAAATTTTTTTCAGAGATGGCGTCTATGTTGCCCAGGCTGATCCTAAACTCCTGGCCTTAAGCGATCCTCCCACCTCAATATCCCAAAGTGTTGAGATTACAGGGATGAGCCATCGTGCCTGGCTCTGCTGAAGTTTTACCCTGAGATTGCAGCAATTCAGTCACATATTCAGGTTCTACTTTTAATTCTAGTTCCCCTGCTATTTCTACCGTATCTGCAATTACTTCCTCTACTGAAGTCTTGAACCTCTCAAAGTCATCTGTGAAGGCTGGAATCAACTTCTTCCAAACTCTTGTTAATGTTGATATTTTGACCTCCTCCCATGAATTACACATGTCCCCAATGGCATCTAGAATGGTGAAGCCTTTCCAGTGGTTTTCAATTTACTTTGTCCAGATCCATCAGAGGAATAATTATCTATAGCAGCTATAGCCTTATGAAATGTATTTCTTAAATGATAAGACTTAAAAGTTGGAGGCATTCTTTGATTCATGGACTGCAAAATGAATGTTGTGTTAGCAGGCATAAAAACTATATTAATCTCCTTGTACACCTGCATCAGAGCTCTTGCGTGAACAGGTCACTGTCAATAACAGCAATATTTCGAAAGGAAATCTTTCTTCTCAACAGAAGGTCTCAATAGTAGGCTGCAAATATTCAGTAAATTATGCTATAAACAGAGGTGCTGCCATTGGGCTTTGCTATTCCATGTGTAGAGCGCAGGCAGAATAGGTTTCACATAATT
The DNA here is from genome assembly GCF_000001405.40 of Homo sapiens. Classification (NCBI taxonomy): domain Eukaryota; kingdom Metazoa; phylum Chordata; class Mammalia; order Primates; family Hominidae; genus Homo; species Homo sapiens. The sequence goes on along the minus strand of NC_000005.10, from coordinate 119,154,935 downwards.
CTTAAACACTCTAGGATTTTCAGAATGGTAAATGGGCATTGGCTTCAACTTAGTTACCAGCTGCATTAGCCCCTAACAAGAGTCAGTCTGTTCTTTGAAGCCAGGCACTGACTGCTCTCTAACTACGAAAGTCCTAGATGGCATCTTCTTCCAACAGAAGGCTGTTCCATGTACTTTAAAAATCTGTCCTTTTGTGTAGCCACCTTCATCCATTATCTTAGCTAGATCCTCTGGAAAACATGCTGAAGCAAGTGCTGAATGACGTAGAAGCTTCAGCATGTTATCCAGAAGACCTAGCTTCACCTTGTACTTGTAGTTTACGGAGAAAGCTCCTTTCCTTAAACCTCATGGACCAACCTCTGCTAGCTTCAAACTTTAATTGTGCAGCTTCCTCACTTCTCTCAGCTTTCATGAAATTAAGACGAGTTACAGCCTTGTTCTGGATTAGGCTTTGGCATAAGAGAATCTTGTGGCTAGTTCGATCCATCTAGACCACTCAAACTTTCTCCACATAAGCAATAAGGCTACCTTGCTTTCTTATCATTTATGTGTTCAATGGAGAACGTTTAGTTTCCTTTGGACCTTGTCCTTTGCATTTACAATTTGGTAAACTGTTTGGCACAAGAGGCTTAGCTTTCAGCCTATCTCGGCTTTCAACATGCCTTCCTTACTAAGCTTAGTCCTTTCTAGCTTTTGATTTAAAGGGAGAGATATGCAGCTCTTCCTTTCACTTGAACACTTAGAAGACATTGTAGGGTTGTTAAACTGTCCTAATTTCTATATTGTTATGTCTCAGTGAATAGGGAGGTCTGAGCAGAGGGAGAAATACAGGGGAATGGCTGATCAGTGTTGTAGCCACAGTACACACAACATTTATTGATTAAATTCATTGTCCTACATAGGCGCAGTTCATGGCACTCCAAAACCATTATAATAGTAACAAAGATCACTGATCACAGATGACAGAAAAAGTTTGAAATATTGTGAGAATTACCAAAATGAGACACAGAGACATGAAGTGAACACATGCTGTTGGAAAAACGGTGCTGAAAGACTTGCTCAACAAACGGTTGCCACAAAGCTTCAATTTGTAAAAACTGCTGTATTTGCAAAATGCAACCTAGCAGAACACAATAAAAAGGAGTATGCCTGTATATACACTGGAGTACCAGTCAGCCTTAAAAAACGAAATCTTGTCATTTGCAACAACATGGATGAACCTGGAGAACATTACAGTAAGTGAAATAAGCCAGTCATAGACAAATATTGCATGATCTCACTTATCTGTGGAATCGAATACAATTGAAATCAAAGAAACAGAGAATAAACGGTATTTGCCCAAGGCTGGGGACAGGATGAGAAGGGAGACATTGGTCAAAGGGTAAAAAGTTTCAGTTAGGAGGAATACATTTTTGATATCTACTGCACAGCATGGTAGCTACCTTTAATAATAGTGTATTGTATATTTCAATATTGCTAAGAGAGTACATTTCAAATATTCTTACCACAAATATTTTACATATCTGAGGTGATGGATATGTTTAGTTTGACTTAATCATTCCACTTTGTATACATATATCAGAACATTACTTTGTACCCTATAAATACATACAATTTTAATGTGCTAAATTACAATCTAAAAATTTTAAAGAGAATTTGGCCTGGCAAGATGGCTCACGCCCATAATGCCCAGCACTTTGGGAGGCCGAGGCAGGTGGATTGCTTGAGGTCAGGAGTTCAAGACTAGCCTGGCCAATATGGTGAAACCCCATCTCTATTAAAAATACAAAAATTAGCCAGGCGTGGTGGTGTGCGCCTGTAGTCCCAGGTATTCGAGAGGCTGAGGCAGGAGAATCAGTTGAACCCAGGAAATGGAGGTTGCAGTGTGCGGAAATCACACCACTGTACTCCAGCCTGGGTGACAGAGCAAGACTCTATCTCAAAAAAGAAAAAAAAAAAACTAAAAAGAATTTGATTTAGAATTTTCAACTTTACTTTTTTCAAAGCTATATGCAAAATGAGAAAAAGAAAATAGTGAGAGAAACAAAGAGACAGAGACATAAGGTACGAGCAAGAGACTGAGACCAAGGAGCAGAGGCTAAAAGGCTAAACTGCAAAGTCCCAATAACACTTTTTAAACCTATAGTTCCAATAATGCTGAAAGTCAGCTCTATTTCTTGAACTTCCCGGGAGATGAGCCAAAAAACATGCTGTTTTGTTTAAGTGAACTTAAGTGAGATTTCTCTTACTTTGAACTCTCTAAGACAATGTTATTTTCTGGTACCTACAATAATCGTTTAATAAGAATCTATTACGTTATGCTAAGACAGTTCAAAGTCTAAGATAGTTCAAAGTAAGAGAACTAACAGTATCTGAAATACAGCACTAAATATAGAATACATGAAATATACTAAACTAATATCTGAAATACATATTTTATCAGTAGTTTTAAGTGTGGGTAAATTTACACTTTCAATATTCTGTACTCTGTGAAATATTTAAAATTTGAGAATGTATTATAACACAAATGTTATTCAATGTTTGGTGGAAAAACTGAATTTAGATAAATGTCAAAAAAAAGGAGAGAAAAGACAATCTAAAGAAGAAATTAAAGAAAATGAAACAATACTAATTTGCCTTGAACATATCATGCATTTAAAAACATAACACAGAACATCTCCAGTATGTTTCTTCATTAACTCCTTTTGCCTACCATTAAAAATTCCAATGTTTTAAGCAAAGATTATGACAAAATAAACATTTTAACAAATAAAGGAAACTTAAAATATGTTAAATATGTCATCATTATCATTTTTGGGTAAAAACAAGTTTAAAAACTCCCAAGTCTCTCATTTTCTACTCGCTTTATTTCCCTTTAATAGATTACTATCAAAATCACCTTGGTGAAGGAGTTGAGCTCGATAGGCTGGAAGGGAAGTTGTAAGAAAGGTATGGAGTCGAACAGCCAAAAGAAATTTTAACCCACATTCATCAAGAGTTTCTCCACCTGCAATGGGAGAAAGGGGAAGCAATGTATTAAAAAAAAAATTGTAAGCAAAAGAACACCCAATATAGGCATATAACATTCTTAACCTGACCAAGAAAAAAGTTATCAGTGTAAAATATTTTCTAACATTTATCTTTTTCTACAGAATTTTACATTACAGAAAAAATAGTATAAACAATTGGAAAAATAATAAAGAGAATAAAGAGAATCTGATACTCTTTATAAACTGACCTCTTCTGACTGAAATCTTATTTAAATTAAAATGTGACTGATTTTTGAACAGTTTAACCTTTTCTGTGGCACATGTACAGTATTATCTTTAACCAATACAGTTTGTTCGAATCATACATCCACCCCAATAATCTGCTGTTAACACTGGGAGAAACAGTTCTATGGTGGGAGGGCCTGATATTTTTTCCTTGAAGCAAAAACTAAAAACATAAAACACCTATAACATATTCACATCAAAAATAGTATCTACTAGTAATATCTCTAAAAGTGTCAAGATTCATAACCAACTTAATTTTTCTTAAATTTAAATTTTGTTATTATATTAAATTTACCCTATATTTTCCTTTCAAGTTTCATTCAAAGGGATACTGACGTATATATGGTCTACAAGGCTCAATTTGTTCATTTCAGAACTTACTTGAGATTTTATGGCAAACTGTTCATAACTTGGCAGTATTTTTTTTTTAAATGCTCTCTGGGTGAGGAAAAGACCTAATTACATTATGCTTTTCTAGGTAGGAGCATACATTAATGCTAATTTAAAAAAAACTCAATGTTTTAAAAACCAAATTATAATTGTTAATAGTGGATTATTACAAAATGAGGGGAAAAAACCCAGAAACCACATTTTTAGGTACTTAAAATAATTGTTTAATAAGAATCTGTTAAATTTTGCTAAACTCAGAAAGATTCAGTTGGATCTTTTATACTATTGAGCAGAAAATTAGTAAAAATGAACAGCATAACGAGTCTTTGTGCACTCGCTCATAGTACTATGATTTACAGGATAAATAGTGCATATTAAGAGTTTGCTGTTTATGATAGTCTCGGGGGGAAAAAAAGTTAAAACTGTTGTGAAGGTAGCAAAGATGTTTCCAAAAAAAACCTTCATGGTATTTTTTTTTTTAAGAGACAGGGTCTTGCTCTATTGTCCAGGCTGTAGTGCAGTGGCACAATCAGTTCACTGCCAGCTCAACCTCCTGGGCTCAAGCATCATCCCACCTCAGCCTCCTGAGTAGCTAGGACTATAGGCATGAGGCACCATATCTGGCTAATTTTTTTTTGTTTTCATAGAGATGGGGGTCTCAACTATGTTGCCCAGACTGGTCTTAAACTCCTAGGTTCAAGTGATCCTCCTGCCTCAGCCTCCCAAAGAGCTGAATTTACAGGCATAAGCCCCTGTGCCTAGCCAATGGCATCATTTTAATAAAAATTATTTAAAATTATTTTCTGTGAAAGTAAGTAAAAATGTTATCAGTACGGAGTTTAGTTTTACCTTGGCTTCTGTCTCGGCTTTCTCCAATATCAGTGCTTGTAGTTGCAATTGTATCTGCTAAGGCCATCAAAGACATCTGCTCCATCCGGCTGAGTCCTGGTAAACTAGAATGAAGTAAGTGGCCAGAAAGAACCTGAGCATGCTCAGGTCCAAAGTAAGTCGGACTGTACTGTGAAAGGTCAATAACTCTAGGCTTTGTATTTTCTTCATCTGTCTCTAACATATGAGTATCAGTCATTAGAAGTTGAGTCTGAAAAAGCTCATCATAACTTTCTTTAGATAATTGGTTTGATTTACTTAACGTACTCTCATTACTAGATTTCTCCAAAGATGAGTAACAGCTATCATCATCTGCTGCAAGTAAGGCATATAAAGGAAGTGGAGGAACAGAATCTATTTCTGTGTAATCTGTATTTTCAGCCTTGTTGAATGCCTGGGGGTCTCTGGTAGTGCTTCCACTAGCACTGATTGTGAGAGACCTAAGGCGGCGTTCATGATTAGATTCAGCTTCATTCAGAGCCACAACTTCCCCAGCAATGCACTTAACAAGATGGGACAAGATGGCCTTGGCTCTCCGAACTTTACCAAGATCCATGAGTTCCAAAAGCTGCAAGGGATGATACTGAGGTAGAGTCGGGGAAAGTACATGAGCTGCTTCAAAAAGACCTGAATCTTCCATATCCACTGAAGGATCGAATGCAGTTTTCTTTCCACAGATTTTCTGTGCAAGACTGGTCATGGATCGAGTCAGAGTTTTCTTTGGAGGATGTAACCCAGAACTGGAGTTACTCTGTTTTATTAAACTTGTTATAGATGGAGTGCTCCCACTGTACGAATCTGTTATAACAGGTTCTTGTTTAGAAGATGGTTGCCATTGGCAATACACATGCATTTCACAGTCCATTCCTACCACAAGGATGCCATCCCGGACCCACGATAAAGAAACAGGAAAAGGTGGGGAGCCATCTACAGAAGAAACTAGGTCCACACTTCGTAATAGTACAAATTTAGAAAGGGGCACAACTTTGGTACTCTCCCAGAGAGGAAATGCCAGGGTTTCCTTACCAGTTTGGTCTTGTACCTTGCCAGCCAGGGGTCCATACATAAAAAGTTTTGATCCAATTCCTACAGTCAGGATATGAGAACCGTCTTCTCTAGACATCCAATCTAAGTGAACTAAATGCTTTGTGTTTGATGTGATATTCTCTTTACTAGATAAATACATGTCTTGTTTATTATAGGCCACTAAATTGCTATCAACACTAATGCCAGAATCCAATACTGTGCTTAACTCATCTAAATGAATTGTCTGCTCAAGGACCCAACATGAACCTCCTGTTGACTCACATTCAAAAATACTTACATGCATCACAAAGTCCTGGGAAGATCTACTATTAGATGCAGGCTGCTTATAAGCTACTGCTAAACGATTTGTATGTGCACAGCTAACTTCTACAGGCCTACCAGGTACAGTTATACTACTATTGCTCTGAAGTCCATCTTCAATAAGTAATGGCCATTCTTCCCAAATGTATGCAAGATCAATTTTTCCATTCTTTGACGTGGCAGATTCTCCATCTGTTACTCTGCATCTCCAGAATCTTACTTTCTCATCTGAACATGAAGTTGCCAATAAATAAGGAGCACTGCATGCAGGATATATAGAAGATGAACTCAGATGTCCTAAAATAAAAATAATCCGTTAACAAAATGTCAAATTTGGTTAAATACTTCTGTTTTTATGTACTTACGATTTTAGTCTTTTGTATTAACTACTATAAATATGAACAAAATCAAAGGGGCATCTTGGCTGTATGTTTTTTAAACTGCATAATAGACAGCCTATATTTATTTAAGTTAAAAAGGGGCAGCAAGAATAGTAAGAAAGAGGCTTTTAATGACATCAGAAAGGTATATAAAAAGAAAGTATCACCAAAACCTAGAGTTGAAAGGGAACTCTGAGATAATTTACTTCAATTCTTGAAGGTTAAACATCTTGGGCCTAAATCAAACAACTTAGGCATAGGCAGAATTTAATTCTAGTTAATCCCGAATTTGTTTCACAGCTCTTTGCTAGTTTTATACATTATAAATCTAATTTTAAAGGTATCAATGCATTTTTTTAAATTTGTCAACACTCACTGGCTCCTTCTCTTTCACATTTTTCAATATAAATGTGAATGGCCTATGTTTACTTAAGTACTGAATGGTCACTTTACAGGGCCCTTCATGATTGAGGTATATTTGCCATAACAAATGCTGAGAAGATTCCTAACTACAACTTAACATTTGCTTAGACTTAAAGTAATCATGCACTATTAGTTTCCTAAAACATAAGCCTTAATTTGTATTTTTGATTAGTATTCTTGATACTCCAGAACAGTGGTTCTTGACCTTTTGCAAGCATAAGAATCACTTTAAAGGTTTGTAAGTCCAGGCCACTGGGCCCCATCCCAGAGTCTGAGATTCAGTAACCCTGGGTGGCCCAAGAAATGGAGTGGCCAATTTCTAACAAGTTTCCAGGACGCTGATGCTGCTGGCCTGGGGACACTTTGAAAACCACTGCTCTGGAATAAGGATAATAAATATATAGCAGAAACCACACAATCAGAATCATGGCTCCAGGCAGCTATTGCCAATACCATCAAAGTCTGCAAATAAAGTACAACTTAGTTACCATCTCCGCTCCAGAAACTGTCCCTTTGTCTTCCCAAAAAGACAAAGAAAATTTGTTTTAGAAATCAATATTTAAGACTAGAACTGGCTGATAAATGTCAGAGTAATCTGAAAACATAATGAGAACTATAAGTCTTCAATTTAGGGTACTTGAATATATTATTTCCATTTCTAGTTCTGTGTGGATTTAAGAGATAGTTGCAGCACCTATTTTTAAATACCTGGTAAATACTCATGTGTTACAAAATTAGTCTCTTTTCATAAAATTTACAAACCTGCTGATGGCTTAATACTTATTATCTCAACTCCTTCTGGTAAATGCAATTCTTGGCTATAAACCATTTCTGAAAACAGAGTCAACCTGCTGGTACTCTGGAGATTTGCTCTGCAAGCCTGATACTTTTGTGAAAAAGGAGATAGGATCTTCTCTGGAGAAGAAGAATAATGTTCTTCTGGCTGCCAAACCGCTTCGGATAATTTTGTATCTACTTTTTCATCTACAAAACATAAGAAAAGAACCAAAAACTGAGGCAGGGGAACCCTATAAATATTACGATTGTTACATTTTACAATCCAAAACTGCCTTGTAAAAGATAAAATAGTAAACATATTAATATGATTCTTCACAGAAAGAAAATAAGAAAAGCTTTTTGAATTAATTGAATAATCTACAGTTATCACCATTTAATGAGAATGGCTTTAAGAAATATGTCCCAAATTATCTAATTTTGTGTAATTTGTTAACTTACACCTATTAAAGTTGCACAAACACACACACAAAAGACTCACCTAATGAGACAGGAATTGACTTTAGATGTAAATTCCACATGTGTAACAGTGAACGGTTGTCTTGAGTGCATTCTATTACAATTAGGTAGAACTTCTCAGAAAATCCATTAGGTGAGCTGCCTGTTGGTATTAATGATATTTTTCACTGTTACTATGTGTAAAAGAGACAACTTGCTAAACATGCCAAGTTAAAATAATTGGACTTTAAAAAAAGAAGATTAAAAACTTTTACCTAAGGCTTCAAACACAAGTGGTATTATAAAATATATTCAAATCCTTTACCACATGAATTTGTATTAACTTAAAATTTTTACAATAATATGTATGCTATTTCATGTTTGAATTGATAGGTTTACAGTCATCATCATCAAATTGTTCACAAAGATTAAACCATAAGAAGTAGGAAATTTCTAAACAGATAGGAACTATGTAATATGTACTTCAACTCAACATATCATGATGAAATGGTGGTGCCAAACATTTTTCAAATGAATAAGTTCTATAATGGATGACTTCATGATATTTATCCAATGGCCAAACCATAAGTTTTCATTATAAAACATATCATTCAAGAAAATTTGTCTTCTCCCAAATTGCATAAACAGCACACGAGTTGCTCAAAATAAACATATCTTTTTAAAATACATCAGAAAAATCAATGATTTATTATTGCCTGAAAAACCTTTTTAACAATAGATTTTAATCCAAGTTTTCTTCATTATAATCTATTATTCACTATGTGCACAATTAGGTAAACGAAAATTACATTATAAAAACAAAATAAATCGTAGAACATGTAAAACATGAGAAAGCAGGTATTATTAGAGCACAAAGACTTTGCCCTTTTATAAATTTGCATAGCAAAAAAATTAAAAAAGGTAACCATAAATGTTTTAAATCATCTTGTATTGAGAGACTAAATGAAAAGGTAACTTTGGTAATGTATTCTAAGTTAGGCATCCAAAATACAGAAATTAAGAGAAAAGGATAAAGATTATAACAAAAGTAAACAGAATAGAAATCAATCCTAGTTTTGATAATTTCACTAACAACAAAAAATGCTCCAATAATGAAAATATTTGTAAAACATTTTTCTTCTTCATAATAGAGCAAAAGATATGAAACCATTAACTCCTTAGGTATTTTCTAGGAAACTCTAATAATGAACATAATAGTTTTTGGGTAAAAGTAAAAATTTCCTGAATATTTTAAGAAAAATCTTAGCCTTAAAGAGAATTAAAATACATTAAAAATTGAAGAATCCGAAAAAAGCAAATGCTAGAATACAAGAAGAACACAGAAAAACTCAACCTTATTATGCAAAGGAGAGTAACTTCTTTTAAAAGTTTTAAAGAGACTTAAATTGTTAACAATATTAACATGTTCATTAATATTTTAATATGAAAAGGATAGTTTTGTTTATACAATAAATAATCTTATCTCTTACGCCTGATATCTTTAATCCCCATTTTTAGCATACTTCCAACATGTTCAGAGTTTTAAAAAACACATAAAGTGTATTTGCACAGCTCATTAACTCAGAGAAAACTGATAGAAGACTAAAAGCAATGGTAAGAAATTAGATGTCAACATAAAAGTGCAGAACTCTAAGGAGTACTTCTCATAAAAGAAAAATGGAAAAGGTGGCAGAAAGACATGATGTAAAAGAGAAGAAAAAAGTCTGAACAAATGGAGAAGATATTTAACATATGAATCTTGATAACTTCTTTGTGCAACAGGCACATACTGTATAATTGATTTATAAGATTGTGATATTCAAGAATGCCATTTTTGAGTTTGGTTTGGCTCTGTAATCGCAAGTGATGACCAAGAGACTGTAGCTTTATTTTACTCAGTGTGCCTTCATGTAAAGTGTTGATGAGAGGAGTTTAACATTTTAAAAACTTTTATTATAAAAGCATTAATTAAGACAATTAGTTTTTAAATTAAGGACCTTCTAGCTTGAAGTTTTAAGCTACTTCTTTAAATTATAAATTTTCAAAAGGCAGGAGGTCCATAATATCCAAATGGATGGGTAGGACCCCATCCATGCAAAAAGCTCTCATATGTTAATAATAAAGCATTTCTATTATGCAGTTTAAAAAACATACAACCAAGATGCCCCTTTAATTTTGTTCGTATTTATTACCTGGTTAAGAATAAAAAGATACTCATATTTATGATAAATATTTAATAAACAAACCTACCCCAATTTTTACTTCAAATAGACAATGTAAAGCATTTTACCAATTCATCTTTATTAACTGCCTAACATACTGTACATAGTATTTCTCATTCCATAAATAATTCTTCCTTACCTGCATTAGATAAAATGCTGTCTTTGCCAAGGCTTTTCTTCTCAAGGTTATTCAAAATGAAGTCTTCTTCAAAAACATGAAGCAGTTGGGTTTTTCTGCCATGCTGAATATAAATAAATATCAACGTAAGTTGACCTATGTGTTATTTACCTAATGCTAAATAGCCAGAAAAATAATACTTCATAATGAGATATTTAAAGGCAGAATAAGAAGTCAAAAGTTCAGCAGAACGTAAGCGTATGGCACCTCCATTAGATTAAACAGATGAATATAAAAATTTAGGTCAAGATGATTTGCTTTCATTACAATGAGTCTTTATAAGTAAGAAATAATATCCACCAATGTTTTTTATTTAGCCACAAATTGGAACCTAGTTTTCTTTTCAGTGATTTTCAATAACCATGGATGAGGAACCTAACACCACTTTATTAAATCTAATGGTAATATGATAATATTTCTAATATGTTTGAGTCAAAGTTTGAAAATTTATTTGGCTGTGAATATAGTAATGAGGATAATTTGTTTTCTAGTTTGAAGTCTAGGAAGTAAAATATACAATAATATGTTATCTATTATGTGATGAGTTAATTACTGAATCTACCTGTAAATATATAGCAAATTTTCAAATTACATTAATATATAGATTTTATGCAAAATGCTTTCATAAACTTTTTTTTAATATACCTCCCCCCCAAAATTAATACTTACAAGTTTGGTAATGGGATCTAATGCAATAATGCATCCTGGCCTGGCTGTTGATTGTTGACTGACGATGTTAAAGACTTCACCAACATATTTCTGTTTTTTTTAAAAAAATTTATAATTTACTAAACAATTCATATGCAAATAAGAGTAAATAACAAAATTTCAAGCATAACAGATAAATAACAATAAAATTCAAGTGGGCCTAAATATAGTCCCTTTCAACTATAAAAATTCTAGGTCTTTAGTCTTTATAGGAATTAACAAACGAATGAAAAAGCATTACAGCTCAGTTGGTACAGAGAAAAATAAAAGTAATGCTTGATAACTGTTAAGGAAAAAAATTACATCCATAAATGTGAAAAATTGATTTCAATCTCCTAGAAATGTTCTAATAATTAGTGCTTTTTAAACATTAATTTTGAGATAGGAAGGATAGAGCTAAAGAAACAAGATTACATACTATTCAAATATGCTGATCTCTTGAGCCATTCATGTCCTGACTGCTTTAGTCAAGGTCACACTGCTAAATTCAGTGGTCTATTTTCAAATCTTTATCAGACTTCCTTTATCAGCAGTATCTGATCTTGGTAATCATTCCTTCTTCCTCCTTGAAATATTTTTTTTCTTTTGCCTTCCATTATACACCACATTCACCCTTGTATTTCCACCCTACTTTTAACCGAGCATTCCAGCATTCAATCTTTAATTTTTTTTAACTTTCATTGTAGGTTTGGGAGTACGTGTGCTAAACTCATGTCACAGGGCTTTGTTGTACAGATTATTTCATCATCCAGGTACTAAGCCCAGTACCCGAGAGTTATTTTTTCTGGTCCTCTCCCTCCTCCCAACTTCCAACATGAAGAAGTCCCCAGTGTCTGTTTTTCCATTCTTTGGGTTCATGAGTTCTCATTATTTAGCTCCCACTTGTAAGTGAGAACATGCAGTATCTGGTTTTCTATTCCTGTTAGTTTGCTAAGGATAATGGCCTCCTTAAAGAATGGCCTCCATAAAGAAGTTGCTTTATGAATGCCAGCTCCACCCATGTTCCTGCAAATTACATCATTTCATTCTTTTTTATGGCTGCACAGTATTCCATCATGTGTATGTACCACATTTTCTTAATCCAATCTGTCACTCATGGGCATTTGGGTTGATTCTATGTCTTTGCTATTGTGAATAATGCTGCAATGAACATTTGCCTGCATGTGCCCTTACCACAGAATGATTTATACTCCTCTAGGTACATAGCCAGTAATGGGATTGCTGGGTCAAAAGGCAGTTTTGTTTTTAGCTCTTTGAGGAATCACAGTACTGCTTTCCACAACGGTTGAATTAATTTACACTCCCATCAACACTGTGTAAGTGTTCCCTTTTCACTGCAACCTCATCAGCATCTTTTTTTTTTTTTTTTTTTTTACTTTTTAATAATAGCCATTCTGACTGGTGTGAGATGGTGCCACATTGCGGTTTTTATCTGCATTTCTCTAATGATCAGTGATTGAGCTTTTTATCATGTTTGTTGCCACACGTATGTCTTCTTTTGAAAAGTGCTCATGTCCTTTACTCACTTTTTGATGGAGCTGTTTTTCTCTTGTAAATTTAAGTTCCTTACAGATGTTGGATATTCAGACCTTTCTCAGATGCATAGTTTGCAAATATTTTCTCCTATTCTGTAGGTTGTCTATTTACTCTGTTATGATTGCTTTTGATGTCTTTGTCATGAAATCACTGCCCATTCCTATGTCCAGAATGGTATCGCCTAGATTGTCTTCCAGGGTTTTTAGAGTTTTAGGTTTTACATTTAAGTCTTTAATCCATTTTGAGTTGATTTCTGTATATGATGTAAGGAAGGGATCCAGTTTCAATTTTCTACATATGGCTAGCCAATTCTGCCAGCATCATTTATTAATGGAATCCTTTCCCCATTGCTTGTTTTTGTCAGGTTTGTCAAAGATCAGACAGTTGTAGGTGTGTGGTCTTATATCTGGATTCTCTATTGTGTTCCATTGGTCAATGTGCCTGTTTTTGTACCACTACTATGCTGTTTTGGCTACTGTATCCCTGCAGTATAGTTTGAAGTCGGGTAACATGATACCTCAAAGCTCTGTTCTTTTTTTTACGATTGCCTTGGCTACACAGCCTCTTATTTTGGTTCCATATGACTTTTAAAATAGGTTTCTCTAGTTCTGTGAACAATGTTGTTGGTAGTTTGATAGGAATAGCATTGAATCTGTAAATTTTTGGGCCATACTTTGGGCAGTATGGTCATTTTAATGATATTGATTCTTTCTATCCATCAACATAGGATGTTTTTCCCATGTGTTTGTGTCTTCTCTGATTTATCTGAGCAATGTTTTGTAATTCTCATTGTAGAGATCTTCCACCCCCCTGGATAGCTGTATTCCTAGGTATTTTATTCTTTTTGTGGCAGTTGGGAATGGGACTGTCTTCCTGAATTGGTTCTCAGATTAGCTGTTGTTGGTGTATAGGAATGCTAGTCATTTCTTCTACATTAATTTTTGTATCCTGAAACTTTACTGAAGCTGTTTATCAGATCTAGGAGCTTTTGGGCCAAGACATAGGGTTATCTAGATATAGAAACATGTCATGTACAAACAGTGATAGTTTTACTTCCTCTCTTCCTATTTAGATGCCTTTTATTCCTCTTTCCTGATTGCTGTGGCCAGCACTTCCAATAATATGCTGAATAGGAGTGGCAAGACAGGGCATCCTTTCCTTGTGTCAGTTTTCAGGGGGAATGCTTCCAGCTTTTGCCCATTCAGTATGATGTTGGCTGAGAGTCTGTCAAAGATAGCTCTTATTATTCTGAGGTATGTTCCTTCAACACCTAGTTTATTGAGAGTTTTTAACATGAAGGAATGTTGAATTTTATCAAAAACCTTTTCTGCATCTATCAAAAAAATTATGTGTTTTTTGTCTTCAGTTCTCCTTATGTGATAAATCACATTTAATTTTCATATGTTGAACAAAACTTGCATCCCGGGAATTAAGCCTACTTGATCACTGTGAACTAGCTTTTTAATGTGCTGCTGGATTTGGCTTGCCAGTATTTTGTCAAGGATTTTTGCATTGATATTCATAGAGGATATTGGGCTAAAGTTTTCTTTTTGTGTGTGTGTGTCTGCCAGGTTTTGGTATCAGGATAATGCTGGCCTCAAAAAATTAGTTGGGGAGGAGTCCCTCCTCCTCAATTTTTTGGAATAGTTTCAGTAGGAATGGTACCAGCTCTTCTTTGTGCATCTGGTGTAATTCAGCTATGAATCCCTCAGATCCTGGGTTTTTCGGTTGGTAGGCTATTTATTACTGACTCAATTTCGGAGCTCGTATTAGTCTGTTTAGGGAATCAATTTCTTCCTGGTTCAGTCTTAGGAGGGGGTATATGTCCAGGAATTTATCCATCCCTTGTAGGTTTTGTAGTCTGTGTGCACAGAGGTGTTCGTAGTAGTTTCTGATTATTGTTTTTATTTCTGTAGAGTCAGTGGTTAACATTCCCTTGGTAATTTCTAATTGGGTTTATTTGGATTTTCTATTGGCTTAGTTAGCAACGTACTTATCTTATTAATCTTTTCAAACAGCCATTTCCTGGAATTGCTGATCTTTTGAATGGTATTTTGTGTTTCGATTTCCTTCAGTTCATCTCTGATTTTGATTATTGCTTATCTTCTGCTAGCTTTGGGGTTGATTTGTTTTTCCTTCTCTAGTTCTTTCAGTAGTGATGTTAGGTTATTAGTTTGAGATCTTTCTGACTTTTTGATGTGGGCATTTAGTACTATAAATTTCCATCTTAACACTGCCTTAGTTGTGTCCCAGAGATTCTGGCATGTTATATCTTTATTCCCATTACTTTCAGAGAACTTCTTGGTTTCTGTCTTAATTTCACTATTTACCCAAAAGTCATTCAGGAGCATGTTTTTAATATCCATGTAATTGACTGGTTTAAGCTATTTTTTAAATCCTGACTTCTATTTTTATTGCACTGTGGTCCAACAGTGTGTTTGGTATGATTTTGGTTCTTCTGCATTTGCTGAGGATTGTTTTATGTCCAATTATGTGGTCCAATTTAGAGTATGTGACGTGGCAATGAGAGGAATATATATTCTGTTGTTTTGGGTGGAGAGTTCTGCAGCAGTCTGTCAGATACATTTGGTCCAATGTTGAGTTCAGGTCCGGAATATCTCTGTTACTCTTCTGCCTCGATGAGCTGTCTAATACTGACATTGAAGTGTTGAAGGCTCCCACTATTATTGTGTGGGAGTCTATGTCTCTTTGTAGGTTTCTAAGAAGTTGTTTTATGAATCTGGGTGCTCCTGTGTTGGTTGCATATATATTTACCATAGTTAGGTCTTCTTGTTGAATTGAACCCTTTACCATTGTGTAATGCCCTTCTTTGTCTTTTTCTAATCTTTGTTGGTTCAGAGTCTGCTTTGTCTGAAATCAGGATGGCAACCCGGCTTCTTTCTGATTTCCATTTACTTGGTAGATTTTTCTCCATCCCTTTATTTTGAGCCTATGGGTGTCATTACATGTGAGAGGGGTCTCTTGAAGACCACATACCATTGTTTTTTTAAATCCAGTGTGCCACTCTATACCTTTTACGTGGGGCATTAAGCCTGTTTACATTCAAGGTTAGCACTGACATGTGTGGATCTGATTGTGTTATTATGTTGTTAGCTGGTTACTATGCTGGCTTGTGTGGTTGCTTTATAGTGTTACTGGTCTGTGTATATTTAAGTGTGTTTTTATATTAGGTGGTAGTGATCTTTCCATTCAATATTTACTACTCCCTTCAAGACCTCTTGTAAGGCAAACTCCCTCAACATTGGTTTATCTAAAAAGGATCTTATTTCTTCTTCACTTCGGAAGCTTAGTTTGACTAGATATGAAATTCTTGGTTGAAGACTTTTTTTTCTTTAAGGATGTTGAATATAGGTCCCCAGTCTCTTCTGGAGAAATATGGAACACTTCATGAATTTGCATGTCATCCTTGCACAGGAGCCATGCTCATCTTCTCAGTATTATTCCAATTTCAGTTTATGTGCTGCTGAAGTGAGCACACATTCAATCTATTACTTCTTAAGATGGTGTCTCTCTCTGTCACCCAAGGCTGGAGTGCAGTCGTGTCATCTTGGCTCACTGCAACCTCTGCCTCCCAGTTTCAAGTGATTCTCCTGCCTCAGCCTCCCAGGTAGCTGAGACTACAGGTTCCTGCCACCACATCTGGCTAATTTTTATATTTTTAATAGATGGGGTTTCACCATGTTGGCCAAGCTGGTCTCAAACTTCTGACCTCAAGTGATCCACCTGCCACGGCCTCCAAAAGTGCTGGGACTACAGGCATGAGCCATCGTTCCTGGCTTAACACTTCTGTTTTCTAACTATAGTCTCACCCTTGGCAATCTCATTCACTTCCACAACTTCAAATTTATATGCTGACAACTACTGTATATTTTCAGGCCAGACCTCTCTCTGAACTCCAGATACTAACCTACTATGTCTTTTGGATGTCAAACAGGCATCTCAAAATTAATATGACCAAAGCCAGACTCTTGAATTTCCCTGCCCCTCAAAACCTGCTACTTCTACATTCTTCCACATCTCAATTCACAGCAATTCTGTTCTTCCTAATATTCAATCACAAACCTTGGGAGTCCTCTTTTTTTCTCACACATACCGCATCCAGTCCATTCATAGCTATTCAATGTTCTAAACAACATCTTGAATTTGGCCATTTTTATCATCTCTGCCATTACCACTTGCTATATTCTAAGCTCCTTTTTTCCCTCTCCTGGACTACTGTAATTGGTTCCTAAATTGGTCTCTCTGGATCTACTTCCGCATCCCACGTCTAATCTATATAGCCACCAGAGGAATCATTTAAAACCTAAATCATTTCATACCTCTTCTATAGTTTCCATGTTATTCAGAGTAAAACCTGAAGTTACCACAATGGCCTATCAGGCTTCATATGACCTGGCCAGGCTAACTTTCCGACTTTATCCCTGACTATTTTCCACCTCACATGCTCTGCTCCAGCCACAGTGGCCTTTTTGCTGTTCCTTTACATACTGTATTAGTCCATTTTCATACTGCTATAAATAAATACCTGAGACTGGGTAATTTTAACAGACTCACAGTTCTGCATGGCAGGGGAGCCCTCAGGAAACTTACAATCATGGCGGAAGATGAAGGAGAAGCAAGCACCTTCTTCACAAGGTGGCAGGAAAGAAAGCATGCAGGGGAAACTGACACTTTTTAAACCATCAGATCTTGTGAGAACTTGCTCACTATAATGCAAACAGCATAAGGGAAATGGCCACCATGTTCCTATCACCTCCCACCAGGTGCCTCCCTTGATATGTGGCAATTATAATTCGAAATGAGATTTGGGTGAGCACACAGCAATAAACCATATCAATCCACCCAAGCCCCTCCCAAATCCCCTTTTCACATTTCAAAACCAATCATGCCTTCCCAATAGTTCCCCAAAGTCTTAACTCCTTACAGCATTAACCCAAAAGTCCAAGTCCAAAGTATCATCTGAGACAAGGGAACTCCCTTCTGCCTATGAGCCTGTAAAATCAAAAGCAAGTTGGTTACTTCCAAGATACAATGCGAGCACAGGCATTGGGTAAATGTTCTGTTCCAAATAGAAGAAACTGGCCAAAACAAAGGGGCCATAAGCCCCATGCAAGTCTGAAACCTGGCCAGGCAGTCATTAAATCTTAAGCTCCAAAATCTCCTTTGACTACATGTCTTGCATCCAGGGCACATTGACACAGGTGTGGGTTCCCACGGCCTTGGGAAACTCTGCCCCTGTGGCTCTGCAGGGTACAGTGCCTGTGGCTGCTTTCACAGGCTAGTGTTGAGTGCTTATGGCTTTTCCAGGCACATGGTGCAAACTGTCAGTGGATCTACCTTTTTGGGGTCTGGAGGATGATGGTGGTCCTCTTCTCCCAGTTCCATGAGGCCCCAGTGGGGACTCTGTGGGACGCTCCAACTCCACTTTCTCCCTCTGCATTGCCCTAGTAGAAGTTTTCCATGAGGGCTTCGCCCCTGCCGCAGACCTCTGCCTGAACATCCAGGTGTTTCCATACATCCTCTGAAATCTAGGTGGTTGCTGCCAAGCCTCAACTCTCATCTTCTGCATACCCACAGGCCCAATACCATGTGGCAGCTGCCAAGGCTTGGGGCTTGCACTCTCTGAAGCAACAGCCGCAGCTGTACCACGGCCCCTTTTAGCCATGGCTGGAGCTAGAGCAGCTGGGAGGCAGGGCACTGAATCCCAAGGCTGCACAGAGCAGCTGGGCCCTGGGCCTGGCCCATGAAACCATTTTCCCGCTTAGGCCTCTGGACCTCTGATGGGAGGGGCTGCCATGAAGATCTTTGACATGTCCCAGAGACATTTTCCCCATTGCCTTGGCTATTAACATTCAGCTCCTGGTTACTTATGCAAATTTCTGTAGCCCTTGAATTCTTCTCCAGGAATGAGTTTTTCTTTTCTACCACATGGTCAGGCTGCATATTTTCTAAACCTTTATGCTCTGCTTCCCTTTTAAACGTAAGTTAACATAAATTTCAATTTCAAACCATCTCTTTGTAAACACATATAACTGAATGCATTCAGAATAAGCCAGGTGACCTCTTGAATGCTTTGCTGCTTAGAAATTTCTTCTGCCAGATAACCTAAATCATCTCTCAAGTTCAAAGTTCCACAGATCTCTAGAGCAGGGCCAAAATGCAACCAGTCTCTTTGCTAAAGCATTAACATGAGTGATCTTTGCTCCAGATCCCAGTAAGTTCGTCATCTCCATCAGAGACTACCTCAGCCGGGACTTCATTGTCCGTATCACTATCAGCATTTTGGTCAAAACCATTCAACAAGTCTCTAGGAAGTTCCAAACTTTCCCACATCTTCCTGTCTTCTTCTGAGCCCTCCAAACTATTCCAACCTCTGCCTGTTACCCAGTTCCAACACCGCTTCCACATTTTGGGTTATCCTTATAGCAGTGCCCCACTCCTGGTACCAATTATCTGTAGTAGGCTGTTTTTACACTCTATGAAGAAATACCTGAGACTGGGTAATTTATAAATAAGTTTAATTGATTCATAATTCTACATGGCTCAGGAGGCCTCAGGACTTACAATCATGGCAGAAGGCAAAGGAGAAGCAAGCACCTTCTTCACAGGTGTCAGGAGACGGCACGTGCACAGGGGAAACTGCCACTTTTAAGATCATCAGATCTTGTGAGAACTCCCTCACTATCATGAGAACAGGATGGGAGAACTGCCCCCATGATCCAATCACCTCCCACCAGGTCCCTCCCTCAACACGTGGGAAGTATAATTCAAGATGAGATTTGGGTGGGACACAGAGCCAAACCTTATCACATACCAAACATGCTCCGGCCTTGGGATCTCTGAACTGGCTGTCCGTTTTCCCAAATCACATTCTCTTTAATAAATATCTACGTATCTAGTTCCCACATCTCCTTCAGATCTTTAATCAAATAGTACTTTTTCTGTGAAATTTTCCCTGACCAGCAACTTACTTGGCAATTCCTAATTCTTCTGCAACACTGTTTCTATCCATAGTATTTTTAATTAATATATTTTTATCTGTTTTCTTCCTATCTCCCTTCACCCGAATATAAGCTCTATGATACAAATTTTTACCTGTTTTCTTCACATCTAAATTCCCATTACTTAAAAATGCCTGATAAATAGAAGACCCCCCCCAAAATATATACATTTCTACTGTAATACTATATACATGCTTTGGAAAACCTTGTGTTCTGCAAAATTATGCATTAAAATTAACTTACAGAAAAAAACAGGATTGGAACAGATCACTGACATTTATGCAACTCTGTAAGCCGAGCATTAACAAATACATTAATTGGTAGTCAGGGAGATGGCTTGAATCTCCTAAATAGAAAGCTTGGTACAGCCGAAGGCTGCCTCTGGGGATACCAAAAGAAAAATCGCCAAAACCAGAAAAGTGGAAACGCTTGCTTGTTGGATGTCCCAAGACAATGCAGTTAGAAGGTTGTTATTAGGTGGGTATGAGAACAAATGTGGCCTGTCATAAGGCAAAAGCCTTACAACAATACTGAAAGAACTCTTGTCTGAACTGTAACCAAGCTAAGGGCTCTTTCTTTTCATGTTTAAGATTAAAATTCTATTCCTGTTGTTCCAGCTCCTCCTGCCTATAAAATAATTGCAGGGGGGCCGATATAACTTCTACATTATACTGTCAGTAGTCCTCATTTATCTATGAGTAAAGAAGTGTTACAGAAACATATTACAGGAGATGAGACTCTACTTTCTTTCAAAGAGTGAAAGAAATGGTTTCCTTTTAAAGGAGCTTTAAATCATTACAAGAGTACAAATGTGAAAAAATAAAACAAAGATACAAATGCTTATTACAAATTATAGGTCACAATTGTAGAACATGCCCAATAAATATAAACTATCTGAAAACATAATATTATATACTTAAGCTGTTTTAAAAGACATTACTTACAGAAATTTCAGGGTTAGAAAGCTCAGATAAAAGTTTCTTAGCATCAATAACTGCTTCATATAATCTCAGATATTGTCCATCACTGGCTACAAAGCATGCACTAGGAGAGTTGCAGTATGCACCTAGAAAGTATTTACAAATATTAAAATTTCACCCTTTGATGATAATGTCAGCAAATCTAAATTACTGTAATAAAAACCAGAATACTTACCCAGACAATAACTGGGTATAAGAGTGGGCAGCCATGCCACATTGGAAAAGGCAGAAACATGAAGAGAATTAATCCGGGCAAGCTCAGAAACTCCTCCAGAAAAAGACAATGGCCCAACTGGGTCAACCCTCCACAGAATAAGCTCACTGTAAACTGCACTGGGATCCTGAAATGCCACGTCAACAGTGCTTTTATTTTGTTGTGTCAAAGAGCATTCTTCAATATTTAGAGCATCAAAAGGTTGCTCTGGGTTATCAACATCTGGTGTCCTTAATGCATTATGGTGTGATGTTGTCAGCAATAATGGTAATACTGAGTGGCAAGCTAAATCATTAAGATGAAAACGATGACCACAATATCTGGATTTGTGGGAAATACTGAGAACAGTAGAAAAAGCAGATTCCTCGGCAAAACTGACCAGCCACTGATTCAGAGAACCATCAGCATGTTTTGATATCATCATAACATTAGGCGTAAAAATACTTAATTTTAAACTATTAGATGATTTATTGTGACCAGAAGAAATAAGCATTGATGTGGAACGGGTGAGGCCAGAAGGTTTTTGTTTCCCCTGCTGAATAGCCAAGTCAACATTCTTGGTACAGGCATACATCATTATGCTTTTACAGAGAGAGTTTGCATCACCTGTGGGGAAAGCTACTGGAATTCTGGAAACAAAGGACACCTAGAATCAAGAAAGCAAGTGTTAGAACATATAAAATTATATAAAGAGGTATTAGAAAATAGTACCCACATAAACAAGGAAGTAGCTCTCCAGAAATAACAGTAGTACCTGTACTTGACGAAACATACCAGGCTGGTATTCATCCAGCCAATCCACATGCCAAACTAGCAAAGAACCATCCATGGGATGAATACTAAATAGCATATCTGCATTTTTACTCCATTCAGACAGAAGTACTTCAATCTGATGATCAATGGCAGCTGACGATAATGATGTAAAACTTGAGTTTGGTACCATTTTATCACAGCCTAATTCCTTCTTTTCGGGATTTATTTTCAGATCATCAACACCATCATCAGTTTCTATAAGCAAAAGAGTTCATGAACCAAGTAAATACAAACAGGTTATTACTATAAATTAAGAATTACCGAGCTTCTGGATAGCTGAACACATGGAGATCTCATGCCTAAGGAGAGCATGGAAGCTCTGTACCCCTTCCGCCACACCTCACCCTACACATCTCTTTATCCGTATTCTTTGCAATATACTTTAAGTAAACCAGTAAATGTAATGCTTAATGATAATGCTCCAGAGCATACTTTGAGATCTAGTTTCTTATCTACTTTTGCCCTTGCACAGATGAAAGGAGAAAACTTGGACTTTCAAAAAATAAAAGTATCATTTGTTACCATAACACCTACCAAGTAGTTCAAATTAATCGTTTACCTTTGGTGGTGAGTTTCATAGCCAGCAGCAATGCCAATATAGGACTAATTGTCAACCCAGAAAAGGGACTTGCTCCATTTTTTTTTTTTTTTTGAGACGGAGTCTTACTCTTGCCCCAGCTGGAGTACAGTGGCGTGATCTCAGCTCACTGCAACCTCTGCTGCCCGGGTCCAAGCAATTCCGCCTCAGCCTCCCAAGTAGCTGGGATTACAGGTGCCTGCCACTGCGCCCGGCTAATTTTTGTACTTTTTAGTAGAGACGGGGTTTCACCATCTTGGTCAAGCTGGTCTTGAACTCCTGACCTCGTGATCCACCTGCCTCGGCCTCCCAAAGTACTGGCATTACAGGCGTGAGCCACTGTGCCCGGCCAAGTTATGTAACTTTCTTAATCTGACAGTGGTATATGCACCTTATCTTCATTATAACAACACAAAATCAATCCAGCAATCTATAGATGACAATAATACTTTTATTAAACATGTGCTCAAGAAAGGGGCCTCTTTCGCCACCTTATAATAATAAAGAGCCTATAGACATAATTTATAGCCAGATCAATTGTCACATATTCTAGTGTAGAGCCTTTTCTTATTTAGTGAGATCTGGGGATATCACCAGAATGGTTCAATCTATCACAGCCCGCAAACAGTCCAGTCATCAAATATGAATGAGATTCTATTTAGTGAATCAGCATCAAACTGGTACTTTGATCCCCTTGAGCCATTAAGTATTGTACAATATGCCCAGATCTGCATAATGAAGAAGACTCTTTTTATTTTGAAGAAGTATATATTTTTCTTCAGATTATGTTTTATCTCTTTGCCTTGAGTGTGAGGAACATAAAATGCCTTAGCAAAACTAATACAATTAGTACAAACACACACACAAATATCTTTATAAATGGATTCAAGATGAAAAACATAACAGTTTTCATATTAATAAGAAATGGGCTCTGCATTAAAAGTAACTTTGCTCCAGGAATATAAGGTCACTGAAGTTCACTGAGTAATCAGTAGCCATACAGGACTGAGTCAGTGGATTACTGGTAGAAGACCTAATATTAAACTGGAAAATAAGTAAACTGGCTTCTCAATGCAGATGTTCTATATTTAACCACTCAGTTAACCTTTAGTAACACACACTACTTTTCTGGACCTCAGTTTTGCTCATGGTAAAAAGAAGGAATTGGAATTGGAACTAAAATTGGGACTGAGTTTTTAAAATACATTATTTGAGTGTAATTTGTACTTTATCTCTAAAGTACCAGGTTTATCCAAACCTCAGTATGCTACATTAGTTATCCTCTAGGTGTATGGACTTGTAACTGGTATGGCATCTTAAAGAAATCATTTCAAGGAAATGCATTTATGGTGCCAATTTCCAGGTTTCCTTCAACACCTTAGTAACAAAAAATAAACTGTGTATCAACTTATCAATACAGGTAAATATGTATATTCTTTCCTCTTTCAAAAATCCCAGTCCCCTCACCCTCCCCCAATTCCTGGTTAGCAATATAGAGCCTTTCTCTGAAGAGATATATTTTTTTTAAGTTTTGACTGTTTACCAGATTTAAAAAGTAAGTCAAGATATACAAATCAATAAGAAAAAAAAAAAAACTCAGCAGGAAATTAGATAAAGGGTATTAAAAGGCAAGCCACAGAAGGGCAAAAATATAATAAAAGATATTCTGCTTAATTTGCATCAAGAAAATGCAAAGTAAAACAAGATGTCCATTGTCCCGTTATCAACTGGCAAAAAAAAAAAAAAGTAATATAATGAAAACATCCAATGTTGATAAGGATGTAAAGCATATATTTAGATACACTTAGAGGAAGTATAAACTGGTAAAACATTTCTGGAGGGCAATTTGTCAGAAGTTATTGATATTTTAAATTGCTACACTCCCTGGAAATTCCCCATCTAGAAATCAAGATTATAGAAAAACTCACAGAAAAAAGAAAAAGACAAGTCATTGTACCTAGAATAATGAAAAACAATTTAAATTAATTTAAATGTTTATCAATAGAAGACCTGTTAGACATTTCTCTTAGACATGGAATACTCAGCAGCCGTTAAATACAATGATATGAAAAACTGCCCATTACTGACTGAATTAAAACAAAGCACAGGCCGAGCATGGTGTCTCACGCCTGTAATCCCAGCACTTTGGGAGGCCCAGGTGGATGGATCACCTGAGGTCAGGAGTTCGAGACCAGTCTGACTAACATGGTGAAACCCTGTCTTGACTAAAAATAAAAAAATTAGCCAGGTGTGGTGGCGGATGCCTGTAATCCTAGCTACTCGGGAGGCTGAGGCAGGAGAATTGCTTGAACCCGGGAGGTGGAGGCTGCAGTGAGCCAAGATTGTGCCACTGCACTCCAGCCTGGGTGACAGAGCAAGACCCCATCAAAAAAAAACAAACAAACAAAAAAAAAACACAAAGTGCAGAACATTATTTCTGTATAAAAATGCACACCCACAGTACAACTTTTAAGTGTCTGTATTTAGATGTTTGTGTGAGCATAAGCAAAGAATCAAACTGGAAGGATACTTATCAAACTTAACAATGTGGAAACTTCATAACTATCTGTGTACCTGTTTGATTTTTCTTACCTAATGATCATAAACCATCTTGAAATTAAAAATTAAACAAATTAAAACAAAACTTTAAAAAAAAAAACCAAACACATTTATGAACCACAGACTGTCACAGAGATGGCTAGCTGCACACCACAGTTTCTTACTTTCCATTTCTCAGCATATAAAGGCTACAGAGTCAGGAACTACACGGGCCCTGTGAATTCCAGCTGAATGTTCTTGCCAGCTGAATGACAGTGTAAGTGATATGCGTCAATCAAGGTAGCTGACAAATAGCTATGCTTTCTTTCTCTCTAACTCTCTCTCTATACCAACTGAAGGCCAAAGGCAGAGAAATTTAATGTCCTAGTTTCAATGCTTCTCAAACTTTAATGTACATACAAATCACCTGGAAATTTCATTAAATTGCAGATTCTGGTTTGGTGGGTCTGTGTGGACCTTGAGACATGCATTCTAACAAGCTCCTGGGTAACACCAATGCTGCTAGTCTACAGATAGTCCTTTATATAGGAAAGTCCTAAGGGCTAACAAAACCAGAAGAATGAGAACCCCCAGTCCTTAAATAACCATGTGGAAGAAAGCTACCTATAACAGAAATATCTACATTAGATTATTAAATGAGCTAGTCCATGTTTGGATCATGTCATTGCAACTTTAAAGTTTATTACAAGTAGCTAGTTTTACCCTAATATGAAAATGTTTGCTATTTTGAGCAAAACTTTAAATTTTCCTTTCCTCTTAAAGTTTACCTTCATCAGATTTTACATCTGCCTGATTAGAATCTTCTACACTGGCCTCAGAAGATGGTTGTTCAAAACTTTTTCTAAGTTGCTGTAAAAAAACTTCCATGGACAAAGTAAAATGCAGTTCTTTATTGTTTAGCCAGTGTACAACAAAAGGTCCGGTCTTCTCTTCATTTTCATTTAGACTCAGAGATGTAATAGATGGAAGAAGTGGAATGTCTATAAGAGAAAAAAAAGATAAAATTAAAATTTTTACCTTCTAGCATATGAAACATCCATGTTTCATATTTTTATTACTATTACATTTATATTTTGTTTGCCTGAAAGTCCTTCTCTTTCACTTTTTAATTTTATTTTGAGATTTTGTTTTTTTGAGACAGAGTTTCGCTCTGTTGCCAGGCTGGAGTGCACTGGTGTGATCTTGGCTTACTGCAAACTCCCTGGTTCAAGCCATTCTCCTGCCTCAGCCTCCCGAGTAGCTGTGATTACAGGCACACGCCACCACGCCCAGCTAATTTTTGTATTTTCAGTAGAGACAGGGTTTCACCACGCTGGCCAAGATGGTCTCGATCTCCCAACCTCGTGATCTACCTGCCTCAGCCTCCCAAAGTGCTGGGATTACAGACGTGAGCCACCGTGCCTGGCCTATTTTAAGATTTTTTAAATACTATTTTTTAGAGTATTTTTAAGTTCACAGCAAAATTCAAAGGTACAGCCATATTCCCCATCCTACATATGCATAGCCTCCCACATTATCAACATCCACTACCAAAAGTGGTACATTTATTACAATTGATGAATCTACACTGACACATCACTATCACCCAACGTCTACAGTTTACCTTAGGGTTCATTCTTGGTGTTGTACATTCTACGGGTCTGAACAAATTTATAATATTTCATTTATCTTTAAATCTCTGGAACACATTTTATTTAACCTCTAAATAAGATTTCCAGCTGGGGCTAGTCATGGAGTGGGGAGGGTATGTCAGTCAGCAAGAGATCTGCTGCTGAGGAGAGAAGCATCAACAGCAGCATGGTAGCTCAACGGAAGAACCCTGAAGTCTACGTGGGATTTTCCAGTCTCCCAAATCAAATATCCAGAAAATCAGTGAAGAGAGGGTTGGAATTCATACTTATGGCAGTGGGGAAATCTGGATTCAGAAACTTTACATTAATCAACTCATTATTCTTCACTCTGTATTCTCCAGAGTATCCAGATTCTTCTCACAGAATTAAAAAGACCGTGCAGGTGGAACTATGCAAAGTTTTAATCAAAGAAGGTGGTGTTCAGTTGCTGCTCACAAGAGTTGATATCCCATGATTTAGACTTGCAATGGGTAATAGTAATTGTTGGTTACTGACTACACTGATAGTAAATTGAGGACCACCTAAATGGAGAATCATGATAAAACAGATGTCAGATGCCTCATAACAGGGTGCAGGGTTGTTTATACTTCATTTCTCCTTCAGGACATGGACTTAAACCATTTGATACTAAGTTTATGAAGCTTTTGCTTGAAAAAGTGAATATCATTCCCACTTATTGCCAAAGCAGACATGCTGATACCAGAGAAATGCCAATAGTTTAAAAACAGATAATGAAAGAAATCTAAGAACATAAAATTAAATATATGAATTTCCAAAAACACATGATGAAGAAAATAAACTTGTTAAAAAGATAAAGGACTGGCTGGGTGCAGCAGCTCATGTCTGTAATCCCAGCACTCTGGGAGGCCAGAGCAGGCAAATCACTTGAGGCCAGGGGTTCGAGACCAGCCTGGTCAACATGACGAAACCCCATCTCTACTAAAAATACAAAAATTAGCCAGGCATGGTGGCATGTGCCTGTAATCCCAATTACTTGGGAGGCTGAGTCACAAGAATCACTTGAAGCCAGGAGGCAGAAGTTGCAGTGAGCTATCGGTCACTGCACTCCAGATTACCAGACTAAGTAAAATTCTGTGAGTAATTCGGTAAGTTTAAAGTTGAACTAAAATTCTATCCTGGACAACCAGCTATCACCAGGCTTGCCTGGGTGACAGAGCGAGACTCTGTCTCAAAAAAAAAAAAAAAAAAAGGATAAAGGACTGTTTACCACTTGCTGTGGTAGCCAATAATACTACCATTGAAGTTAATGGCAAGAGAGTCAGAGGAAGGCAGTATCCTAAGGGTGTTGCTGATGTTGAATATGGTGAGCACTGTAATTTTACAATTCTAAGGAGTATCTTGATAGGAACACACATACAAGACTTGAAAGATGTTCCTGATAATGCCCATTACGAAAACCACAGAAGCAGAAAAATGGCACCTGACTTACAATGGAGTTGAAAACAACAAGAATAAAGGGCAGCTTACTAAGAGCCCTCTGGCACAAATGGAAGAGGAAAGAAGACAGCATGTAGCTAAAATGAAGAAGATGGGGACAAAGATGAAGCAGGCGTTCAAGATGAAGGTCAAAAAAAAAAAAGTTCAAAAACTGAAGGACTCTGAAACTGAGCTCCAACGGTGCCAAGAGCAAAAAGGAATTTAAGCACAGCACAAAGAATTAGAGGAAAAACGTCACCAGTTTGAGAATGAAAAAGCAAACTGAGAAGCTCAACTCAACAACATATTTTAGAACAGAACTCTTCAAGACCCCTGGAAAAGAACAATAGAAAGTGAAGATCTTTCAAAATCTCTATTGACCACCAGTTATGCATTAGTTGCCAACGCCAGCTTGGACATCAGTGTTAGATGAATCTGTCTAATCAATCTTCACCAGTTTTGTCTATAATGATGGATTTTAACAGCAGGACAAAAATTTTTTTTGTTATTGTTATTTACAGAGATTACGATGCTTGAATTGTCCACGGTGTTGGGCACTTAGAAAGTAACAGCTCTAAGTACACTTCCTACATTTTCTTTTTTGTCTTTTATTGAATAGATATCCCCAATTTAATGCAAGAGAATATTTTATTGTTATACAGTCATGTCCTGGTGGTATGACTGTTGAGAGGATATTCCAAAATAAAAGGATGCTGCAAGGTTTTCAATGAGGATAAATTGCTATGACGCAAACTTTTTTGATAATTATAATATAAACGTTCCATTCAATGCAGCACATACAATAATGCTTTTATTTTATTTTACCTTATTTTATTTTTGAGACAGAGTTTCACTCTTGCTGCCCAGGGTGGAGGGCAATGGCGCAATCTCAGCTCACTACAACCTCCGCCTCCCAGGTTCAAGCGATTCTCCTGCCTCAGCCTCCCAAGTAGCTGGGATTAAAGGCAGACACCACCACGCCTGGCTAATTTTGTATTTTTAGCAGAGACGGGGTTTCACCATGTTGGCCAGGCTGGTTTCAAATTCCTGACTTCACCACCGCCTCGGCCTCCCAAAGTGCTGGGATTAGAGATGTGAGCCATCGAACCCAGTCAATAACATAATTTAGTCTAACACAGTTGACTCTTCCATTGTTTAAAAACACACATGAAAAAAAGAAAAAAACCTATATGCTTACAGTACATACAGAGCTTTTTTATAGCAACCTTTGTTTGTTTTGGATTTTTTAAATATATATTGGCCAGGCGCGGTGGCTCACGCCTGTATTCCCAATGCTTTGGGAGGTCAAGGTGGGTGGATCACGAGGTCAGGAGATTGAGACCATCCTTGCTAACATGGTGAAACCCCGCCTTTATTAAAAATACAAAAAAGTAGCCAGGAGTGGTGGCGGGCGTCTGTAGTCCCAGCTACTTGGGAGGCAGAGGCAGGAGAATGGCATGAACCCGGGAGGTGGAGTTTGCTGTGAGCCGAGATCACACCATTGCACTTCAGCCTGGGCAACAGAGTGAGACTTCATCTCAAAAATAATAACAATAATAATAATTACATATATATATACACACACAAAATCCACATTTAGTGCCCTCCTTAGCTAGAATCTCATTAGTAATTCATTTTTGTAACAACATTTAATTTAGATATTTTCCATATAGTGGCCCTGCTAAAATAGAATATAGCACCTTTCTTATGGTAGTAACCAACAAGGAAACTTTCCTTTAACTTCCTTTTTATACTTTCCGTAAGCAGCAGGTGGGGAAATGCATTTATAGATCATTCCTAGGCAAAACTGTAAAGCTAATGAATCAATCTTTTTCTATTTATGCAGTCTAATTCACTAGAAGAGAAAAAAAGTCTTTTTACCCTTGAAGAGAAAAAAGTCACCATTCTGTATTTAGCTATATTCATATATTGTAGTTCTCTATTTTTGTTTCTACTGTCAAAAATTCACATAACAATGTTGTGATGTAAAAGAAGACTTCCAACATAATGTTTGCCACTATTATTAACAGTAACAGATTTAAACGGTAAATTTAATGTATCTATTGCAAAGGAGATTAAATTATATGTCCTAGGTCATACAGTATAATTTATTTAACCATAAATGTTTAACAGTGAAAAATATTCACATGATAAAATGTCTATAATTTGTAGCTCTGTTAATAGAAGTATCTTAATTTATAACAAATTTTGGTAACAAGCAAATTTTAAACTGATCCACAATAAAAGAAAAATGTTGGTTGGGTGCAGTGACTCACGCCTGTAATCCCACCACCTTGGGAGGCCAAGGCAGGCAGATCACGAGGAGGTCAGGAGCTCGAGACCAGCCTGGCCAACATGGTGAAACACCATCTCTACTAAAAATACAAAAATTAGCCAGGCATGGTGGCTCATGCCTGTAATCCCAGCTACTCAGGAGGCTGAGGCAGAAGAATCACTTGAACCCGAGAGGCAGAGGTTGCAGTGAGCCTTGATTACACCACTGCACTCCAGCTTGGCGACAGAGCAAGACTCTGTCTCAAAAAAAAAAAAAAAAAAAAAGTCATCACCATAATGTCAAAGGAACTAGTAACATATGTATCTTAATATCAACAACAACTAGTTTTTACTTAATAGACTGACCTATCAACCTCTTTAATGAGCTAATTCTAAGATGGACTGCTTATTTGTTAGCATTAAGACTGAAGTTGAGGTTCCCTTCTCACGCTCAAGGAAAGCATTCAAGACAGTCACACAGCTAAAAAAGCATTTGTTCCTTGGTCTTTCTTACTTTTTTTTTTTTTTTTTGAGATGGAGTCTCGCTCTGCCACCCAGGAAGCTGGAGTGCAGTAGTGTAATCTCGGCTCACTACAACCTCTGCCTTCCAGGTTCAAGCAATTCTCCTGCCCCAGCCTCCCAAGTAGCTGGGACTACAGGTGCCTGCCACCACACCTGGCTAATTTTTTTTTTTGTATTTTTGGTAGAGACGGGGTTTTACCATGTTAGCCAGGCTGGTCTTGAACTCCTGGCCTCAGGTGATCTGCCTGCCTCAGCCTCCCAAAGTGTTGGGATTACAGGTATGAGTGACCATGCCCAGCTCCTTGGTGTTACTTTTGATATGAATGTTAAATTGAGTACACTGATGTACTAATCCAGTGAGTTGCTGCAAATAATCCCTAATTAGTAGAAGTAAGCAAAAATTTAAGTATCACATTAAATCAAACCTGGATCATGTTGGTGTCTGCTAAACTGTAAAGGCTAGAATGAACTCAAGGAGTGTAAACAATTTTCTCCAAAACAAATCTATGGTTTAAAAGAAAGGTAAAGAAAGGCCAGGCACAGTGGCTCCCGCCTGTAATCCCAGCACTTTGGGAGGCCAAGGCAAGAAGATTGCTTGAGGCCAAGAGTTTGACACCAGCCTGGGCAAAACAGTGAGACTCCATGCCTATAAAAAATAAAAATTAAAAAAATACAATACTATATCTGTAGTACTAACCTTTATTAAGTAACAGTTCAAATATCAATTTTTGAATAAACTAATAATGAACTTCAATGCCTTATCAAGATCCTAAATCACAAGTCAAGTCATGGCCTTAAAGGGCAAACAAACAGAAATCAGTGAGCTTGCTACAATGAAAAATAGGCCTCTCCCTCTCCCTCTACCTCTCCTCCTCTCCCTCCTCTCCCTCTCCCTCCTCTCCCTCTCCCTCCTCTCCCTCTCCCTCCCCCTCCTCTCCCTCCTCTCCCTCTCCCTCTCCCTCCTCTCCCTCTCCCTCCTCTCCCTCTCCCTCCTCTCCCTCTCCCCTTTCCACGGTCTCCCCTCTCCCTCTTTCCACGCTCTCCCTCTGATGCCGAGCCGAAGCTGGACTGTACTGCCGCCATCTCGGCTCACTGCAGCCTCCCTGCCTGATTCTCCTGCCTCAGCCTGCCGAGTGCCTGCGATTGCAGGCGCGCGCCGCTACGCCTGACTGGTTTTCGTATTTTTTTGGTGGAGACGGGATTTCGCTGTGTTGGCCGGGCCGGTCTCCAGCTCCTAACCACGAGTGATCCACCAGCCTCGGCCTCCCAGGTGCCGGGACTGCAGATGGAGTCTTGTTCACTCAGTGCTCAATGGTGCCCAGGCTGGAGTGCAGTGGCGTGATCTCCGCTCGCTACAACCTCCACCTCCCAGCTGCCTGCCTTGGCCTCCCAAAGTGCCGAGATTGCAGCCTCTGCCCGGCCGCCACCCCATCTGGGAAGTAAGGAGCGTCTCTGCCTGGCCGCCCATCGTCTGGGATGTGAGGAGCCCCTCTGCCTGGCTGCCCAGTCTGGAAAGTGAGGAGCATCTCTGCCCGGCCGCCATCCCATCTAGTAAGTGAGGAGCGCCTCTTCCCGGCCACCATCACATCTAGGAAGTGAGGAGCGTCTCTGCCCCGCCGCCCCGTCTGGGATGTGAGGAGCGCCTCTGCCCGGCAGCGACCCCGTCTGGGAGGGGAAGGGCGTCTCTGCCCGGCCGCCCCGTCTGAGAAGTGAGGAGACCCTCTGCCTGGCAACCGACCCGTCAGAGAAGTGAGGAGCCCCTCCGCCCGGCAGCCGCCCCATCTGAGAAGTGAGGAGCCTCTCCGCCCGGCAGCCACCCCGTCTGGGAAGTGAGGAGCATCTCCGCCTGGCAGCCACCCCGTCTGGGAGGGAGGTGGGGGGGGTTAGCCCCCCGCCCGGCCAGCTGCCCCATCCGGGAGGTGAGGGGCGCCTCTGCCCGGTCGCCCCTACTGGGAAGTGAGGAGCCCCTCTGCCCGGCCAGCCGCCCCCTCCGGGAGGGAGGTGGGGGGGTCAGCCCCCCGCCCGGCCAGCCGCCCCGTCCGGGAGGGAGGTGGGGTGGTCGGCCCCCCGCCCAGCCAGCCGCCCCGTCCGGGAGGTGAGGGGCGCCTCTGCCCGGCCGCCCCTACTGGGAAGTGAGGAGCCACTCTGCCCGGCCAGCCGCCCCGTCTGGGAGGGAGGTGGGGGGGTCAGCCCCCCGCCCGGCCAGCCGCCCCGTCCGGGAGGGAGGTGGGGGGGTCAGCCCCCCGCCCGGCCAGCCGCCCCGACCGGGAGGGAGGTTGGGGGGTCAGCCCCCTGCCCGGCCAGCCGCCCCGTCCGGGAGGTGAGGGGCGCCTCTGCCCGGCCGCCCCTACTGGGAAGTGAGGAGCCACTCTGCCCGGCCAGCCGCCCCGTCCGGGAGGGAGGTGGGGGGGGTCAGCCCCCCGCCCGGCCAGCCGCCCCGTCCAGGAGGTGAGGGGCGCCTCTGCCCGGCCACCCCTACTGGGAAGTGAGGAGCCCCTCTGCCCGGCCACCACCCCGTCTGGGAGGTGTACCCAACAGCTCATTGAGAACGGGCCAGGATGACAATGGCGGTTTTGTGGAACAGAAAGGGTGGAAAGGTGGGGAAAAGATTGAGAAATCGGATGGTTGCCGTGTCTGTGTAGAGAGAAGTAGACATGGGAGACTTTTCATGTTGTTCTGTACTAAGAAAAATTCTTCTGCCTTGGGATCCTGTTGATCTGTGACCTTACCCCCAACCCTGTGCTCTCTGAAACATGTGCTGTGTCCACTCAGGGTTAAATGGATTAAGGGCGGTGCAAGATGTGCTTTGTTAAACAGATGCCTGAAGGCAGCATGCTCGTTAAGAGTCATCACCACTCCCTAATCTCAAGTACCCAGGGACACAAACACAGCGGAAGGCCGCAGGGTCCTCTGCCTAGGAAAACCAGAGACCTTTGTTCACTTGTTGATCTGCTGACCTTCCCTCCACTATTGTCCTATGACCGTGCCAAACCTCCCTCTGCAAGAAACACCCAAGAATGATCAATAAAAATAAATAATAAATTAAAAAAAAAGAAAAAAAAAAGAAAAATAGGCTAAGACAGTCACCTCCAATATTTTACTTATTTGAAAACTAAAAGTATAACTTAGTTGTTATAAAATCAATCTATTCAATTTCAGAAACATGTTTTGAACAATGTTTCATTACCTGTGGCTGGGTTGATGCTGGCTGCAATATGAAAGTGGCAAAGTGCATTGGCATGCAGTGGAGTGTTCCTGTGAACATGATGAGGATCCTGCTGATGTGGTAGATATCCCGTATGTGCTACAAGAGCAAGTGATCTCCTCCGACCTCTACGAAAATGTCTCAGATTTACCTGTGTGAATAGAAACAAAACTAATACCTATATTGTCAAAAGTCATACACGTATAGGTTATATAATGATTGTCAGAAGTTACATATATCCTAGCTCAGAACATTTTACATGTTTTATATGTAAAAACGCCTTTTAACATTTTATATGTAAAAACACCTTTCAATATTTTGGTATAGCAAATTTGAATCCTGAAGAATAAAGTTATGACTTAAAGTACCTGGCTGTTCTCTTAATCCTCACACAGTGTTTTGCAATTTTTATTAGGCTTATTTTCTTAAAATGTATTTCCTAAAATCAAATGTTAAAAATTTTTTTCCCAATACTATTGTTTGTGACTGATATCTCTACATACACTGTCTTTTGTCTATAGCTAACTCCTTGTGACCACACAGTATTAAATAATATTACCACTGCACATGGAACATTTCATAATTTACAAAGCATTTTCATAGAGATCATCCCATTTGATGCCATGAGGCAGGCAGTGCAAATATTGTTATTCCCATCTTTCATATGATAAAATGGTCTATATAGAACCCAAGATCATCTAGCTAAGAAGAGGCAGGGCAAAAGGTAGAACAAGTCTTCAGATTCCTGGTCAGTAACTTCTTTCAGCTATTACTACATGTAACCATTCTATTCGTTGTTGAATCAATACAGAATTTATTATATTCTGAGGCATCAGAATACTATTCAAATTAGAAAAATTGTTGCTGCATAATCATACAAAGCATTCAAAGATAAATTGTTTCAAAATCACTTCTGTTTTCAGGGCCGGGCATGGTGGCTCACGCCTGTGATCCCAGCACTTTGGGAGGCCAAGGCAGTCAGATCACTTGA
Organism: Homo sapiens; assembly: GCF_000001405.40. Taxonomy (NCBI): domain Eukaryota; kingdom Metazoa; phylum Chordata; class Mammalia; order Primates; family Hominidae; genus Homo; species Homo sapiens. Next base: position 119,120,130 of record NC_000005.10, on the reverse strand, counting down.
GGCCAGGAGTTCGAGACCAACCGGTGTGGGAGGATTACTTGAGCCAACATGGCAAAACCCCATCTCCACTTTAAATACAAAAATTAGCCAGGCGTGGTGGCACACACCTGTAATCCCAGCTACTCGGGAGGCTGAGGAGGGACTACTGCTTGAACCCGGGAAGCAGAGGTTGCAGTGAGCTGGTATCGCCCCACTACACTCCATCCTGGGTGACAGACAGAGACTCTGTCTCAAAAAACAACAACAAAACAACTCCCCCACCCAAAAAAAAAATCCACAAAAAATAAAATCACTTCGTTTTCAATATTAAGAAAATAATAGGCCGAGCGCCATGGCTTATGCCTGTAATCCCAGTCCTTTGGGAGGCCGAGGCAGGTAGATCACTTGAGGTCAAGAGTTCGAGACCAGCCCTGGCAAACATGGTAAAGCCCTCTCCCTACTAAAAATACAAAAATTAGCTGGGCGTGGTGATGCACACCTGTAATTCCAGCTACTCAGGAGTCTAAGGCCAGGAATACAGTGAGCCAAGATCATGCCACTGCACTCCAGCCTGGTTGACAGAGTGAGAATCTGTCTCAGAAAAAAAAAAAAAAAAATTGGAAGAATCTGTATTACTATTCTACTATTGTTTCTCAGCCTTTAGGCTACGATCAAATGTATTACTATTCTACCTTTAGCATGTCCAAAAATCAAAAATTGACTTTTACTTTCAATATTAATTTGTAAAGACCCCAAGTTCTGGGGGTGGGGTGGGTTTTCTAAAGATAAAATGGTAGAAGAACAGAATAGGACAAACTACTCAAGCTCTAAGAAAGAAAAAATAAGTTATTTTCAGAGTTAAATCTCTGCATTCTCAGATTTTACTTCATGTTACTTCAGCCAAGTCAAATGTAATCATCCTTTTATCATCATCAGTAAACCTAAGAGTAACTTCATAATTATAGGTAGTTTTGTGTTCCAGACAAAATCTAGATAAAAATATGTTTTTTGAACCAAATAGAACTGAAAATTTTCTAAGAATTATTTTCCTAGGATATAGTTTTTTTATAACATTACTGTGTTACCAAAAAGGCAATGTACCAAAGGTTTTAAAACTTGTAGTAAGTAATGTAACAAAAACACTCACTTCTAAAGCATTTTGAACTCGTTCTTTACTGGAAGCATTTCTCTTGAAGTTATTTGTTAAATTAATTGATTCAGTCCAATGGCTGCAGTCACCTCCGTATAGCAAACAATCATTTGGTAAAAATGTCTCTACCCAAAGACGACACACATTATCTTTGCAGCAAGTCAACAGTACATTACATACAGAAGCCCTAAGGAATGAAAAGATTTTAGAAGCAAAAATACAAATTTCACATAGTATCACAGAAATTCTACGATGTTTCTGTAATTACTTAAATGTACCAACTAAGGTACCAATGAAGAAAATATCAATATGTACAGATTTCATCACAGCAAATGCTTGCCAACCTATTTCTTTTCTGCCTAGAATTCAGTAGTTCTTGTTTCAATAATGTTGCCAAACGTTCTTTCTTTTTTTTAAGAGATGTGGTCTCACTATGTTGCCCAGGGTGCTCTCAAACTCCTGGATTCAAGCAATCCTCTGGCTCAAGTAATCCTCCCGCCTCATCCTGGGATTACAGGTGTGTGCCACCATCCCAGCACTCAATAAGATTCTTTTTACATCTAAAAAAACAAAGACTGAGATTAAGCCACAATCTCTCAGTTGACACATAAGAAATAACCACATCTTCTAATAAGATTTTCTGATTTATTGAGTGGATAGTTCTTTGAATTATATCATATGCTTCATTTCTACTTCCTATAAAGGCACCTGCACACTGTCACAAAAAGCTACAGTAACTACTGAGTACACTTATTCTCTCCTTACCTAACAGATGCCCAAAGCAGTGAAATGCAAGAATTGAATATTCATGATAAAGTACTAAACACTTCCCCCTCCTTAGTCATCCTTGACTTTCAGTTAATTTCCTTTTTGCCACCTCCTTAAAATAAAAGCAAAAATCAATTACATATATGTTAATAAGTCCAACAAGCAACAAGAGCTCAAAGCCTGAAACCCTATCAGCAAGGACTACCTTCCATCAGGGAATTCAGTAAGTTTAGAAGAAAGAAAGAAAAAGTCACAATATTTTGTAGTAGTAACTTGTTCCAGCATACATATCTGATTTTTAAAAACGGAACAATCAGCAGGTTTTATCAGTAACTCAGTGAGTTAAAGTAAATGAGAAATCAAAATATTGTCTAGTAGCCACTTTGTTAAACTTACCTAACTGACTAAAAAAGAAGTTGCAGAACAGAAGGGAGAACAGCATAATTTGTATTGGTTGCTCTCTCCTTCTCCTTCCCTCCTCCATTCTTGCATCTCTCTCCCTCTGGCGCCCTCTCCTCTTTCTGTCTACTTCCTTGTTTTCTTCTCCCTTTCTACCTCCTCTCCGGGCTTCTCTCTCCCACCATTCTTTGCTTTCACAGCCTTTCCAGGCCACCTTCCCTTTCTACCTCTCTCCTTCTGTCCCCTACCTCTCCCTTCCTAGCATCTTTTTCCTTTCCTTCCCCAACCCCTTGTTTCTCCTCCTTTCCCCATCCTCACACCCATCTCCCTCCATTTTTTCTCACTCTCTTTTCTCTATCCCTGTCCTGGCTATAGCTACACTATAGCTCAAAACATCTAGTCAGCAAAATTCATAGAACAGTGAAAAGCTAGGGAAAAAATGCCACATGGTGTGGCCAAGTTGAAAATGGCCATATAGTACAAAATGGGATTTCTGGCTGCGCACATGGCTCATGCTTGTAATTCCAGCACTTTGGGAGACTGAGGCAGGCAGATCGCCTGAGCTCAGGAGTTCAAGACAAGCCTGGGCAACATGGCAAAACCCCATCTCTACAAAAAATCCGAAAAGAAAAAAATATATTAGCCCAGCATGGTGGCACACACCTGTAGTCCCCGCTATTTGAGACGCTGAGGCGGGAGGATCACTTGAGCCCAGGAGGTAGAGGTTGCAGTGAGCCATGACTGGGGCACCGCACTCCAGTCTGGGTGACAAAGCAAGACCCTGTCTCAAAACTAAACAAAACAAAAACACATAAAAAACAAACAAAAATAGGGAATTTATACCTGTATTTAAGTAATAGGTCTCTATAACCTACTAAAATTCAGTATTACATTAACTCTTTCCAGAACTACAGAAAAAAAAAAGAAGATACTGAGGATATGTATGTGTGTGTCACTGTGTGCTTTTGTGGTTAAACTTATAGCTGTTTCAAAGAAGAATAAGGTAGGGTATTAACCTACTCTCTCTTTTCCTCACATATGCTGGGTGTAGTCAAATAAACATACAAGAACTCATGATATATCCTCTTAATAAAGCTATTTTTTAAAAGAAGAAAACCAGGGAAGACATACTAGAAGGTACAAGACGACAGAGTATTTATGTAAAAATATAAACAAACAACAATCTGGAGAAAATAGATGACAGAATTAGACACAAAACACAAAGAAAAAGAAAATATGTACAACTCTGTGACTTAAAGACATCTGATATGGAGTAAACTATCCCAGCTTAAACTCCTTTAATACGGCTCTTATCCTAAGCATCAAACATAGTTGAGCCACAGCCAGAGATGTGCAGGCCAGAGACGATTTAATATTACTCTAATCTTCATAGGCTCAGAAGTCCTGTAACTATGGACTCTCAAAAGTGAGAGAAGCAATCAAAGTAACAAAGATGATGCTCCCTTAATATGTGGAGGGAAATGACCAATCCACTGACCTAGGCATATATTTGCTTGTTTTACGCCAGGAAAATCCATTTACTGCTCGAGGATGGGCCAGATACACAAAAGAAAAGTCAATTTCTCCTTGGGATTGTTTTTCTGAACTTCCATCTGGAGAAGTAACAGCTGTCCGCCAGTTTTCTACATTATACCAAACCTTCAAAAGACAGTCATCCTAAGGAAAAAAAAAACAAAACAGAAAATCATGGAGATCAGAATTAAAGATTAAATCAAATAGCAAAAGTAAGAATTTTCTCCCCAATGGCAAGAACTTGGGGATGGGAAGAGACGTTGAGCACAGAGGAATTAAGAAAATTCTGATTCTGGCACTTTTCTATTAGCATTGCCTAACTGTGCTTTAAAAACTGAAGTGTGTGAATGTGTGTATTCTGTGTTCAAGAAAAATGCTTGCTAATTACTAGAGTAAGGGGAATGGAGTCATTCAGGAAACACTGAAAGATAAAATTAAGGACGTCTTTTCCAGTAAGCCAAATATTAAATAAGTAATCAACACCACTAGCAGACTTATGAAGACTGCTAATTATTGAAAAAAAGAGATACTTTTCATGAATTTTCATGTGACTTTTCAAAGAAAATGTTGATGGTGAAAAAAATGAGTTAATATATAAATACTATATAAAATATTCTTTGTACAATCAAATTTATAGTCATAATTTGGGAAATAAAGGAAAAGCAAAGGGGACTAGAATGTACCAGGTACTGCTTTTAAGCTATAACTGAGTTCCCACCTGTAAAGTCAATCAGAATAAACAGCTCAACTTCTCTCCTAAAAAACAAAAACCTTACTGTGGTTTTAGAGTAACTTACACTCTTAGTTTGCAGAATGCTTTGAGCCATGAGAACAATAATTTGACTTATTAGCAGCTCGTGAAATGCTCTATGAACCAATGAATAAAAATAACTTCAAAGAAATACATTGCTTTAAAATAGACAGGTAATAAAGTATACACACTAAAGAAATGGTTACTAGTATCTTTCTAGAAAGCCTATGAAGTCTTATATATTAAAAACAGCCTAATACACATCAGCTAAAAGGTAATATAAATTGAAGCTATGCTTTATTGATTGTATACTACATGAAAGGCACTGTGCCGGTCACTCTATACTGCATATATTGTCTAAATTAATCCTACGATTAATGACCTATGAGGTAGGTGTTTTTATCCTCATATTACACATGAGAAAAGAAAGGCTCAATAAGATTAACTTGCCCAAGGTGATAAAGCTGGTAAATGGCAGATTTATATCCAGATCTGCCCCTAAGTCTATGTAATTTCAATTATATCACACAGTCTTTTAACACCACAATAATGGAGTCAATTTTTGCTATTTAAAATTTTTAATGGCCGGGCATGGTGGCTCACGCCTATAATCTCAGCACTTTGGGAGGCCGAGGTGGGCGGATCACAAGGTCAGGGGTTCAAGACCAGCCTGGCCAATATGGTGAAATCCCGTCTCTATTAAAAAATACAAAAATTAGACGGGCATAGTGGTGTGGGGCTATAGTCCCAGCTACTTGAGAGGCTGAGGCAGGAGAATCGCTTTAACCTGGGAGGCAGAGGCTGCAGTGAGCCGAGATCGTGCCACTGCACTCCAGTCTGGATGACAGAGTGAGTCTCCATCACAAAACAAACAAACAAAAAAAACAATTTTTAATGGAAACTATTATTTTCAAGTTAAATAAATAAAAGAATGAAGCCAGTTGATGTTTTTAAAGTTTCAAAGTAAACTATAAACACATAATTTGGCAATAGCATTTTCACAATTTACCTTCCCAGCAGTGGCAAAAAATTCTCCATCTGGTGAAAATTTCATTAAATGAACTTGGGAAGCAGTTCTGTAAATTAAACAGATAAGGAATAATTTGCAATGAAAACTAAAAAGAAAAAGTTCAATATTCTCAAAATTATAAATCAGCAATTGGTTCAAAAGACAGAAAATGTTATAAGTTTCACACCCACATCTTTGTGTACCTGAAAAATGAACTAGTTAGTAAGATAAATTTTAAATATAAAAACATACACCCATAGACTCATGGAAGGAATGGCTTGTCAAAATCTTTAAAGCCTAAAACAAAAGTTGTAACTTTCATTCCCTTAGAATGAGAGAGAATGGTTTCATTTTTTAAATCTGAAAATCTAGTTTCCAGAACCATGGATCCCTATATGCCAACATACATTTTCATGGATAATATATAATAAGTTTGCCTTAGGGTAATACTTACCTAATTAAAGATTATGTGTGGGTTAACAGGGGACTTGCAACAATTAGGAATTCAGCCTACCAGCTTCACCTATATACTTGTTAGATACTTGCCTTTTCTTCTCAAAGGAACTTTGGTTCATTTCTCTTCATTGCCTTCCCTTACAGCTACTCATATATACTGATCTCAAGACACTCACCACTATCACTGCTTTCCTTTTCTTTGCTCAAATGCATGATTAGATAGGTCAATTCTAAATTTATTTATAAAGATATCCAAAGAGGAATTCTGTCACATTTCATTTCAGATACAAATAACTTTTTTTTCTGATTTTAAGCATAATACATTACAGAAAAGTTGATACAGGTAGATAAAAACCAAATGAAATCATTTACATTTTTCACCAGTACCACCACATCCTTTCCTCAGACAAAGCCAATGTTAACATTTTAATACATAAACTTCCAAATCCTTCTCTCCACTCTCTCTACTTTCTGCAGGAAAAGGTGGGAAAAGTAGGGCTAGAAACTGAAGTCACACTTATCACCCACTAAAAAAATATGTCATGGGCTGGGCACAGTGGCTCACGCCTGTAATCCCAGCACCTTGGGAGCCTGAAGTGGGCAGACCACAAGGTCAGGAGTTCGAGACCAGCCTGGCCAACATGATGAAACCCCATCTCTGCTAAAAATACAAAAAATTAGCCAGGCGTGGTGGCATGCCCCCGTAATCCCAGCTACTTGGAAGGCTGAGGCAGGAGAATTGCTTGAACCCAGGAGGTAGAGGTTGCAGTGAGCCAAGATCACGCCACCATACTCAGCCTGGGTGACAGAGCAAGACTCCGTCTCGAACAACAACAACAACAAAAATATGTCATGAACATCTTTGCATATAGATGCAAAAGATGTGTATATGTGTGCAGGTGTACAGATCTACATTATTACTTTACTGGCTTATATTCCACTGTATATGTTTACATATATATACATACAATGATTTCAAATAATTTTTCACTGCTGTTTTCTAATTTTTGCTGCAACAAGAACAAAAAAGAGAAGTGAACATGCCTGTACACACATTTTTAGAACATCTGGTTAATCCTAAGGATATCCTTAAGACAAAATACTATTATTATTTTTTTCTTTTTTTTACTGAGATGGAGTCTCACTCTATTGCCCAGGCTGGAGTGCAGTGGTGTGATCTCGGCTCATTGTAACCTCCACCACCGGGTTCAAGCTATTCTCATGCCTCAGCCTCCCAAGTAGCTGGGATTACAGGCATGCACCACCACGCCTGGCTAATTTTTGTATTTTTAGTAGAGACGGGGTTTCGCCATGGTGGCCAGGCTGGTCTTGAATTGCCGACCTCAGGTGATCCACCCACCTCGGCCTCCCAAAGTGTTCAGATTACAGGCGTGAGCCACCGAGCCCAGCCTACAGCTCTTTCTAAAGAATTATTTATGCAAAATTCTGTTCCCTTTCTACATGTTAACCCATTACCTATCTGAGGGGTGCAAAATACATGGAACGAGCTCCTTTGAAATCTCCTCTGTAAATTCTACATATGGGACGTCTGCCTTACTTTGGTATGTGATATTTATGCTATCACCACTTCATATAAACCTAGTCAGTTTCACTTAAATCCTGTTACACCAGTTTACTGGTTTATTTTCTATCTACCCCTATCTGTTCATAGCAATATTCTAAGCATCTTTAAAGCTGACTGGAACCATTCAACAAATATTTGTTGAATGAAGGAATGAAACCTGGCAATCTTATTTAAAGGGTATGAAAAAAATTAAGCCTGTTGAATCATACTTCCAAAATGTGCTCTAGAAAGATATTATCAGGCCGGGCACGGTGGCTCATGCCTGTAATCCCAGCACTTGGGGAGGCTGAGGCAGGCAGATCACGAGGTCAGGAGATTGAGACCATCATGGCTAACATGGTGAAACCTCGTTTCCACTAAAAACACAAAAAATTAGCCGGGCATGGTGGTAGAGCGCCTGTAGTCCCAACTACTTGGGAGGCCGAGGCAGGAGAATGGTATGAACCCGGGAGGCGGAGCTTGCAGTGAGCTGAGATCACACCACTGCATTCCAGGCTGGGCGACAGAGCGAGACTTCGTCTCAAAAAAAAAAAATAAAGATAATATCAACTGTACTGCTTTATTGACAGTATACAAGAGCACCTATTTCTCTAAACACTATTAGATAACATTCATCCTTTTTCTGAACATTTCACATTCTTGATTTCAAGTGAGATCACCTCTTATTGCACTTATTTTTAATATGTGCTATATCTTGTTAAAATTTTCTCTCCATTGCCCAATGTTGCTTACTATTGTTATACCTGTTCTTTTCTAACTAATTTAAGGCCTACTTTTAAAAACGCATTTGCCCAAAACTGCACATATTTCTCCTCATGTTTGTGTTTCTTCCCTTATGGACAATTTGCTTTATAGAAATGTTTTATTGATACGGTTAGAACTATTAATTTTTCCTATCCTATCCATTTCCAGTTTGGGTGTCATTCTTAGTCTTTCCCTAACTCTAAAGCAGCATTTCTTGTCGAACAGCAATATAACATAAATGACAAATGTTAGCCAAATATGTAATTTTAAATTTCCTATCAGCCACATTTTTAAAAAAAGTTAAAACAGGCAAAATTAATATTTTTTATTTAACCTAATATATAAAAACATCATTTCAACATATTTTTTAAAATGTTAGAGATATTTTACACTATTTTTAATACTAAATTTTTGAAGTCCAGCACATCTCAATTTGGACTAGTTGCATTTCAAGTGCTCAATAATAACATGTAATTAGTGGCTACCATACTGGACAATGTAGCTCTAAAATATAAAATTTCACCTGTATTTTCCTCTAATATTTTTGTTTCATTTTATAGAAATTTTTTCCATCTCACATTTGTTTTGGTATCAGGTATGAAAGACTCTAATTTAATTTCCCGTCTACAGAGCTAGCTAGTTTTCCCTGCTATAAAAGACTATCTTAAGGCTGAGCACGGTGGCTCACACCTGTAATGCCAGCACTTTGGGAGGCTGAGGCGGGCAGATCACCTGAGGTCAGGAGTTCAAGACCAGCCTGGCCAACATGGTGAAACCCCGTCTCTACTAAAAATACAAAAATTAGCCAGATGTGGTGGCGCGTGCCTGTAATCCCAGTGCCTCAGGAGGCTGAGGCAGGAGAATTGCTTGAACCAGGGAGGTGGAGGTTGCAGTAAGCCTCACATCATTGCACTCCAGAGTCTAATCCTGGATCCTAATCTGTCTGTTCCTACATCAATAACAAAATGCTTGATCATCTGTGGCATTAGAATTCATTTTACTATACTGCAAATCTTCATTCTTCTTTTCTTTCAGAATTTCTCTGACTTTCCCATATTTGTCCTTTTAAGTAGAGTTTAGAACTATGCTTAATAGAAATTCCACTCAGATTTTGGCAAGGATTATGTTCAATATATAGATTATGTGGGAAAAATAGATTTCTTCAGAATAGGAAGTCTTCCATTCAAAAGCATGAAAGTCATCTATCTTTTCATATAATTTGGCAAGTTTGTATTTAATGGTCTTCATGTAAGCCTTACACATTTGTTTCTTCCTATTTTAATTGACATTTTTAAAAAATGTATTTGTAGAACACGGGAAATAGAGAATTATCTGTGTATAAGAAAAAGCATATCATAGACTAAAAATCAATACTTTTTATGTCAGTGTGGTTTTACACAACTAAAATACATTTATAATAAAACCACATAGAACAACAGGTTTATCAGTTTACTCCCCTGATTAATTGCTTACTTGCAATGCCAAATGCATTTCCAATCTCCAAAGTTAAGATCTGTTTTATTTAAATTTTCATCTTCAGTTGGCTTCTCCAAGTTAGTATTGGACCAGAGTTGCAAATAGCTGGAACCAGTTAAAAGACGACTGCCTAAAAAAAATATTATTCCTCATTTATTATTTAGGTATTTAATAGTGACTTAATTTACATGCTCAAGAATTTCATATAAAACAACTTCTAAAAAAAAGTCAAATATCAAAAAAAATTTTGAAGAACGGAGGAGAAGGCTGTATTTTAATTTCGTTAAAATAGCTTGAGATAGAAAGGAAGAAATCTTATAATCTCTCACTTAACAAGTATTTAATGAGCATCTTCTTTGTCCCGGGCACTGTGCTAGACATTGGAAATACAATGACAAACAAAACATTGTCGTTTTTCATGAGTTCATATTTCAGCAGAAAGACATGGAAATATGATACCATGTGGAAGTGTTACATACATGATAGAAATGCATGCAAAGCTTTATGGAAGCCCACAGGAAGGAGACATTAATGTGTACCTGTAGTAAAAGTGCCAGGAAAAGTGAGGAAATGAAACCTGGTCCTTAATGGATGAATAAGCAGAAGAGACAGGCATTTCAGAAAGGAAACCTAACATGAACAAAGGCATGAAGACATATAAATTTATGTATTTTCCCAAGAATGCCTCTTAATCTGGTATAGGTTAACGAATAACGTACACAGATAGGCTAGAAAAAAAATTACTACGGAAAAAATGCCAAGGTGAGACTGTGAAGAGTTTTTCAAGTTCACAGCGTTTGGACTTTGTTATAGGTAGTTGGGAGTAAAAGATTTTCAAGTGGCAGTGGGGGATTGTGGGGGAGTTGTTACAAAATTGGATCTGTATTTCAGAACAAGAGGGCTTAACTGGAAGAGGGGCAGTCAACAGATGGAGAGGCCTGTGAGTCTCCCTCTATTGAGATAACATACAAAAATCACACATACAATATGTGCATTTTTCCAGAAAGATAATATGTAACTTACATCGAAATTTCAAAGACTCTAGTATACAAAGAAGGTTAAAAATACTTTTTAGAAAACAACTCCAGAGACAGACAACATCAGGGAAACCATAAGTGTGTGGTTAACCAACTATTAAACTATTAAACCTGGTTAATTAACTATAGAAATTCAGATGGTAGGCCAGGCACGGTGGCTCACACCTGCAATCCCAGCACTTTGGGAGGCCAAGGCGGGTGGATCACCTGAGGTCGGGAGTCCAAGATTAACCTGACCAACATGGAGAAACCCCATCTCTACTAAAAATACAAAATTAGCCGGGCATGGTGGAGCATGCCTGTAAACCCAGCTACTCAGGAGGCTGAGGCAGGAGAATCACTTGAACCCGGGAGGCAGAGGTTGCAGTGAGTTGAGATCACACCATTGCACTCCAGCCTGAGCAACAAGAGCGAAACACCACCTCAAAAAAAAAGGAAAAAAAATTCAGATGGTAAATAATGAGGATCTCAACCAAATATTTAAAAAGCAAGCATTTGAAAGCCATTTCAAAAAGTATTGTCAAGGCTGGGTGCAGTGGCTCACACCTGTAATCCCACCACTTTGGGAGGCCAAGGTGGGAGGACTGCTTGAGCCCAGGAGTTCAAGACCTGTCTGGGCAACATAGTGAAACCCTGCCTCTACAGAAAAAAATTACAAAAATTAGTTAGACACGCACTTGTAGTACCAGACACTAGGGAGGCTGAGGTGAAAGGATCACTCAAGCCTGGGGAGTCAAGGCTGCAGTGAGCTATGATTGTGCTACTGCAGTCTAGCCTGGGCAACAGAGCAAGACCCTGTCTCAAGAAAAAATGAAAAAAAGAATTGTCAAGATTTGACACCAAATAAATACAGAGAAAAAACAAGAGGGTTAAAGGACAGATTCCAACTCTATGACTTGGGAATTAAGTAGAAGGCCGTGCTATCATCCATACAAAAGACAAGCAATTTTGGCAAAAAAGCTGACAATAAAGATGGCATTCACCTTGGCAATTTAAGACTATAGATTTGTGTATTTCTAGAACAATCACTTTTTTAAATTTTTTGAAGAGACAGGGTCTTGCTATGTTGCCCAGGCTGGTCTCAAACTCCTGGGCTCAAGCGATCCTCCCAACTCAGCCTCCCAAACTGCTGGGATTACAGGTATGGGCCAGCATGCTTCGCCCTCGTTTTCTTGTTTCAAAAGGAAAGTGGATCTCTGGCATAGACTTTAGATCAGAAATCCCTGTGTCTAAATCCCAAGTAAGATGCTTAATTAGCCATGTGAATTTGATCTAGTTGGGTAATTTCTGAACTTCAATTTTCTCATCTATAAAATTTGAGGTTTAAATACAGTTGTTGTAAGGATTAGCTATATAATATGCACAAAGTCTCTAGCACAGGCCAGGCACTAAGCAGAAGCTCAATAAATAGTAGAGCAACTAGACAGAAGGTTTCATAGACAGGGGCCAAAAAAAAGCACAAGAAGTAATGAAACATTCCATTTAAATATGTTGATTATTCCACTTTTGAACTTACCAACAGATACAACTTTTCTTTTGCTTAATATAAACTGAAGATAACATTAAGATATCCCATAAAAGATTAAGAATTTAATACAGAATATAAACTTAATCCCAGGTATGGAATGGAACAAAAGTAGGTAAGATATAATATGGTATACTGATTTCAAACTCTAAGAATTAGATATTACAGATATTAAATTACAGATATTAAAGCAGGATATTATGGATAGTAAAGCAGGAAAAAAGCATAAAAAGTCTAAAACAGAAAATCTTATGAATTAGGCAACATAAAATATTAAATTTGGACACAAAAGAAAGGCATTAATCAGTTTACCAATAGTTTTATATCTCTCTCTGATGACTTCTATGTCTCAAAGATAACTTTTCTTTTTTTTTTTCTGAGACAAGTTCTTGCTCTGTCACCCAGGCTAGAAAGCAGTAGCACAATCATGGCTCACTGCAGCCTCAACCTCCTGGGCTCAAACAAGCCTCCCACCTCAGCCTCCTGAATAGCTGAGACCTCAGGTGCCAGCCACCAAGCCTGACTAACTTTTCAAAAATTTTTTTGTAGAGATGGAGTCTCCCTATGTTGCCCAGGCTGGTCTCAAACTCCTGGGCTCAAGCAATTCTCCCCACTCAGCCTCCTAAAGTGCTGATATTACAGGTTTGAACCACCGTGCCCAGCCCCAAAGATAACTTTTTATGTTCTAGATTCAAATGTCTATATATTGCTTTATGATATACAAGCTTCTCAAGGTCCACATATCCAATTAATACCTTATGTTCCACTACCTCTAACTCCTACATATTACTCTTTGTGTGGTCATAGATACTCTCAAAGTAATTTCAAATCCAGTTGTTAAGTAATGTCAATTCTACTGCCTAAACACATTTCATATCCATGTATACCTTTCACTATTCATTAATTCATTTAATATTAATTGAACACCTACTATGGAAAAGGCATTGAAATAAGTTCTTATTTCTCATCCAGACTAATGAGAATACAACCTCTCCAAAGGTCACTCCTTCTCCTGTTCCATTTGCCACTGACCCTTCTAACTCACTGCTAGCAGACAAATCTCGCAAAACCATAAATCTTGTATGACTAGCCTCTTTTGAAAACCTATAGTTTTTAGACAACCATAAAGAATTAAATTCAAATTTTTAGCATGACTTTAAAGGTCTCCTATAACATGGTAAGGTCTTATCTCCTTACCACCACTGAGACTCAGCCCAGTGAAATACTAATCCTTATTATAATGTATCTTATGCTTTCTCTCTCTGTGCCTTCCCTCACTTTCGTAGAATGGTAAAAATGGCTCCCAATAAATTATGTCTCTCTGTGTTGATGCCTCCATGTAATATGACTTTGCCATATCTTTCATCAAGAGGGGGAGTCTATGTCTCCCAACCCTTAATATTAGCTGGACCTGTGACCATATAATGTGGCAGCAATAACATTCTGGGACTTCCTTGCAGCTTCTACTTTCACTCTCAGAATGCAGCCACCATGTAAAATCCAGGCTGCCCTGCTACAGAGGGCCACAGAAGAGGCCATGTGGAGGAGAACAAAGGCATTCCAGTAGATAGCAAGCAGCAAGGCCCAGATATGTGAACAAAGCCTTTCTTGGATCTTTTAGCTGCAGATAAACTGCTTCAGTCACTACCACATGGAACAATAGACAAGCCATTCCCACAGAGTCTTCCTGACCAAAAGAATCATAAGCAATAAAATGATGGATGTTTTAAGCCATCCATCATTTTGGAGGATGCTTTTCTAATGCAGAAATAGATAACTGATACATATATTCATTATATTTTCTTCCTTTTTTTTTTTTTTTTGAGACAGTTTCACTCTTGTTGCCCAGGCTGAAGTGCAATGGCATGAGCTCAGCTCACTGCAACCTCCACCTTCCAGGTTCAAACGATTCTCTAGCCTCAGCCTCCCAAGTAGCTGGGATTACAGGCATGCGCCACTATGCCCAGCTAATTTTTTGTATTTTTAGTAGAGACAGGGTTTCTCCATGTTGGTCAGGCGGGTCTTGAACTCCCAACCTCAGGTGATCTGCCCACCTCAGCCTCCCAAAGTGCTGGGAATACAGGCGTGAGCCACCACGCCTGGCATATATTTTCTTAAATTTCACTTTTTTCCTGTTCCATCTACCCAACTCTCATTGCTAAAGTCTGTTTACTCTCAGGTCCAAAGGCTCCTTTTCAATGAAACGTTAATTCTCCAGAGAAATATCTCTTTCCAAAAACAATGGGTATCCTATTATGGCACTTAGAACATTCTCTCATTTCTTACAGTGCATATCTGTCTTCATTTCAGTATAAACTCTAAAAGGGCATAATCCATTTTACTTCTTTGGTATTCCCCACAACCTCACACCCAGCAGAAGTGAAATACATAAGAGTAATAAAAATAAGAACAACTAGGCAAGTGATATTTCATTTTAGTTAATCCTGCTTATTTTCTTACCTGTGGGATCCCAGGTTATATTGTGTGCTATTGATTCCAGAAAAAATTGGCCACTTTTCTGCCACTGACTATATAATTCCTAAAATTAAGAAAAGTCATTTAGCCCATTATGATTGGCATATTTTCTCTGTCAAATGTGTACGTTTATGCTTGTTATTCTTACAATAACACAGGCAGTCAATTTTAAAGATAACAAAATGTTCAGTTCAGTCAACAAAAATAGAGAACACATGATAAAGAAGGTATGTGAGAGAATATCCATAACTGGTGGTCAAAATGCTATCTTTAGTATAAACAATCAATAACCATACGCTACCTTGGATAACAGTCTTAATAGCCTCAGATTTAATTATTACTTTATTATTACAGTTAAAAAGTTAATTTTAAATGTGTCTGTGGCTTTACTATTTGACATTTCCTTCTCTTTTACTGTTTTGTCCCCATCTGAGATCATAATAGTATGTGGGAAAATTCAGAATAAAAGATGTAACATTTTGATACTACTATATAATTTATGGCCTTACAACTTCTTAAAGCGAAATTTTTCCCTTTTTTTCTGCCTGCAAATCAGTAAGAAATACACAATGTATGCTGACCCAGAACACACACACATACAAATAAATATAACCTATGTTTGTCCTTATTACATGTGACATACTCTGATATTTTCTCTATTTCATTCTCTTTTTAAATTCGGGTTGTGGCCTACACTAAGTTGAGTTCACAGCCCAATTACAGATTGAGATTCATACTCTCTTAATGTGGTGGCTCTCAAACTTTGGTACAACAAATAATAGCCTGAGATGTTACTAAAAATTCAAATTTCCGAGACCTGTGCCCAAAAATTCAGGTTCAAAAGCTTCAGGATGGGGCACAGAAACCTGTACTTTAACACCCCAGGTGATTTTGACATAGGTGACCTACAGAATATGCTTTCATGAAACACTGCCTTGCAGGAATGTCTTTCAATCACAGTACATACCAGAACCCTCTCTAGAACAAGACATATAAGTGCATAGACACAATCCCACAGCTACAGATGTAGAAATTCCCAGAGCAGGATTTGGGCACATGTATCCAATGGTAGTTGTGATGTGCAACTCTCATGAAGACCACCACCTCACAAGAATACTCCATAATATACAAAGAAAAGGAAAGAATATATTTTTACAAGGATCTAAACATTCTGAAACTATATTTTAGAATCATAGATTTTATACATCTTTCAAGTCTATAACTTCACCATTTGATCCACTTTTGCCCTTCTTCATCAAGTTTTTTATTGTCCTTTCTGCAAAGTCAGTGCTGATAAGCCAATAAACCAGCCTCTTTTTGAGTTTTATACATTACATTCATCAATTATAATTAGGAAAGGAGAAAATGGGCAAACATTGAAATTCTCTATTCTATCCTTCCCAATAAAGGCATTTTAACATAACATACTGATTTTCAAAAGCTACTTATTTTATTTAATAAATATTTATTGAGTACTGAAATACACTGTTCTGGGCTGGGTGGGGTAATCGCCTTAAAAAATTCTTTTTAGTACTGCCAATTACTAATTCTTAAGGCTTTAAGAGGCTCAAATAGTGGATTCACTAGGCAATCTATAAAAACAAATAGAAATCAGAAGTGTGAACACTATTTCTATGAAATTTAAAGATAAATATCAATTAACTCAGAAAATAGTTTTCATTAACACAAGGTAAGGAAAGAACACTCACACCTAGGAATCAATACAGATGGTTTTACTCTTAGTTCTGTGGCTTAACAGCTGCTTCACTTGTCAAGTCACTATATTCTTTGAGCCTACTCTACTGCCTTATTCATAAAAAGAAGAAATAATGGCTGCACAAACTAGGTTTGAAGTAATTTGTAAAATACTAATGAGCTAAGTGAAGATGACATGAAAACTATCAAAAGATATATAAAGGTATGTCTGCTATTAAAACAGTTTAGTCCTTTATAATTAATACATTCCTAAACCATCTTTGACATGTTAGCCTAATAATATTCCCATCAAGACTGAATAGATAGTAATCAATTTGAGAGTTAAGCAAAGAATTTCTTAAGGCTGACTTACCTAAGACCAACTAGCTAGATAGACCCAGAAATAGAAACCAGTCCTATGACTCCCAATACACTGCTCTTTCTTTTTTTTTAAAAAAAAAAAAAATCTTTTAATTTTAGGTTTGGGAGTACCTGTGAAGATTTGTTACATAGGTAAATTCGTGTCAAGGGATTTTCTTGTACAAATTATTTCATCACCCAGGTATTAAGCCCAGTACCCAATAGTTATCTTTTCTGCTCCCCTCCCTTCTGCCACACTCCACCCTCAAGTAGACCTCAGTGTCTGTTGTTTCCTTGTGTTCATAATTTCTCATCATTTAGCTCCCTTACACTGCTCTTTCAATGACACTACACTTATCTTCTTTCAGACGGTTTGCTTTTATTTTTATTTTTAGAGACAGGGTCTCACTGTGTCACCCTGGCTGGAATGCAGTGGTGCCATCATTGCTCACCACAACCTCAAATTTTTGGGCTCAAACGATCCTCCCATCTCAGCCTCCTGAGCAGGTGAGACTATAGGCATGTGCCACCATGCCTGGCTAAACTTTTTTTAAAATCTTGCCCAGGCTGGTTTCAAACTCCTGGCCTTATGCAATCCTCCTGCCTCAGCCTCCCAAATAGAGAGGATTACAGGCACAAGCATTAAAGAACCTATAAAATCTGCTAACATGATTCGAATATTTATAAATTATTGGGTAACCAGTTTTCAGAACTATTTCTGAGTACAGCTTGCTTATAAAGAAAAACATTCATTGACCTGTTAACGACTGTATTACATGATCTAAATAATGCAAGAAAGTTAAGCCCTGAAGAGGCAGAAAACCTGTATAAAGGTAGATTATAAAACAAAGGAAAGAGTACCACATATGGCTGGACAACGGTATTTGATACTAGCAATAAAGTAGTGCCAAACTTTAGGTTACTGACTCTTGAAATATTATAAAATTAAAAATGTCAGAAATAAAATAATAAAGCATTTCAACAATTCATTGGCACAATTTATTTTAGTTCTATTCCAATGAAAAATTTAAATATATTTTTAACATCAAAATGGAATTTAACATGTAGGTTCAATTACAGTATATAAGTAATACCGATTTACTCAATGATCACTCTGATTTTACACTCTTTCAATACTTAAAACATTTCAATTCCTAAAAGAAGAAATCATAAATTACTGACCAAATTTTTC
Organism: Homo sapiens; assembly: GCF_000001405.40. NCBI lineage: Eukaryota > Metazoa > Chordata > Mammalia > Primates > Hominidae > Homo > Homo sapiens. The sequence goes on along the minus strand of NC_000005.10, from coordinate 119,101,996 downwards.
TTTTGTTTTGGTAGGTTAACTGGTTCAAAAATGGAGATAACATTTCCATAAGACGCTGCAATCTTTTAAAAAGAAAAAAAGAATTTATTAGGGATATGTTAACTTACTTATGAATCAAAAAAAGCAAAGAAATGAATACTATAACTTTAAATATGCCAATACACACAATTTCATTCACTGATGCTTAAGAATGTCAGTTTTGAAGACTATCACATCTGCATTAGAATCCTAGAACTGCAACTTACTACGTTAACTAGCAACTTAATCTCTCCAAACGTTAGTTTCCATTACAGTGTTCATAATATGTACAACACTACCTTCCTAACAGCATTGAGGGTTGAAATAACATTTGTAAAACACCTAACATATAATAAGTGACATACAATATGCACAGTAAATGTTAATTGTCGTCATCCATCCTCTAAATTGACAATTCTGTCAGTGTACATTAACTTTTCAAAAATATAACTTAGGTCTATTCCTCTGGAAACTCCCTGAGTACATTTTAAAACATATTCTATTTTATCCTTTGAATTTACTCTTTAAATTGATGGATCATAACCTTTCCTGGCTCTGTTTTATAAGGTAACTACTACTATAACTTGAGTGAGTCTCATATAAAGAACATCAAAATATTGGAAATCAAACAGAGAGAGAGATTAAATGAATGAATCAGGGATAGAAAAAAAAACATATGATGTAGTAAAGAGAAGGTAAGAAATGAGGACACAACAAACATGGAGAAAAAACTGTGAATGGATATTTTAAGGCTTCTGAATTCTTAGGATATAGATATCACTTGTGCTGCATTGATCTGGAGGAAGTGTTTAGTTTGGGCCTTTAATTATGGGTGGGATTTCAAAAAGCAGTGAGTATTCAACTTTATAAATAGGGCATAGTATGAAAACAGGTGTAAGGCCGGCCGCGGTGGCTCACGCCTGTAATCCCAGCACTTTGGGAGGCCGAGGCGGGAGGATCATGAGGTCAGGAGATCGAGTCCATCCTGGCTAACACGGTGAAACCCCGTCTTTACTAAAAAATACAAAAAAAAATTAGCCGGGCGATGGCAGGCGCCTGTAGTCCCAGCTACTCGGGAGGCTGAGGCAGGAGAATGGCGTGAACCCGGGAGGCGGAGCTTGCAGTGAGCCGAGTTCACGCCACTGCACTCCAGCCTGGGCGACAAAGTGAGACTCCGTCTCAAAAAAAAAAAAAAAAAAAAAAAAAAAGAAAACAGATGTAAAGATTAAAAGAGGCAATGTATGTTTAGAGGTGAATGACCACCATCCCACCAAGAAGAGAGTGCTCCTTATAACACAATAGTGTACCTGAGACTAAAAAGGCAGATCTGAGCCAGGTTGTAAAAGGCCTCACACCAAGGTGAACAATTTGAACTTTTCCAAGGTAATGGGCTAAGAATACTTTGAAGCTGATGAATAAAAGGATAAATGAGGATTAATTTTCTCAGAAAAATGAATTAGGTGGTAGTACAGTACAAAGAAAAAAACAGTAATAATAAAAATACAGGTGCCTATGACATTTCCTTCTTTTTTTTTTTTTTTATGAGACGGAGTCTCACACTGTTACCCAGGTTGAAATGCAGTGGCACGATCTCAGCTCACTGCAACCTCTGCCTCCCGGGTTCAAGCGATTCTCCTGCCTCAGCCTCCTGAGTAGCTGGGATTACAGACGCCCGCCACCACGCCCAGCTAATGTTTTTTTTTTTATTTTGTAGTAGAGACGGGGTTTCTCTATTTTGGCCAGAATGGTCTTGAACTCCTGACCTCATGATCCACCTGCCTCGGCTTCCCAAAGAACATTTCCTTCTTAAATGTAAACAGTCAGAAGTCCCCAGGTACCAGAACCTGCCAATTTTCTTCCTGATACTTTAAGGAACCACTATGATAATACTGATATCTGTAAATGAAGAAAATATTTCTTCATTAAATGATTATAAAACCAAATGACTTCTTAATTCCTCTTTTTGTTTTTCTTTGTAGAGATGGGGTCTTGCTTTGTCACCCAGGCTGCAGTGCAGTGGTGCCACCAGAGCTGACTGCAGCCTGGAACTCCTGGGCTCAAGTGATTCTCCCGCCTCAGCTTCCCGGGTAGCTAGGACTACAGGAGCATACTACCATGTCCGGCTATTTACTTATTATTTTTATTTTTGTAGAGACAGGGTTGCCCCAAGCTGGTCTCAAACTTCTGGTCTCAAGCGATTTGCCCACCTTGACCCTCCTAAAGCTCTGGGATTACAGGCATGAGCCACCACACATGGCCATGATTTCTTCATTCTAACCTGGACTGTCATATAGTCTATCACAAAAAGATAGCTCATATTGGAAAGTATTAAATTATATTTTTAACATTAACCAGCTCCATGTGAGTCCAGATGGTATTAAGCAAGTTTTTATACAGTTAAGAAAGATTACAGAACAAAAGAGCTAGAAGATCAAACAAACATGAAGAGAATGAAAATAAAAATCTCAAGGATAGGCTGGGCGCAGTGGCTCACGTAATCCCAGCACTTTGGGAGGCCAAGGAGGGCAAATCGCTAGGTCAGGAGATTGAAACCAGACTTACCAACATGATGAAACCCCGTTTCTACTAAAAATACAAAAATTAGCCGGGTATGATGGCGAGCACCTGTAATTCCAGCTATTTGGGAGGCTGAGGCAGGAGAATTGCTTGAACCCGGAAGCCAGAGGCTGCAGTGAGCTGAGATTGCACCACTGCACTCCAGCCTGGGCAACAAAGCGAGACTCCATCTGAAAAACAAAAAACAAAACAAACAAACAAAAACAAACAAAAAACAAAAAAAAAACCCAAAGATTTCCAGCATTCCATAATAAAGATCATTTTTGTTGTACAGCGAGAAGTCATAAGAGGCCTCAACAAAAGATAGAGGACACCTGTAACTATATTAAAGGGAAGGAATACCATGTAACAAAAAGAACAGTAGTCCAACAAATATGTAAAGATTCAGAAAACAGAAACTCGTTTTATAATTAATATCTTTAAGTCCCAGATGGCAACTTTTAATCCTAGAAAGTTTACCTCAAATGAAGATTAGATTTAAAAACAAATGATTGGGTCCATGGACTCTTAATATGACCATTTTGATTCCTTACACAAAATGTTCTAGTGGAATCATATGAGTGTATTTGCGAAGTTCAGTCCAGTCTAGCTACAACTATATATAGGCCTTACCACCTATGCCTATATGGAGTTATTTTAAGCTATATATTATGCTGCCTTGCCTAGTAGTATGACTTTCTCATTCTGGTACTACAGGAACTGTATTTAACCTGATCTAGAAGAATTTTATACTTTGTTACTTTTGTTTATGTTGTTGCTATTTTACTTTCAAGGTTACCTTTCTACTTTTCATATGCAAATAGAAGTCCAGATAAAGTTTTTCACTTTTCTTATGGGCTTAGAATATTATAAACTCTCAAAGAGTTTTTCATTTCCACAAAAAGTTACACAGCCCTTGTTACATAGAAGTTACAAGGAGATAACTACCTGTTCACAGACAAAAAAAAAAAAATATTCTAAATCATTTCCTTTAGTTTATTTGTAAATATTGAAGATTCATTGTTACTCCTTTCCCCCAGTCCAATCACCTTTTAAATACGTAAGCTTTAGACTCATTCTATATCAGTAAGTATTGTATTTCTTTCTCAGAGAAGATGATGCTATAATTTAAAATTATATAAGAAGAGAATTTCTGGCACTCTATAGAATGCATCTTAGACAGCCAAAAATTCTTCTAGCTACACTATCTTTGAAACAAAGCCAAGTCTCTAATTCAATAGGAAATACACACTTCAGAGATTATCCTGACAAAAACCATATTCCAAACAAATTTGTATATTAGAAGAAGATTACAAACCTTGCCTTGTTGCATTGAACAGTCTACACATCCCACTTGAATATTTCCATGTTTAGCTCCTGGGATTATCTGTAATCTTTCAAAATCGCTTCCCAGTATTACAATGTCACATCCAGATGCATAAGCCTAAAAAAATAAATAAATAAAAATGATAAAAGTGTCAAGGAAACATTTACCATGTAGAATACTAGTATTAACTATCATGTTTTAAGGCAGGGAGAATAAATGTTTTAAAAGACCAATTTTAGGTGTTTTCTTAAAAAAAAAATCTACATTTGGCACTATTTCCCTTACCTCCCCATATACAGCCTATTAGCAAATTCTGTCAGTCCTTTCTGCAAAATATGCATCAACTCTGAACTCTGTCCACTTTTTTATTTTTTCTTTTGAGATGGAGTCTCACTCTGTCGCCCAGGCTGGAGTGCAGTGGCGCAATCTCGGCTCACTCCAAGTTCCGCCTCCCAGGTTCACGCCATTCTCCTGCCTCAATTTCCTGAGTAGCTGAGACTACAGGTGCCCACCACCACGCCCGGCTAGTTTTTTGTATTTTTAGTAGAGATGGGGTTTCACCGTGTTAGCCAGGATGGTCTTGATCTCCTGACCTCGTGATCCACCCGTCTCGGCCTCCCAAAGTGCTGGGATTACAGGCGTGAGCCACTGCGCCCGGCTCACTTTTTTCATCTCCAGTGAATGCTACCACCCTTGTCTAAACTGAACCATGATCATCTCTCTCCTATTCTACTAATAGCAAACTTCCATTCTTGCCTCCCTCTAATGCATTTCCACAAAGAGTGATATTTGAAGAATGTTTACTGCACCAAGTTATTTTCCCTGCTTAAACCCCTCAACAGTTTTCCACTGCACTTGGAATAAAATCTCAACACCTTACCATGGTCAATATCCTAAATGGTGGTCCTTCTATAAACCCATCTCAGGCTATTCTTTCCTTCTCTCAGCTGGCTCTTGTTTCTGTTCCTTTTTACATCTCAAGGTGTTTATCTGCCTTTTATCTGCCTGGTCTTTTCTAGTTAGCTGCTTTCCAGCATTCAGGCTACAATTCCCAACCACTATCTCTCCCATTACTTTCTATCACATTACTGTTTATTTTCTTCACGGCATATATCACAATTTTTAAATGTCTTTTGTCCCTATCTATTATTAAAAGTTAAATTCCAAAAAGGAAGGATTCAAGTTTATCTTGTTCTCTACTCTAGTCCTCAATTCTAACACAAGGGCCTAGAATGCAGCTAATAATTTATAAGTGGAATAAATGAAGCATTTAATTTCACAAAAACAGTCATCACAACAAAAGAAAGTATACATAGCTCAAGACTTGTTGCCAAGCATTTCATAGCTCTTTTTCAATTTTACAACAGTTAGCATAACTCTCCCAACTAGAACTCTTCTTTTGTGTGTCCTTTTCCCTACCACCTTCTTTGATCACGGGAGTTTTTTCCATTACAGGGTACATGGTTGTTCTCCTAGGATTCATATTATAGACTGGCACACGTTACAACAATAAGACATCTAACACAAACTGTTTTCCAACCTGAGTTCATAAAGTTTTTATCAACTCTCTACTTGCTCCTCATTTTTGCACACGCACATATATTTAAAAATTATACTTCAGGCTGGGCATGGTGGCTCATGCCTGTAATCCCAGCACTTTGGCAGGCTGAGGCAGGCGGATCACCTGAGGTCTGGAGTTCAAGACCAGCCTGACCTACATGCAGAAACCCCGTCTCTACTAAAAATACAAAATTAGCCGGGCATGGTCGTGCATGCCTGTAATCTCAGCTACTTGGGAGGCTGAGGCAGGAGAATCGCTTGAACCCGGGAGGTGGAGATTGCAGCAAGCTGAGATCGCGCCACTGCACTCCAGCCTAGGCAACAAGAGCAAAACTCCATCTCAAAAAAAAAAAAAAAATTATACTTCATATACACCTTAATTCCTACCAAAACCAAAATTATTCTGTATACTCTATCAAAAAATATTAAAAATGGGACTTGAGAGAACATACAAATGAATGTGCTATATGGAAAAGAAAATCAAGGCCCAAATAAGTTGATAACATCTTAGTGGCAGAGTGGGGCTTCAGAACCTGATCTCTTGATTTTTGGTCTCCTGCTATTTCCATGGTACCAACAGGGGCTTCCCTAGTTAACATGCTTGCCTGGAATTTTACCTAAAAATTAGAAAGAATAATCAATTATGATTCCACTAGTTTCACAAAGTGAAAAGAACTGGCTCAAACAAACAAAAAAATCACATGATGATCTCCTCTCCTATATAAATATCCATGATGGGATCATAAGGCTTGTCATAAGACCATTAGCAAGAATAAATTCCAAAGGCTAATTTTAAGAGAAGTTGTCTTTCAAATAATTTAGAAACTAATTTTTCTCCTTGATATTAAATTTTGAGAATACTGATTGTCACTGTTTCTCAAAATATTGTGTTGAATTTTACATGTTTACAATTTAGATTTGCTCCCTTCTAAACAACATTTTCAGTTTCCTTTCAGTGGAATAAAAAAACTCATGTCTTCACAACTTCACCTTTGTTGTACCTGAAATTATCTACCTAATTTCAGATATTACGTTGCAAGTATTTTGTCAAACATGACCCAAAATTTTCCCACATCAAGTCTATACTAATTTTGAAGCCCACACAAATTACTACTTAATACAAATATTACACTTGCAGAGTTGAGAAATGTAAAGTAATCCCAGAAATAAACACTTAGTACTATACAGAGGAAAATACCAACTAATAACAATTACCACTTCATCATTCAATGACTTATCTAGTTCTGAATTACCCTTGTTCTTTTGCTGCTGCTGCATCATACTACTACTATTTGACTTTTTCTCAGCGATGGTACTAGAAGTTAACAAAGCTGTCTCCGTAGTCTTGGTAAATTTTAAATCAAATAAAATTATTGAACTTGGCTGAGCATGGTGGCTCACATCTGTAATCCCAGAACCTTGGGAGGCCAAGACAGGTGAGTCGCTTGGGTCCAGGAGTTAAAGACTAGCTTGGGCAACATGGCAAAACCAGCTCTACAGAAAACACAAAAAATTAGCTGGTTGCAGTGGCGTACGCCTGTAGTCCCAGCTACCCAAAAGGCTGAGGTGGGAGGATAACCTGAGCCTAGAAGGTCAAGGCTGTGGTGAGCATCACTACACTCCAGCCCAGGCAACAGAGTGAGACCTTGTCTAAAAATAAAAAATTAAAAAAAAAAAAAAAAAAGATTGTGCAAGTCTGCAGTTACTTCCTCTACTGAAGACTTGAACCCCTCAAAGTAATTTGTGAAGGATGAAATCAACTTCTTCCATACTCTTGGTAATGTTGATATTTTGACCTCCTCCTATGCATTGCAAATGTCCCTAATGGCATCTAGAATGGTGAAGCCTTTCCAGAAGGTTTTCAATTTACTTTGTCCAGATCAATCAGAGGAATCATTATCTATAGCAGCTATAGCCTTATGAAATAACTTTCTTAAATAAGACTTTAAAAGTTGGAAGCATTTCTTGGTTCATGGACTACAGAATGAATGTTTTAGCAAGCATAAAAACTACATTAATCTCCTTGTACACCTGCCTGATCAGAGCACAGGTCATTGTCAATGAACAGCAATATTTTGAAAGGAAATCTTTTTTCTCAGCAGTAGGTCTCAACAGCGGGCTGGAAATATTTAGTAAACTGTGCTGTATACATAGGTGCTGTCATCCGGGCTTTGTTGTTCCACTTGTAGAGCACAGGCAGACTAGGTTTAGCATAATTCTTAAAGACTCTAGGATTCTCGGCATGATAAATGGGCATGGGCTTCAACTTAAAGTTACCAACTGCATTAGCCCCTAACAAGAGTCAGCCTGTCCTTTGAAGCTTTGAAGCCAGGCATTGACCTCTCCTCTCTAGTTATGAAAGGCCTAGATGGCATCTTCTTCCAACAGAAGGCTGTTTCATCTGCTTTAAAATCTGTTCTTTCACATAGCCACCTTCATCAATTATCTCAGCTAGATCTTCTGGATAACATGCCGAAGCTTCTACATCACTCAGCGCTTGCTGCTTTACCTTGCACTTATAGGTTATAAAGATGACTTCTTTTCTTATACCTCATGAACCAACCTCTGCTGGCTTCAAACTTTAATTTTGCAGCTTCCTCACCTCTCCCAGCCTTCACGGAATTGAGAAGAGTTAGGGTCCTGCTCTGGATTAGGCTTTGGCTTAAAGGAATGTTGTGGCTGGTCTGATCTTCTAGCCAGACCACTCAAACCTTCTCCATATAAGCAATAAGGCTATTTTGCTTCCTTATCATTCATGTGTTCAATGGAGCAGAACTTTAATTAATAGTTTCCTTTGGAATTTTCCCTTTGCATTTACAACAGCTAACTAGCACAATAGGCCTAGGTTTTGGCCCATCTTGACACACCCTCCTCACTAAACTTAATCATTTCTAGCTTTTGATTTAAAGAAAGAGATGTGTAACTCTTCCTTTCTGAACACTTAAAAGACACTGTAGGGTTGTCACTATTCATAATTTCTATATCATTGTGTCTCAGTGAATAGGGAGGTCTGAGCGCAGTTCATTGGCATTCCACAACCATTACAATAGTAACAAAGATCACTGATCATCATAACAGATATAATAATAATTTTAAAAGGGGCCAGGCATGGTGGCTCACACCTGTAATCCCAGCACTTTGGGAGGCCAAGGCAGGCAGATCACTTGAGGTCAGGAGTTCAAGACCAGCCTGGCCAACATGGTGAAATCCAGTCTCTACTAAAAATATGAAAATTAGCCAGGCGTGCTCATTTGAACCCAGGAGGCAGAGGTTGCACTGAGCCAAGATCGTGTTGCTGCACTCCAGCCTGGGTGACAGAGCAAGACTCTGTTCAAAAATAATAATAAAAAAAGTTTGAAATATTTTGAGAATTACCAAAATGCGACACAGAGACACAAAGTGAGCGCATGCAACTGGAAAAATAGTGCTGACAGATTTGCTCAACAAAGGGTTGCCACAAAACTTCAATTTGTAAAAATCATAATACTTGAAGTGCAATAAGGGAAAGAGCAAGAAAACAAGATATGCCTGTATTCAAGAAAACTGAAAACATGTCCACACAAAAACCTGTACATCAATGTTCATACCAGCATTATTCATAATGGCCACAAAGGGAAACAACTCAAATGTCCATCAACTGTCAATGGCTAAACAAAATATAGTATATATCCATACAATGGAATATTATTAAGCCATAAAAAGTACTAGTAAATGCTAGAACATGGATGAACTTTACAAAAGACCACATATTTTATTATTTCACTTATATGAAATGTCCAGAATAGACAAATCCATAGAGTCAGTAAGGCAGTTGGTGCAAATAAGCAAACAAGCAATGTAAGTGGCTGTAAGATAGCAGCTGCCAGTGGCTAGGGGTAGTGGCAAATAGACAGTGATTGGTAATAGACACGGGATTTCTCTTGGGGGTGAGGAAAATGTTCTATAATCAGATTGTGGTAATACACATTGTTAATACACTAAAACCACTAAAATTTACACTTTAAAAGGGTGAACTTTATGGTATGTAAATTATATTTCAATAAAGCTGTTATTTAAAAAATAATAACTGTGGCTCCAAAAAGGTGGTGTTTCACTTGCCTCCAAAGAAAATGAAAAACAGATTCATACAACATTGCACCTGTAATCCCACCGAATCAGGAGGCTAAGGAGAAAAGATCGCTTGAGCCCAGGAGTTTGAGATCAGCCTGGGCAACACAGCAAGACCCTATGTGAAAAAAAAAGAAAAAGAATTTTTCTTAAATAAAAGAAAAAGAAAACCCAAAACAAATATACAGTGCTGAAAGTATCACCAGAAATAACCCAGAACTCACATATGAAGACAAGACAGTTCCTGGGGCCACAGGAATGAAAAAAGACAATTTTCAGAAATGAAAAAAGACAAAGAGACTTCCACATTCACAACACCCCTCCCCCAATTCTGCCCAGCACTTAGGGCACAGAAAATTTCCCCAAACATTGTTTCTACACTGGAAAAAGGGAGATTATGGTGAACAGCCAGCTTCCCCACCATATTGGGTTCTCTAGCAGAATATCTGTCCCAGCCCTAACCCATAAGAAGCATCACAAGTGCCTAAAGAAATATCTCTGAGGACAGGGAGAAACAAAGAGGGCAGGCAGTATTATTATCTGCATCCCTGAAAATAGTGCTCCATAACTCAGCCAAAGGAGATGCCACATGAGAGAGGCTGTTCAGTAGTAACACCACCCTGTAGGAGGTTTGTCCCACAGGTTTCCAGCACATGAACCCTTAGCCAGCATTCCCCCTCTGCTGAGATACCTCCTGTGGGATCTCCTCACTTTAGGAACGGCAGCCCTTTGATGGTTTACTAGAGCCAAGGTGAACCTGGACTTAAGGCAACACCTGGAGCCTAAAAAGGGGCAGTGGCTTAGCAGTGAAGAATCTCCAAGTAAAGATATCCAATATAAACCAAAACAAGCCAAAGACTAGAATAAATAACTAATCCATAAATGCAAAGACATAGGTGTGCATCCACAAGAAACAGCAGGCCAAGCACAGTGGATCACGCCTGTAATCCCAACACTGGGAGGCCAAAACAGGAGGATCCCTTGAGCCTAGGAGTTTGAAACCAGGCTGGGCAGCACAGCAAGACTTGCCTCTACAAAAAAACAAAAATAAAAACATTAGCTGGGTGTGGTGGCATGTGCCTGTAGTCCCAGCTACCAAGGAGGCTGAGATGGGAGGACAACTTGAGCTGGTAAATTAAGGCTGCAGTGAGCTGTGATCTCACCACTGCACTCCAGCCTGGGCAACAGAGCAAGACACTGTCAAATAAATAAATAAATAAATAAATGCAGCAAACAGGGAACCATGATCTCACCAAACAAAGCAAGGAACCTGACCCCAACCAGTAGGCGATATGTGAGCTCTCTGACCAAGAATTCAAAATAGTTTTAAGGAAACAACTATTCAGTCATCTCTAAGATAAGACAAAAAGCAATTCAGAAATTTATCAGAAAAAGTTAATAAACAGATTGAAATATTTTTAAAAAATCAAACAGAAATCTTGGAACTGAGAAATACATTTGCTGAACTGAAAAATTCATTAGAGGCTCTCCATAGAAGAATGGATCAAGCAGAAGAAAGAATCAGTGAGCTCAAAGACAGGCTATTTAAAAACACACAGAGGACTGCCAGGCACGGTGGCTCACGCCTGTAATCCCAGCACTTTGGGAGGCCAAGGCGGGCTGATCACAAGGTTGAGAGATCGAGACCACCCTGGCCAACATGGTGAAACCCCGTCTCTACTAAAAATACAAAAAAAAATTAGCCAGGCATGGTAGCAGGCGCCGGTAATCCCAGCTACTTGGGAGGCTGAGGCAGGAGAATCGCTTGAACACGGGAGGCAGAGGTTGCGGTGAGCCGAGATCGCGCCATTGCACCCCAGCCTGGGCAAAAAGAGTGAAACTCTGTCTCAAAGAAAAAAAAAAAAAAAACAGAGGAGAAAAAAACAAAAAAGAAAAGTAATGAAGTTGCCTACAAGATACAAAAAATTACCTCAAAAATGAAATCTAAGAATTGGCATTCAAGAGGGATTTGAACAAGAGAAAGTAGAAAGCTTATCCAAAGAAGTAACAGAAAACTTTCTAAAACTTCAGAAAAGACATAAATATCCAGGTAGACAAAGGCCAAAAAACCCCAAACAGATTTGACCCAAATAATACTAACCCCAAGTGGCCGGGCACAGTGGCTCACACCTGTAATCCCAGTACTTTGGGAGGTTGAGGCAGGCAAATCACCTGAGGTCCGGAGTTCCAGACTAGCCTGGCCAACATGGTGAAACCCTGTCTCTACTAAAAACACAAAAATTAGCTGGGTGGGGTGGTGGGCGCCTATAATCCCAGCTACTCGGGAGGCTGAGGCAGGAGAATCACTTGAACCCGGGAGGCAGAGGTTGCAGTGAGCCGAGATCTCACCATTGCACTCCAGCATGGGCGACAAGAGCGAAAGTCCTTCTCAAAAAAAAAAAAAAAAAAAAAAAAAAAAAAAAAAAAAAGACTAACCCGAAGCATAAAATAATCAAACTCTCAAAGGTCAAGGACAAAGAGAAAATCCTAAAAGCAGTACAAAAGCTGGGTGCAGTGGCTCAAGTCTGTAATCCCAGCACTTCGGGAGGCCAAGGCGGGCGGATCACCTGAGGTGTGGAGTTCAAGACCAGCCTGACCAACCTGGAGAAACCCCATCTCTACTAAAAATACAAAATTAGCTGGGTATGGTGGCGTATGCCTGTAATCCCAGCTACTCAGGAAAGCTGAGCCAGAAGAATTGCTTGAACCCAGGAGGTGGAGGTTGCGGTGAGACAAGATTGCGCCATTGCACACCAGCCTGGGCAACAAGAGTGAAACTCTGTCTCAAAAAAAAAAAAAAAAGGCAGTACCAAAAATGAAGTCGCTGTGCACAAGACTGATGCTTGTAATCCCAGCACTTTGGGAGGCCAAGGTGGGTAGATCACTTGAGGCCAGGAGTTTGAGACCAGCCTGGCCAAAATGGCAAAACCCCATCTCTACTAAAAAAATACAAAAATGAGCAGGGTGTGGTGGTGCGCGCCTGTAATTCCAGCTACTCGGGAGGCTGAGGCATGAAAACTGCTTGAACCCAGGAGGCAGAGGTTGCAGTGAGCTGAGATCGTGCCACTGCACTCTAGCCTGGGTGATGGAATGAGACTCTGTCTCAAAAAAAAAAAAAAAAAAAAAAAAAAAAAAATATATATATATATATGTATATATATATATGCATATATAATGGAGCTCCAATTTGTCTGGCAAAAGATTCATCAAGAGAAACCACATAGGCCAGGAGGGAGCTAGATGACACTTTCAAAATGCTAAAAGACAAAATGTTGTCTTCTATAAATATTGTAGCCAGCAAAGTTATCCTTCTAATATGAAGGAGAGATAAAGTATTTCCCAGACAAAGGGTGACGAAATTCACCACCATTAAGACTTGCAAAAATGCTAAAGGGAGTTCTTCAACATGAAATTAAAAAAACCACTAATATGCAAAAAAAAAATTGTTTTGGAAGATATAAAACTCACTGGAAAAATTAAGTCACAGACAAATCTAGAAGAATACTGTAATTGTGGTGTGTAACCTATTCATAACTCTATTATGAAGCCCAAAAGACAAATCTATCAAAAACAATATCTACAATAACTTTTTAAGAGACAGGCAATATAAAAACAGGCAAATTAAGACAACTGAAAGCCAAAAATGTGAGTATAGCATTTTATTTTTATTTGTTTCTATTCTTTGAGATATAAGCTGTCATACCTTTAAGATAATAACGCACTTCAATAAGATGTTTTATGTGAGCCTCATGGTAGCCACAGTGCCAAAACCAATAATAAATACTTTAAAAATAAACAGTAACAAAGTAAAACACACTAACAGAGAAGAGCATTTAACCACAAAGGATAACAGTAAGAAAGGAAGAGAGGACTAGAAAAACAACCAGAAAAACAACAAAACGCTAGTAGTAAATCCTTACTTACCAATAATACTTTTTTAAAGGCAAAACTCACAATTACTTTTGCAGCAACCTAACAACACAATGTAAAGGGGCTTTATTCTCCCATTAGAAGGCACAGAGTGGCTGAATAAATGAAGAAAAAAGAACCAACTCTATACTGCCCACAAGAAACCCACCTTACCAACAAAAGCATACACAGACTGAAAGTAAAGGGGTGGAAGAAGATATTCCATGCAACTGAAAACCAAAAAATAGCTTGACTAGCTATACTTACATCAGATAAAATACGCTACAAATCAAAGACAGACTATAAAGAGACAAAGATTACTATATAACGATAAAGCAGTCAATCCAGAAATAGTATAAACAATTATAAATATCTCTATCGCCCAACACCAGAGCTCTCAAGCATATAAAGCAAACACTGCTGGGCTTGGTGCCTCACACCTGTAATCCCAGCACTTTGGGAGGCGGAGGCTGGCAGATCACCTGAAGTCAGGAGTTCGAGGCCAGTCTAGCCAACATGGTGAAACCCTGTCTCTACTAAAAATACAAAAATTAGCCAGGCATGGTGGAGGGTGCCTGTAATCCCAGCTACTTGGGAGGCTGAGGCAGGAGAATCACTTGAACCTGGGAGGCAGAGGGTGCAGTTAGCAGAGATAGCGCCATTGCACTCCAGCCTGGGCAACAGAACGAGACTCTGTCTCAAAAAAAAAATAATAAAAATAAAGCAAACATGAATAGATCTAAATAGAATGCAATACAATAACGTAGGAGAATTTAACGCCCCACTCTCAGTAATAGACAGATCTAACAGAAGAATCAACAAAGAACATCAGTTAAACGATACACTAGATCTAATAGGCCTGACATTTAAAGAACACCCACCTAACCGCTGCAGAATATACATTATTTTCATCAGCACATAGACTATTCCCAAGAAGAGACATATCTGAGGTCACAAAACAAGTCTGAACAATTTTTTGAAAAACAGAAATTATATCAAGTACCTTTTCTCACTACAATGGAATAAAACTAGAAATCAGTAAGAAAACCCTTGGAAACTTCACAAATATGCTCCTGAATGACCAATGGATCAATAACAAAATTAAGAAGGAAATTAAAACTTTCTTAAAACAAATGAAAATGGGAATACAACATAACAGAATCTATAGGATACAGCAAAAGCAGTACTAAGAAAAGTTGAAAGCAATAAATGCTTACATTAAAAAAGCAGAAAAAAGAAAAAAAGTAGAAAGACTTCAAATAACCTAATAATGCACCTCAAGGAACTTGAAAAACAAGAACAAATCAAACCCAAATTTGTATGAAGAAAAAATAAAGATCAGAGCATAAATAAATGAAATAGAGACAAAAAAAAAGATCAATGAAATGAAACTTTTTAATGAAAAGTTACAATCAACAAAACTGTGGCTTGACTAAGCAAAAAAGAGAAGACCCAAGTAAGTAACAAATTAAATAGAAGACAAAACAACTAGATCAAAGAACTAAAAAGAATCCTTATGAACAACCATATACCAGCAAATTCAATAAAATCCAGAAGTGAGTGGATAAATTCCTGGACACATACAACCTACCAAGATTGAACCATAAGGAAATAGAAAACCTCACCAAATCAATAATGAGTAATGAGATGGAAGCCATAATAAAAAGTATCTTATCAAAGAAAAGCTCAGGACCTATGGCTTCACTGCTGAATTCTATCAAACATTTAAAGAACTAATACCAACTCTACTCAAACTCTTCAAAAAAAATTCAAAACCTCAACAAATCAATAATGAGTAATGAGATGGAAGCCATAATAAAAAGTATTTTATCAAAGAAAAGCTCAGGACCTGATGGTTTCACTGCTGAATTCTATCAAACATTTAAAGAAGAACTAACACCAATTCTACTCAAACTCTTCAAAAAAACTGAAGAGAAAGGAAGACTTCCAAACTCATCCTATGAGACCAGCATTATCCTGACACCAAAACCAGACAAAGCAACAACAACAACAAAAAACTACAAGCCCATATCACACATGAAGACAGATACAAAAATTCTCAATAAAATACCTGCAAACCAAATTGAACAACACATTAAAAGATCATTCACCATGATAAAGTGGCATTCATCCCAGGGACCCAAGGATGGTTCAACATATGTGATATGGTTTGGCTCTGTGTCCCCACCCAAATCTCATCTTGAATGGTACTCCCATAATTTCCATGTGTTGTGGAAGGGACCAGGTGGGAGATAATTGAATCATGGGGGCGGTTTACCCCATACTGTTTTCACGGTAGTGAATAAGTCTCACGAGATCTGATGGTTTCATAAGGGGAAACCCATTTTGCTTGGCTCTCATTCTCTCTCTTGCCATTGCCATGTGAGATGTGCCTTTCACCTTCAGCCATGATTGTGAGGCCTCCCCAGTCATATGGAACTCTAAGTCCAATAAACCTCTTTTGTAACTTGCTCAGTCTTGGGTATGTCTTTATCAGCAGCATGAAGAGACTAATACAATATGTAAATCAATAAACGTGATATATCACCTTAACAGAACCAAGAACAAAAACCATATGATAGTTTCAATAGATCCTGGAAAAGCATTTGATAAAATTCAACATCCCTTTATGATAAAAACCCTCAACAAACTGGGCATAGGAGGAACATTCCTCACAATAATAAAGATTATTTATGAAAAACCCATAGCTAACGTCATTCTAAATAGGGAAAAACTGAAGATTTTTCCTCTAAGATATGGAACAAGAATGCCGACTTTCACCACTTTTATTCAGTATAGTACTAGAAGTCCTGGCCAGAGCAGTTAAGCAAGAGAAAAAAATAAAGGGTAACCAAATTGGAAAGGAAGAAGTCAAATTAGCCTTGTTCACAAATGATATGATTGTATACTCAGAACAGCCTTAAGATTGCACCAAAAAAACCTGTTAGAACGGATGAACAAATTCAGTAAAATTCCAGGATGCAAAATCAACATACAAAAATCAGCAGCATTTCTATACATCAATGGTGTATAGAATAGCATACACCATTGTATGCTCACCAATGGCGAGCAATCTTACAAAGAAATCAGAAAGCAATCCCATTACAATAGCTACGAAGAACAGAAAAAATCCAGAATTAATTATTATTATTATATTTATTTATTTATTTATTTATTTATTTATTTTTGAGACAAAGTCTCACTCTGTTGCCCAGGCTGGAGTGCAGTGGCACCAATCTTGGTTCACTGCAGCCTCTGCCTCCCGGGTTCAAGCGATTCTCACGCCTCAGTCTCACGAGTAGCTAGGACTACAGGTGCACACCACCATGCCTGGCTAATTTTTTTGTATTTTTAATAGAGACGGGGTTTCACCATGCTGGCTAGGGTGATCTTGAACTCTTGGCCTCATGTGATCTGCCCTCCTCAGCCTCCCAAAGTGATGAGATTACAGGAGTGAGCCCCTGTGACCAGCTGGAATTAATTTAACCAAAGAAGTGAAAGATTTGTACAAGGAAAACTATAAAACTCTGATGAAAGAAATTGATGCAGACACACAAAAAATGGAAAGATATTCCATGCTCATGGATTGGAAGAATTAATATTGTTAAAATGACCACACAGAAGACAATTTTAGGATCTTTTTTTTTTTTTTTTTGAGACGGAGTTTCACTCTTGTTGCCCAGGGTGGAGTGCAATGGCGTGATCTTGGCTCACCACAACCTCCACCTCCCAGGTTCAAGCAATTCTCCTGCCTCGCCTCCCGAGTAGCCGGAATTACAGGCATGTGCCACCACGCCGGGCTAATTTTGTATTTTTAGTAGAGATGGGGTTTTTCCATGTTGGTCACATGCTGGTCTCGAACTCACAGCCTCAGATGATCCACCCGCCTCAGCCTCCCAAAGTGCTAGGATTACAAGCATGAGCCACAGCACCCAGCCAAGGATCGTTTTTTCCATTTCTGTGAAGAGTATTTTTGGTATTCTGATACAGATTACATTCTTCAAAGAAATAGAAAAAAATGACCCTAAAATTTAGGTGGAGCCACAAACACCCCAAATAGCCAAAACAATTTTAAGCAAAAAGAACGCTTTTGGGGAAAAGGTCAGGCACAGTGGCTCACGCCTGAAATCCCAACATTTTGGGAGGCTGAGGCAGGTGAATCACTTGAGGTCAGGAGTTCGAGACCAGCCTGGCCAAAATGGCAAAACCCCGTCTCTACTATAAATACAAAAATTAGCCGGGCATGATGGTGTGCACCTGTAATCCCAGCTACCTGGAGGTTGAGGCAGGAGAATTGCTTCAACCCAGGAGGCAGAGGTTGCAGGGAGCCAAGAATGAGCCACCACACTCCAGCCTGGGCAACAGCACAAGACTCCGTCTTAAAAAAAAAAGGGGTGAGGGGGGGAATACATGAACAGACATTTCTAAAAAGAAGACATACAAATGGCCAACAGGTATATGAAAAAATGTTCAACATCACAAATCATCAGGAAAATGCAAATAAAAACTATAAACATATATCATCTCACCCCAGTTAAAATGGCTTTTAACAAGAAGACTGGAAATAGCAGATGTTCTCAAAAATGCAGAGAAAGGAGAACCCTGGTACTGTGTTGGTGGGAATGTAAATTAGTAAAACCACTACAGATAACTGTATGCAGGTTCTCAAAAACCTAAAAACTGGTCAGGCACGGTGGCTCAGGGCTGTAATGCCAGCATTTTGGGAGGCCAAGGCAGGCGGATCACCTGAGGCCAGGAGTTTGAGACCAGCCTGTCTCACATAAAACCCCATCTCTACTAAAAACACAAAAATTAGCCAGGCGTGGTGGCACACACCTGTAATCCCAGCTACTCCGAGGCAGAGGCAGGAGAATCGCTTGAACCTAGGAAGCAGAGGTTGCAGTGAGCCAAGGTTGTGTCACTGCACTCCAGCCTGGGCAACAGAGCAAGACTCTATCTCAAAAAATCCAAAAACCTAATAACTGAACAACCGTATGATCCAGCAATTCCATTACTGGGTATATATGCAAAAGAATGAAATTCAGTACATCAAAAAGACATCTATGTGCCCATGTTTTTGCAGCACTATTCACAGTACCCAAGATAATAAAATCAACCTGAGTGCCCATCAGTGGATGAAAAAAATGTAGTATATGTACACAATGAAATATTATTCAGCCATTAAAAAGAATGAAATCCTGCCATTTGCAGCAACAAGGATGGAACTACACTTTGGGAAGTCAAGGTGGGCAGATCACTTGAGGCCAGGAGTTTGAGACCAGCCTGGTCAACATGGCGAAACCCATCTCTACTAAAAAATATATATGTGTGTATATACAAAATTAGCCAGGCATGGTGACACATGCCTGTAATCACAGCTACTGGGGAGGCTGAGGCACAACAATCGCCTGAACCTGGGAAGCAGAGGTTGCAGTGAGCCAAGATCATGCCACTGCATTCCAGCCTTTTTGAGACTCTGACAAAACAAACAAACAAACAATAAAAAGGATGGAACTGGAGGTCATTCTAAGTGACATAAGCCAAGCTCAGAAAGACAAATATATCACATGTTCTCATTCATATGTGGGAGCTACAAAAGTGGATCTCATAAAGAGCAGACTGATGGTTACCAGAGGGCTAAGGAGGTTGGGGGAGACGATGAAGAGAAGTTGAATAATTGGAACTAATAAACGGTTTGATGGAAGTCATAAGACCTAGTGTTGGACAGATCACTACTGTAAATGTAGTTTACAATAATCTATTGTATATTTCAAAACAGCTAGACGAATTCAAATAGTTCTAGCATAAACACAAATATTTAAGGTGCTGGATATGCCAAGTACAGTGATTTAATCTTCACAAATTATATGAATGTATTAAATTATCACATTTACTTTGAAAGCATGTACATCTATTAGGCATCAATTAAAAAATAAAATAAGGCCAGGCATGGCAGCTCACATCTATAAATAATCCCAGCACTCTGGGAGGCCAATGTGGGAGGATTGCTTGAGCCCAGGAGTTCACGACCAGTCTGGGTAATACAGTGAGACCCCACTCTACAAAAAATTTTAAAAATTAGCCAGGCATGGTGGGACATGCCTGTCGTCCCAGCTACTTGGGACACTGCGGTGGGAGGATCTACTTGAGCCAAGGAAGTTGAAGCTACAGTGAGCTGAGTTCACACTATTGCACTCCAACCTGGGCAACAGAGTGAGACCCTGTCTCTAAAAAAATAAAATAAGCCAGGCATGGTGGCACATGTCTGTAGTCCCAGCTACTCAAGAGGCTGAGGTAGCATGACTGTTTAAACTCAAGAGTTTGAGGCTGCAGTGAGTTACGACTGCGCCACTACACTGCAGCCTGGGAAACACTGTAAGACTCTGTCTCTAAAAAAAATTAAAAATAAATAAAATAAAAATTGATTTTATAAAACATTCTAAGAACATGTATATACGTGTATGTGTGTGTGTGTGTGTGTGTGTGTGTGTGTGTGTGTATATATATATATATATATATATAACCTTAAGAAAACTTCCTCTGGGAAATAGTTATGACAGTCAGCAATCAATTCAGACAACAATAAAATCAGGCTCCTGAAGGGCAAGAATCATGTTTATTCGTAATTCTTTCTCATATTTTTAGATAGCAGGACCCCAAATGCAGTAAAAACTCAATTTTTATTTCCAAAGGAACTCTTTTCTTAAAACCTTTATAACTTATGGCCAAAAACTACCTTCAAATACACGTAAGAACAAAATTCTCCATGCACAGTCTCAATTTGTCCCCATTAGTTAAAACGAAAAGGTTAAGCAAGGGTACCTCTGGTTAAAATTGGTAAAGTCTAAGTTGGTCTTCAATCTTTGTTTCTGCGGCTCTATATCTTCTTCACATTAACTTCTCATCTACACTTCTTGCATCCAACACTTAGGAGTTCTTATTCCTCCTATAAAAACAAAACTTAACCAGAAGCCAACTATATATACCTGTTAATTGACTTAAGTGTGAAGATGTTTGAGTCAAAGTATGTTCTCAAGCAGTTTTTACACATTAAAATATGTTTTATTTTAAAAAGGTTCTGACTCAGGTAAAGATTTTAGCTACCAATAAACAATGCCTCGCACACATATGGCATCAATAAATGTTAGTTAAATGAATCAAGGAAGAGTGCTATTTCTGTGGGGAGTGAATAGAAAGCTGAAATGACACTTTCTTACCCTAAGGCCTTCCAAGAAGTCATCTGGATTTGACTTTTTGAGGATTTTAAGCTGGGAGTGAAGAAGGGGAGGCAGCCCAAACGCAGCTGTCTTCTTTGCCTTGCCCAGAACAGACAGCTTAGTCCTTGGAGCTCTTCTGACTCCAGCACAGGTTTTCTTTGTCCCATTTGTCCTCATGTATTTACTAGGCCCTACCTTGCCAGCTGTTTGGAATGCAATATGAAGTCACTGTCCCTAGAGGTAGTACAATTCTAGTGGGTAACATCTGAAAAAGGAATTATAAGATAGGCTACAAATAGGAAGATCATCTAGTCTGACTAGGGACATCAAAACCAAGCCTTTAGGGATGAGTTAGCCAGATTTACATCTTTTTTGCCTAGGGAGGGGTAATTGAAAAGTTTCCTGAAGAGCTTGTGAAATGGCTTGAAAATAAGAAAGCGTTTCTTACTGTGTAAATGGAAAGACGTTAGATATAGCTACAGTTTAGGGAGGCAGCTATTACAGAGAGGAGGAAAAGTGATGAGAGACTAGAAAAGTACAGTAAAATGCATTGGGAAGAATTCATACCTTATCCTAATCTGCCTTTTAAAATGATTCCCTCTGGCAATATTGTTTAAGTTGAAGACAAGTATGATTAAATACAGGGACAGAGGTTAAAAGGCTATTTCAACAGAGTAACTGCACTACTGAAAAGACAAGTGGAAATATATTAAAATTACTCAGGAGACAGAATCTACAGGGCTTGATTGATTGTATAAGAAAAATGTGGGAGGATTAGGTGTTAAGGATATTTCCAAATCTTTGGCTTAAAAAAAACCAGCTGGATAATGGAACCATTCACAGAGATAATGAACACAGGAGGACGAACAAAACAAATTGGGGTGTGGGTTGGAAGGTGCACCAAGGTAGGGGAGTTGACTGAGTATAGAACACTTTATTTTACTTATATTATTTTTGAGACGAAGTCTTGCTCTGTCGCCCAGGATGGAGTGCAGCGAGACAATCTTGGCTCACTGCAACCTCTGCCTCCTAGGTTCAAGCAATTATCCTGCCTCAACCTCCCGAGTAGCTGAGATCATAGGCACCCACCACCACACCTGGCTAATTTTTTGTATTTTTAGTAGAAACAGGTTTCATCATGTTGGCCAGGCTGGCCTAGAACTCCTGACCTCAAGCAATCCACCCGCCTCAGCCTCCCAAAGTGCTGGGATTACAGGCGTGCAGAACATTTTAAAATTGATTATTTGTAGCAACTTCAAGTGGAACAATCCAAGAGGTATTTAAAATTATCAATATGAAGCTAAAGACAGGGATCTCACCATCACAGACTATACACCAGGAGCTGCATGTAGAATGAAACGAGAAGAGGACCAAGGCCTGGTAGGCCTGACGGTCACCAATATTTAAGGGACAGACAAGAAAGATATCTTGCAAAGAACACTGAGAATGACTAAGAGGGTGGGGTTGGGGGCGAGTATGGTATAACTAAGCCAAGGAAAGTGAAGGAAAAAATGATCAACATGACAAATGCCAAAGAGAAAGCAAGGTACAAAGGAGATCTGTTGATTCAAATTAGCATCAATGTGGTTACCAGTGACTAAGGAGAAAATGATCAACATGACAAATGCCAAAGAGAAAGCAAGGTACAAAGGAGATCTGTTGATTCAAATTAGCATCAATGTGGTTACCAGTGACTAAGGAGAAAAAAGCTGCCAAAGTATAGTGAGTTAAGAAGTGAGCAGGACATAAAAGTGGCAACAAATACAGACAATTCAAGGACTTTGAAGTCAAAGATAAAGAGGGATGTGGCAGCAAAGGATTTTCAGGTTGGCTGTTTTTCAAGATGAGAATTTTAAGCATGTTTTAGAAACTCTGGAAAGAAAAAAGTAGAGATAACTTTAGGGCTGAGCTCCCAGAGACAGCCTGAATAGATAAGATCCACGGCACCAAGAAGACTGATTAACCCTGGACAATTCTGGGGGACATTTATTTTATTGTACCAGGAGGAGAGAAGGAAAGAATGGATGCTGATATAAGTGGATTTTTCAGCTTGTAGTCAAAAATGAGGGAGCTGCCATCTGAATGATTCCAGGTGGCAAGTTTATATGAGTTAAGAGAGCACTGGGATGGGAGGTTTCAGAAGGTACAAGAAAGGAAAAATGAGCAGACTGGTGGGAGGATTCCTGGAAAGCTTTGAGGTCCCATTTGAGGTTGGCAAACATGACTTTATTTTCCACAGGAATTTCTTTACATAGTCTAGTAGTGCTCATGAGATATACAGGAACAAGAAAGAACATGAGACTGATCAAGTGTGTGGAATTTCATCAGACTGGCGCAAACAAAAAGGGTCCAGACAGTTAAAGGATACTGGCAACAAAGACTGTTGCTAAATTAACTCATGCTAAATTATATAAATTGTAAAGTTAAAATGTGTAGCAATAACGGTGAAACAACAGGTAATAAGGTCAAGAATTAAAGTCTGATTTCCATATAGTTATCTTCATCTTGCAACACAGGCATGATAGGAACTCCTTGATCTGAATATCTCACAGACTGGGTGCAGTGGGTCATGTCTGTAATCCCAGCATTTTGAGAGGCCAAGGTGGGAGGATCACTGGAGCCCAGGAGTTTGAGACCAGCCTGGGCAACATAGTGGGACCCCATCTCCGCATAAAATAAAAAATTAGCTGGGCATGGTGTGGCACACACCTGTGGTCCCAGCTACTTGGGAGACTGAAGTGGGAAGACTGATTGAGCCTAGGAGATTGAGGCTGCAGTGAGCTGTGATCCCACAACTGCACTCCAGCCTGTGTGACAGAGCAAGACTCTGTCTCAAAAAAATAAATAAAATAAATATCTCACAAATATGTGCTAAGAACAGAGGCATCAGTGGCTGGACAAATAATTCAAGCTCCAAGTCCATATAAATGGTCTCATTTCTAAAAGAAAAGGGCATACTAAATCTCCAGTTTCAATGTTCTCCTTAATACTAGAAAGTTTGTGAAAATAAAAGTGAAAATATGAGCCAGGTGCAGCAGCACAGGCTTGTAGTCCCAGCTACTTGGAAGGCTGAGGCAGTAGGATCACTTGAGGCCAGAAGTTCCAGACTAGCCCTGGCAACACAGCAAGACCTCATCTTTAAAAACTTGTTTTAAATAAATAAATGAAACAGAATGGGCTGTGCATGATTTTAAAATAATCCTTGTACCACTAAATTCTTAAATAAAAAATAATCCGTCTACCTGATTTTAAATAAAAACCTAAAACATCCCAGGCATGGTGGTTCACACCTGTAATCCCAGCACTTTGGGAGGCTGAGGCAGGTGGACTGCTTGAGCTCAGGAATTTGAAAACAGCCTGGGTTACATGGAGAGACCCTATCTGTACTTAAAAAATATATACGTGTGTGTGTGTGTATATATATCTACACACACACACACACGTATATATACACACACACACACGTATATATTTTTTAAGTACAGATAGGGTCTCGCCAGGTAAGTACAGATATACACACACACACACACACACACACACACACACACTTAAAAAATAAATGTATATATGTACACATACATATATTTTTAAGTGTATATATACACATACACACACACACACACACACATATATATACACACACACATATACAAAAAAAAAAAAAAAAAGCCAGGAATGGTGGCACGTGTCTGTGGTCCCAGCCACGTGGGAGGATCGCTTCAGGCCAGGAGGCAGAGGCTGCAGTGAGCTGAGATCCACTGTACTCCAGCCTGGGTGACAGAGTGAGACCCTGTCTTAAAAAAAAAAAAAAAAAAAAAAAAAACCTAAGATGAAGATGTAATACAATACATGAAACTTCTAAATCAAAATGTAAAACTGGTTTTACAGATGTCTAAAATAAATTATTCACAAAAACTCATTTCAAGGTGCCCTGACTATAATATAGAAGGTTATCAAAACAATAATAGCAGCACTGGCTTATCAAATAAACTGTCGATGTCACCAGCTGCTTCTGTCAAAAGATCTATAATCACTGGGCACAGTGGGGCACACCTGTAATCACAGGGAGGCTCACCTGAGCCCAGGAGTTCCAAACCAGTCTGGGCAATATAACAAGATCCTGCCTCAAAAAAATAAAATAAAATAGCACTGGGCCTGTTGGTTCATCCCTGTAATCCCAGCACTTTGGGAGGCCAAGATGGGAGGATCACTTGAGGCCAGGAGTTCCTGGTCATGCCTGGTCAATACAGTGAGACCCCCATCTCTTTTTATTTAAAAATGTTTTAATTAAAAAATAATAAAAGATCTGTAATCAGAATAATCTATTACTAACCAATAAAATTAAATTGACAAATGAAAATCCTTCTATTAGGCACATACAACATTAGGTTTATCAACTTTAAGAATAAACACGATGCACAGGAAGAATTGAGTCACATGTGTGCTATCAAGCATATAATCAAAATATAACTTTCAACTTTAAATTTTGGCAGAGAATCTTCTCAAATATTCTAAATTTCAATAAAATTCAAGGCTGTAACAGTCAGTATTCTAGTTTTAATCAACAAAACCAGGTAAACACCCCCAAAGAATTCCTTTCTGGTATATGTCCTATTTAAATGACATAGGTTTTAAGTTTGGCATGCAGCAATTCTTATCTTTAAAATATAATAAAGTATTGAGAACTACTATCATTTCAATGATTTTAAAGGTACTTAAACACTGTAAAACTTTATGTTTTAAAACAGGCCAACATATTTTGAAGTCCACTTTAGTACTTGCAATATTTTATGCACCACAAACACCTTTCTCTTTCTTCACATGTGAATAGTAGCAATCTTTGCCCTTCTATATTCTCCCCACCAAAAAAGATTCACATGCCCCCTTTCAGAAAAAAAAAACAAACACCTTCCCATCCTCCCAATTTGGCAATTACACTTCTACCAATAAAGGTTTCCTTAAAGTAAACAAAACAGAGCTAAACTCAAGGATGCTTATTACAGAAAGCTGAAGACGACTACTTATTCAGCCCTATTTCTCTAATGACACTCACATAATTACAGTCTTTTGATTTCTAATCTAGATTCCCTTAGCTAGAAACACTGAGTTTTCTAATACTAAAGGGAAATTGGAGCTATAACATATTTGCTTTCCCTCCCATAGCTAAGATGTTTAAGTTCCAAATCAGAGACAGTTAGTCTTATATATTGGTACAATCTTTCTGTCTCTTGGAAATTATCTCCCTTTCCATATCATTCAAATCACAGTTTCAACCCTAAGTATAGATAAACCACAAAAGAAAAAGAAAAAAAAAGTATCATATCAATAGTATGCATAAAAGTAGAATCTATAAATGTAGATTCTAATTAACTAGTCTTCTTTTTAACTTGTTGCCTTTTATAAACAGAATACATTTAATTCTAAAAGCAAAAATTGCAGGGTGGACATGGCAGCTCACGTCTGTAATCCCAGCAGCCTGGGAGGCCAAGGCGGGAGGATCACTTGAGCCCAGGAGTTAGACATCAGCCTGGGCAACATAAGGAGACCCCAGCCTCCATTTTTTTTTGTTTTTTTTTTAAAAAAGACCAGATTTCTCACATACTAAGATCAGTAGGAAATTAACAAGGAAAAAGGCATGAAGGAAGCATTCCAGTAAATAAGGAAAAAATAAATAATTTTTGCTTAGCATACCTAAAGTCTCCCCTAGTTGCTCACTTGTTGATGATAAAATGCCTAACAACTGACTTTGAAAAAGAAACTAACAGGCAGGGCGCGGTGGCTCACGCCTGTAATCCCAGTACGTGGGGAGGCCGAGGTGGGCGGATCATTTGAGGTGAGGAGTTCAAGACCAGCCTGGCCAACATGATGAAACCCGTCTCTACTAAAAACACAAAAATTAGCTGGGCGTGGTGGTGTGCGCCTGTAATCCCAGCTGCTTGGGAGGCAGAGGCACGAGAACAGCTTGAACCCGGGAGGCGGAGGTTGCAGTGAGCTGAGATCACACCACTGCACTCTAGCCTGGGTGATAGAGTGATACTCAGTCTCCAAAAAAAAAAAAAAAGAAAAAAAAAGAAACTAACAGGAATATTTTATTTGGACTCAAATCTAAATGATTAAAGCTATTTTTAAATGTAGCAATTAATATTTATATTACTATAAGGTTTCTCTATCCATTTTTCATTAATTCAACCACGATTTATGAAGTACTTTCTATTGTTAGGCATTACAATAAATATAACCTTAATTTTATGAAAACTGACATTTTTGAGAGTTTTACATGTGCTAAACCATGGACTTACAGCTTAGCACTTTTTCATGTAGCAACTCTATGAATAATACTCTTTTAGTCCCATTTTACAGAAGAGAAAAAAAGAAATTCCAAGAGTATAACTTGCTAATGGATAAACAGCTAATTAAAAGGGACCACATTGGAAATCAACTCCAAGTAATGACCTTACTGTTAGGTTTAAACACTCTTTCAATCACTGTTCTAGGTGCTCACAATGAAGCGTGGGAAGTCATACACATACAATCCACAAGGCAAGACTGGTTAATGATAGAATAAAGATGCAAAGAAAGTGCTCTGAAAGCACAGGAGAGATGGTCATTGCCCACAAGAGGTTTTCTTACTAAGAGCAAAGTCAAAACAGCTTGATGCCTGATGAGGTAGTAAAAAAGTATCTAATACTTAAATAGACTAATCTGCGTTGGTAATTTCATATTTTCAAATCTAGAAAATAGGAGAAGTGGCATTCAGTTTCATTTCCATTTAAAACCTGTCAGGCTTTATGAGTAAAACAAGATCTCACATCTTGTAATCTTTCAAACCAAGAACACGTAAGTTATCTGCAAACATGCAAAGGGAGGAATTACAAAAGCAGGACTGTCCTAAAAGAAAACACAAAGTACCAAAAGGAATAAAAGAATTTTTCAAGGGGAACTGCAAGAGGAAGATGTCATGCTCCACTTCAAGTAAAATGCAACTGAGGGATATTTTAGTCTTCACATACCATCTACCATTAATGTTTACTATTTTCCTATCAAAGAAAAGTCAAAATCAAAAAAGGTTAAAAACAACACTCAAGGCTGGGTGCAGTGGCTCCCGCCTGTAATCCCAGCACTTTGGGAGGCCAAGACTGGTGGATCACCTGAGGTCAGGAGCTCCAGACCAGCCTGACCAACATGGTGAAACCCCACCTCTACTAAAAAATACAAAATTAGCAGGGCATGGTGGCACATGCCTGTAATCCCAGCTTCTCAGGAGGCTGAGGCAGGAGAATCTCTTGAACACAGGAGGCGGAAGTTGCAGTGAGCTAAGATCGCGCCATTGCACTCCAGCCTGGGCAACGACAGCGAAACTCCGTCTCAAAAAAAAAAAACAACACAAAACAACTCAAGAAGTAAACAATAGATTCTGCCTTTTAACATGAGAGAAGAAAAAAGGGCGATTTCAAGAGAGAAAAATTTAAGGTGTATATAAGTGTCCAGGATAATGAGCGTAAGCAACTTAAAGAGTCAAGGATGAACAGGCTGCAAAGGAAAACCATGACTGTTAAATCCTTAAAATTCCATCAAAACTAAAGAGAGCTGAACTCTCTTTATACTTAAAAATTTATTTTTAGTTTATTTACTGAATGCTTCCAGAGACCTGGAAGAAATCTGCAGTAGGCTTGGTGGGAGATTAAATCCTACTCAATGGAAATGAACTTTAAAATTCAGCAGAACTGAGCAACAAGCTACATGATGGTACAGGATGACCATCTATCTAATCCTCCTCGGCACATTAACTGATCTCTCCTTAAAAACAATACACAGACATTCACCAAGGTTTTATAGAGGAATGCATCCAGGTATATAAATAGGCCATCATACTGCATATGCTTTGAAGTTCACACCACTGCTTACATAGATTGTGAATGCCTTCTTAGAAAAAATTCTTAGGGCTGGGCATGGTGGCTCACGCCTCTAATCCTAGCATTTTGGGAGGCTGAAGTGGGAGGATCACTTGAGCCCAGGAAGTCAAGACCAGCCTGGGCAACATAAGGAGACCCCTCTCTACAAAAAATAGAAAACTTAGCCAGCCGTGGTGATTAGAATCTGTAGTCCTAGCTCCTCAGGAGCCTAAGGTGGAAGGACGGCTTGTGCCGGGGAGGTCGAGGCTGCAGTGAGCTGTGATCCCGCCACTGCACTCCAGCCTAGGTGACAGAGGGAGACCTCATTTCAAAAGTTTTTAAAAAGCAAAAGTTCTTAGAATTTACACTGGAGAAAGCACTCATATAAATTTAGGAAATGACAGAGAATGCAACAATATTATCCTATAATTTCCCACTAGGAAAACCTTCTAAGGATGATGTTTACTTTCCTCTCAAGCAGCAAGAGCAGAGAGCAATGCCCAGGTGTAAGGAAACTATAGTTGCTCACTGGGACCCTCAGAGCTCACTCTTTTCCCAAGTATTCAGGCTGGGCAAACATTTAGAATTGGAATCCCGATAATTAAGATGTGTATGAGTCAATCTAAAGGGGAGGTACAGTCTCTATTTGAAAACAAAATGCTTCTTGGCACAATTCTAAAAGTACAATTCAGGCATTAAATGCCTCCACCATTTTAAATGCTGAGTATTATTTATTCTGACCAACAAAGACCACAGAAAAATTAAAAGCAGAGAAAAAGATTAGAAATTTAACACTCCTAAACCTGGGGCATTGGTTACGTTGTTTACTTTGTGTCACTTATACAAAATTAAGTTTTACTTTTATTTTTTTTAAAGAAAAAAGCCTACAGCACTTAGTATTCCCAGGCAGTGACAAGTTTTACTTTTAATCACAACTAAAGAGGTATCTACACAAATTGTAGCAAAAATCATTAGCATTATAAATTTATGTAGATAAAAGTATCATGTGCAATTACTGACTTATATTTTGAAATTGTTATTAAAAAAAAACCTATAGTTAAGGTAGAAAAATGCCACTATACTGACAAGTAGCCCGAAATTTGGTGCCCTCTTCTTGTCAATATGTGACCAATGAAAAGCAAGTTAAGCAACCTTAACCTGGGATTACCAGGTTATTGTAAAATATCCAAGAAATATTTTTAAAAATGAAAAGGCTTTTTTTTCTTTCCGAAGTTATTTCTCAGGGAATTAGAAAAGAAAATAAATGAAAAACACTGTTCTCAAGGCTAGTTGTTGATGGCAAACAATTGGTAATTGTTTTGAGACACCCACTTTTTAACTACAAAGATACTTGACCTTAACTTAGAATACAAAATGAAACCAATCTCCACTATTCCTAAATTTGACAATTTGAACCTATAGAATGGTATAAAAAAGCCCCCAACTCGTTACTCAACAAAGATTTTTGAACAAACGACTTTGGCAAAGCACCCTGGCCCAAGGCAGACAGACCAAAAACTTTAAAAATCCTACAAAATATTCTAACTTGAGTTCAGGCTCCATACAGTACCTCACTGACCGACATGGTTTTGCTTCCTTAGTTCTCAAGGGCCAGGTCTGCTGGGTTCTGGGTGGTAAGGACCCCCCTGGGGAGACAAGACCTCGCGCCTCTGCCCGTCGTTCTGGGCCAAGCTCGGCCCAGAATGACGGGCAAAGGCCGGGCCACGGGCGACGCGAGGGCCTCCCTCACTCACCGTGAAGCGCTGGTCGCCAATGCTGCCCACGGAGAAGCAGTGGTCGCCAGGGTTCACAGCCCCGGTCAGCACCTGGTGCAGGTTCATGTCGGCGCCCTAGTCCTGCAACGGACACCGCATCCAGCTCATGCCACGGGTCAGCGGCTGCTTCCCTCCCTCCTTCCCTCAGGGGCGGCGGCCGCTCTTCGGTGGCGACGGCAGAAGCAGCGACAGGCGCCTGGAGCCGGAGCCGCTCAGCTGGGGCCCGCGACTCATCCCGAGCCCCGGAGGGCGAGGCCCGGAGGGGGCGGGTCGGCGAGAGGGCGGAGCGCCGCGCTCCTTCGCGCACCTGTCACTCCCCGCGCTAGCCCAGGTGAAGCTCAGGGTCCCCTCACCGGCCACGACCCGGGGCCGACTCACCGGCCAGGAAGGCCGCGCTGTCCACACACTTCCTCTGGACCTCGGGCAGCCGCTCCTGACCCAGCCCGAGTGGCGCAAGCAGTACGCGCTCGCACTCCCCGCCTGACCTGTCCCTTCCCGGCTCCGGTGCCCGCCACCCCCACAGTCCTCCGCCACTCACTACGCGCCTCTGGATCCCTGCGGCCGAAATATCGCGAGACTTCGCTCGGGGCAGCTGCTACTGTGGTAAAGAATTCACTTTTTTACCACAGCGTGCGTATCAGCAAGTGAACATAAAAACGCCTCTTCTAGTCAGAAACTGGCCAATCCCGACCCCCGGTCCACCTAGGGCTCCGCCCACCACCGAGAATAAGCCAATCTCTTTGAGGCTTCTACAGGAGAACGCCGTGCGTTTGAGCTTGAACCTGATAAGCCTGGCAGAAGCCTGATGAACCCAGAATGAGTGAGATGTGGTAAGTTGTGCTTTAGGTTAGGGCGTCATCTAACTGTTGGGCCAGAAAATTTAAAGGGGAGAAGTGCATCCTAAAGGGAGTTGCAGTTTCCTCGGTTCTGGTAGGACTACAAGTCCCAATATGCACCGCTCCCCCGGGCGACCTGAGTGTCTCTTGAGTAAATGTGACCCTTGAAACGTCTACGTTAGCAGCTTAATGGTTTCTCCAGCCTTGCGCGTGTTTCCAAGTCCCTAAACGGGATGGTTTTTGAAAGGCTCGAACACTTGACAAGTAGGAAAGTGGTATTTTCTTAGCCTAAGTTATCTTAACACGTGATTTGAAATAGTGCTGGTAATAACAACACACCAGCCCTGCATTGAGCGTTTGTTTTGGAAAAGAACCTAGGAATTCCAGAATGATCAGAGTCACAGCTACAAACTGAGATTCAACTCTCATTGTATTTTGACACAAGTTTTGTATTATAATTGACAAACATCTGTTTATATGTCTCCCCCTGTATACCGTAAGCCTCTTTGGAATACAGAGGAACAGGACACAAGTCTGTCCTTAATGTCTAGCACCGCACCAGTCCCACCCATTCAGGGTGTTCTGTAAATGTTGCATGAATGTGTATAGAAACTCTCCAAATAGGCCAGGCACGGTGACTCACGCCTATTATTCCAGAACTTTGGGAGGCCGAGGAGGGTGAATCACGAGGTCAGGAGTTCGAGACCAGCCTGGCCAACATAGTGAAACCCCCTTCTCTACTAAAAATACAAAAATTAGCCGGGCGTGGTGGCTCCCACCTGTAATCCCAGCTACTCGGGAGGTTGAGGCAGGAGAATCACTTGAACCCGGGAGGCAGAGGTTGTAGTGAGCCAAGACCCCCGTTGCACTCCAGCCTGGGTGACAGAGTGAGATCCCGTCTCAAAACAAACAACCCTCAAAACTCTCCAATAGGCCAGGCACGATGGCTCACGCCTGTAATCCCAGCACTTTGGTAAGTCGAGGTGGGGGCGGGGGGATCACCTGAGGTTGGGAGTTCGAGACCAGCCTGGCTAACATTGTGAAACCCAGTTTCTACTAAAAATTAAAAAATTAGCCTGGCATGGTGGCACGCGCCTGTAATCCCAGCTACTGGGAAGCTGAGGCGAGAGAATCGCTTGAACCTGGGAGACGGAGGTTGCAGTGAGCCAAGATCGTGTCATTGCACTCCAGCTTGGGCAACAAGAGAGAAAGTCAAAAAAAAAAAAAAAAAAGAGAGAAAAGAAAATAAAGAAACTCCCCCTTTTGTTGTAGTATGAAGACTTCAAACTATAATAATACTAGGGTGGGACGAGTACTAGTAAATTTATTTCCTTTTATTTTTACTACATTTTTTGCAATGTACATTTACTTTGTCTGACAATAAAAAGCTACTTACGAGATACTTTTTAGTTCATAAGTGGGATGATTGTGTGTTCACACTTGTGTGAGACGTCCCTCCCTCAAACCTTGTTGCGCCATCATCTGCACATTACCCATCTGATGTGGGGAAAAAAAAAAAACCCGAAACTTATTTAAAAAATGAATTTCATTATGTATTCCAGGCTTTTCATAAGATAAGGGACAAAACTTAATTTGTCTTTTTTTAAAATATACTTATTTTTTGAGGTCTAACATACCTACAGTTTGTCTTTTATTATTTCAAATTATACTTCAAGTGCTTTTTAATTTTATATTTTAGACCCAGAACCAGGATTGTTGTACTTGTGTGGCTCCCACATAAATTCTGTGGCTGGTTCATAATTTAACATGTTTACTCATTCTATTTTGCCCATTTGTTAGTTTTGAAGAGCATTCCACGTATTAGAATAAAACTGAGCAACAAGATGCGGGGCGCGGTGGCTCACGCCTGTAATCCCAGCACTTTGGGAGGCCAAGGCGGGCAGATCATGAGGTCAGGAGATCAAGACCGTCCTGGCTAACACAGTGAAACCCCGTCTCTACAGAAAATACAGAAAAAAAAATTAGCCAGGCGTGGTGGCGGGCACCTATAGTCCCAGCTATTTAGGAGGCTGAGGCAGGAGAATGGCGTGAACCCGGGAGGCGGAGCTTGCAGTGAGCAGAGCTTGCGCCACTGCACTCCAGCCTGGGCGACAGAGCAAGACTCCATCCCAAAAACAAAACAAAACAAAACAAAAAACAACAAACAAACAAAATTCCCTTTGCCTCCAAGATGCTGCCCCTCACAGATCATCTCCTAATGTCATAAAATTCCCCTACTAAGGTTCTGTCGAATCCTAAATCTATTCCTGATTTATTGTGCAACTTTGACATGACTCTGACCTTATGGGAAGATTAATAAGAAGGTGGAGGAGGTGAAAGTAAATTTTAGGTTGTTTGCCCCTCATCCTCCTGTTCCTGTTTCCTTACTGCGGGTCTAGAAGGCAGCACTGCATGCCTCCATTCCACTTGCTCAAAGTCTCCACATTCCTTCTACCAAAGGCTCACAAATCAACCTGCTAATCCAAGAAATCCAGGAGAAGGGCCTGGTGCAGTGGTTAACACCTGCAATCCCAGCGCTTTGGGAGGCTGAGGCAGGAAGATCCCTGAACTCAGGAGTTCCAGGTTGCAGTGAACTATGATCACGCCACTGTACTCTAACCTGGGCGATAGACCTTGTCTTAAAAAAAAAAAAAAAATCCCGGAGAATTATTGAGTCTAATTATCCCCTCAACTATAATTGAATTATATCCTTCCATCCTTTGAATGCTCACTGACTGTGTGCTTTGGTGGTTTTCTTTTTTAGTTTCTAAAAAAAAATAAGAGAGAAAGGATGGCTCTACAAAAAAAAAAAAAAAAAAGTCTTGCTGTATGCAGCGCCAGTAGTCCCAGTTACCCAAGAGGCTAAGGCAGGAGAATCGTTGAGAGTCCAGGAGTTCAAGTCCAGTCTAGGTAAAATAGATCACGTCTCTTAAAAACCAAATAAAAAATTAAAAATAAAATAAAGGAAGTCTTTTATTGTATAGTTTGCATTATTACTAGCAGCAAGATGTCTTACATAACCGACGTGCCATGTGGTTTCTGAGATTGGCAGGCCAAAGATAAGTTTTGGTTTTCAATGCTAGTCTTCAAGAGGAGGGGGAATTTTTTTTTTTTTTTTTGGGACAGAGTCTTGCTCTGTCACCCAGGCTGGAGAGCAGTGGCGCGATCTCAAGAAGAGGGGGAATTTTATAAGAGTCAGTGGGTGGTGATAGTTTAAAGAAACCCAAGCAGGCCAAATTCTGAGATTCTTGGAAAGAAAAGGAGCATATAGGAAGCTAGCTCAGATTGGGAAATAATCATGCCTCTTGCCCACTCTTGATTTCTTGAAATCCTTGTCATTACCCTCCTCCCCCACCCCAAATAGACCAATCTAAATCCCTATTCTTGGCCGGGGGCAGTGGCTCACATCTGTAATCCCAGCACTTTGGGAGGCCCAGGCGGGCGGATCACCTGAGGTCCAGCGACCAACATGGCAAAACCCTGTCTTACTAAAAAATACAAAAATTAGGGCTGGGGGCGGTGGCTCATGCCTGTAATCCCAGCACTTTGGGAGGCCGAGGCAGATGGATCATGAGGTCAGGAGTTTGAGACCAGCCCGGCCAACGCAGTAAAACCCTGTCTCTACTAAAAATACAACAAATTAGACAGGAGTGCTGGCAGGTGCCTGTAATTCCAGCTACTCTGGAGGCTGAGGCAGGAGAATCGCTTGAAGCTGTGAGGTGGAGGTTACAGTGAGCCAAGATCATGCCATTGCACTCCAGCCTGGGTAACAAGAGTGAAACTCCGTCTCATGAACAAACAAACAAACAAAAAATTATCAGGGTGTGGTGGCACGTGCCTGTAGTCCCAGCTACTTGGGAGGCTAAGTCAGGAGAATCGCTTGAACCTGGGAGGCGGAGGTTGCAGTGAGCCGAGATCACTCCACTGCACTACAGCTTGGGCAACAGAGCGAGACTTCCTTTCAAAAAAAAAAAAAAAAAAAAATCCCTATTCTCCCAGGGCCTCTGTCACTAGATCCACCTATAGGGGCTTCAGTCCCCACTGCCAACACCGATAGATGAGGGAAGTTAGCAGTAAGGGAAATTCTTAGTCTCATAACTAAGCCTAAATCAAGGGGAGTATGCTGCTTTAATTTCACAAGCATTCTAACCTCATTATCTCATAAAAATAATATGAGGGTCTCTGCAACGAAGATGTTAGTTGCTCTGGAAACTTGCCTCTACCGCCAAGAGCAACCTTGCCTACAGCAAAATTCATCAGGAATAGTATAGGTTAAATAGATATTTGATAGCCTGGGGTAGTGACGCATGCCTGTAGTCCTAGCTACTTCAGAGGCTGAGGTAGGAGGATCGCTTGAGCCCAAGAGATTGAGGCTGCGATGTTCCATGATTGGCACCACTGCACTCTAGCCTGGGTTACAGAGGAAGACCCTGTTTCAAAAAAAAAAAGAATTTGTACAAATAATCCAAATTTAGAAAGATGTGAACAGGCCGGGCACGGTGGCTCATGCCTGTAATCCCAGCACTTTGGGAGGCCGAGGCGGGCGGATCACAAGATCAAGAGTTCGAGACCACCCTGGCTAACACGGTGAAACCCCATCTCTACTAAAAATACAAAAAAAATTAGCTGGGCGTAGGTGGTGCATGACTGTAGTCCCAGCTACTCGGGAGGCTGAGGCAGAAGAATGGTGTAAAACCCGGGAGGTGGAGGTTGCAGTGAGTCGAGATCGCGCCACTGCACTCCAGCCTGGGAGACAGAGCGAGACTCCGTCTCAAAAAAAAAAAAAAAAAAAAAAAGATGTGAACTGGAACTACCGTATATTCTTATTTTTTATCTCTTCTGCCTGAGGGAAGTGGAAATAGCTGCTAGAGAGTGACAAAGAAAAAAGAATTATAAACACGTGCACACACACACACACACACACACTTTTTTTTTTTTTCTTGAGACAGAATCTCACTCTGTCACCCAGGCTGGAGTGGAGTGGCACCATCACGATTCACTGCAGCCTTGACCTCCTGGCAGGCTCAGGTGATCCTTCCGCCTCAGCCTCCCAAGTAGCTGGGACCACAGGTACGCGCCACCAAGCCCAGCAAATTTTTGTATTTTTTGTAGTGACGGGGTTTTGGCGTGTTGCCCAGACTGGTCTCGAACTCCTGGGCTCAAGTGATCCACCCACCTCGGCCTCCCAAAGTGCTGGGATTGTAGGTGTGAGTCACCATGCCTGGTCACACACACTTTTTATATGAGGAATGTAAGCCCTTTTAAATTATCAGGCCCAGGAAGGCATTAAAATGAGACACCATTCATATCCTATTTCTCTCCTTGAACTATGTAATCTCTTGAAACTGCTTTCGTGGCTGGGCACGGAGGCTCACGCCTGTAATCCTAACACTTTGGGAGGCCGAGGTGGGTGGATCACCTGAGGTTGGGAGTTCGAGACCAGCCTGGCCAACATGATGAAACCTGTCTCTACTAAAAATACAAAAATTAGCCAGGCATAGTAGTGGCAGCCGCCTATGATCCCAGCTACTGGGGAGGCTGAGGCAGGAGAATCGCTTGAACCCGCTGGAGATCGTGGTGAGCCAAGATCGCACTCCAGTCTGGGCAACAGAGTGAGACTCCATCTCAAAAAAAAAAAAAAAAAAAGAAACTACTAGCTATATTCGCTGTTTCTACAAGTAACTATAAATTAATCTAACAATGCCACATTCTGGACAGTATAACCCACACACTGTAGCTCAATAATGTATAGCCAATCACTAATCAATGTTATTTCTGTGAACTGATGAGAATTCCTGACAAACAATTTTGTATAAGCCCACTCCTTATCCTCTTTTTGCCTTCAAAAATCTGCTTGTAGCGCCGGGCGCGGTGGCTCACGCTCGTAATCCCAGCACTTTGGGAGGCCAAGGTGGGCGGATCACGAGGTCAGGAGATTGAGACCCTCCTAGCTAACACAGTGAAACCCCGTTTCTACTGAAAATACAAAAAAATTAGCCGGACGTGGTGGCACGCGCCTGTAGTCCCAGCTACTCGGGAGGCTGAGGCAGGAGAATGGCGTGAACCCAGGAGGCGGAGCTTGCAGTGAGCGGAGATCGCGCCACTGCACTCCAGCCTGGGTGACAGAGTGAGACTCTGTCTCAAAAAAAAAAAAAAAAAAAAAATCTGCTTGTAGCAAAGGTCTGAACGGAGCACTTCCCAAGACAATTTGGAAGTGTGTCCCAGGCAGCTGTTCTCTACTTTGGCCCAAATATACTCTATATTAATTCTGAGGCTCAGCTTCTTTTGTTTTAGTTTGACAAGAGAGATGAATAAAAAGAGAAATGAACAACCACAACCTGGGCTACCTCTCGTTAGCAAACACATAGGCTCCAGGGCCCTACACTGAATTAAGGGAACGGTCCAAATTCCAGTAGTAATTCCCATGTGAAGAGGATTATAAGTCTGGCAAGTATCAGAGAGCTCATTAGAAGTAGATTACATAAATCCTACACATTTCACAAAGTGGGACATGGGAACCAAGTCTAGCAGTATAGATACCAGTTAGATACCGTGGGCAAATTAAAAAGAAATATCAATTGTGTAATCATTGTAGTCATTAACATCAAGTGAATATTTAGTAAAGTACTATTCTAAGCATTCTGTATTGACTCATTTAATTCTCATGTCAACCTGAAGAGATAGATACTATTATTCCCTCCTCCCCCATTATTTTCCCCTATTATTTTCTAACTTGTACAAGTAAGGAAACTGAGACAGAGTAAATTTCCTTGCCCAAGTCACATAGTAAGGGGTAGAGGGAGAAGTTCTTAACTGTTATAGTATACTGCCTCTATACAAGAGAAAAAACGAACCCTCTACACTGTTCTCCATCTCCACTACCACCTCCTACTCATAGCAACCCCTCCCACTCAAACCACAAGGAAAGACACATGACCGATAATAAAACTACTCGGTAAGATTTATGCAATATATTCTGCTTGCCAGGGATTGTTCTGTGTATTTCTACACAGAATGTAATCTTTACAATATAATCCCTAGATTACAGATAAGGAAACGAAAACAGTAAAGGGCAGTAATTTCCCAAGGTCACACAGCTAGCTGGGATTTAAGTCCATTATGTCTGGCAACACAGAACACATGCCCTTTCCCAGGCAGGTCTATACTGCCTCACCTCTGTTTCCCTAGCTACTGTAATTGACTCAGGGATGAACCCCAGCTGGGTCAATCAGAATCTTTCTCCAGGATTTTCTGCTGCATCTATCAGGGAACTCTTGCATTTTTGAAGTAATTAAACATTGTCCCTGAACATAAATGACCCTTGAGTGTTTTAGGAAGAATGAAGAAAGAAAAGTAGAGCTGAACTCCATTTTTGATATTTACTACAGGGAGTAAAGGGAAGCCATGACAACCTCACTTGAACTCTTGGTCCAGTCCTGTTTAATGTCCATCCTACCCAATTATGTGAGCACAAAATCCTCCCCACCTACTTTACATATATATATAATATATATATTATATATATAATATATATATTTAATATATAATATATATATTATATATATTTAATATATAATATATATTATATATATTTAATATATAATATATATTATATATATTTAATATATAATATAT
Source organism: Homo sapiens (assembly GCF_000001405.40). NCBI lineage: Eukaryota > Metazoa > Chordata > Mammalia > Primates > Hominidae > Homo > Homo sapiens. The sequence goes on along the minus strand of NC_000005.10, from coordinate 119,063,164 downwards.
AAAATATATATATAATATATATATTATATATATTTAATATATAATATATAAAATATATATATAATATATATAATATATATATTATATATATTTAATATATAATATATAAAATATATATATTATATATATATAATATATATATATATAGTGAGAGAGAGAGAGATGAGTCATGCTATGTTGGCCTCAAGCAATCCTCCCTCCTTGGCCTACCAAAGTGTTGGGATTACAGGTGTGAACCACCATGCCCAACCTCTACCTACTTTTTTTTTCTTAAGTTCGCTTGAATTCCATTTCTGTCACTTTGGATAACAAGACTAACACATGATAACTTAAATTCCCACCAACATGAGAATTCCAGTTTTTCTGCATCTTTAGAAAGTATTAAGCATATGAATTAACAGAGAGAACACTAGAGATTAGAGAAAAGCAAGAATATGATTCCTGAAAGGTGCTTAATACATAACTTGACAAAACTAACTTTAATTGCCAGCAGTAGGATTTTTAAACTTTTTTTTTTTTTGAGACAGATTCTTGCTCTGTTGCCCAGGCTGGAGTGCAGTGGCACCATCTCGGCTCACCGCAAGCTCCGCCTCCCAGGTTCACGCCATTCTCCTGCCTCAGCCTCCCAAGTAGCTGGGACTACAGGCGCCCGCCACCACACCCGGCTAATATTTTGTATTTTTAGTAGAGATGGGTTTCACTGTGTTAGCCAGGATTGTCTTGATCTCCTGACCTCGTGATCCGCCCGCCTTGGCCTCCCAAAGTGCTGGGATTACAAGCATGAGCCACCGCGCCCAGCCAGAAAAGGATTTTTAAAAACAAAAGTATAGACACAAGGTGAAAATTCTACAGAAAAATATGTAACAGAGTTCTGAATGAATAGAAGAAAGCAGAGTTGAGGAATGGGTGAATTGCTTAATCTTTCACCTGCTGAGTTTTCATTCCCTGTACAGCAGAAGGAAAAAAAAGAGAAAACTTTTTTAAGAAAGAAATTCAGTAAGCAGCTTTCTGAAAACACTCATTTCTGTCACTGAAATTGCTACAAATGCAAATATCCACAATACCTTTCCCTGTATTCTAGAAGAACACTTCCATATTCTCTGTGCAGAGGCTTTTGGTTATAATTCCTGGATTTAAAGCATCCAAAGAGAGAAAGCTCCAGGTTTGCACATACTGCTTTAATTAAACAATAATGGATTTTTAGTAAGTAGGGTCTTTTGCTCTCTAAATCTAAAGAACTAAAGGTAGATAAAAGAAACATCTTTTGCTGTAAGTGAAAAAGTAATTTTTGCTCTACTATATATATATTTCTGGGAAGAAAAAAAATCTCACCCTCAAGCTTGTGTTCTTTAAAATGAAATATTTTGACCAAGCAGAGTGGCCCATGCCTATAATCCCAGCAATTTGGAAGGGCAAGGCAGGATAGCTTGAGACCAGGAGTTCAAGACCAGCCTGGGCAACATAGAGAGAGACCTCATCTCTATTTTTAAAAAACGAAATGTTAAAATATATGATGGTAGTTTTACATATTTCTAATTTTTTATTATAGATAATGCAGTCTGGTGTCTGACATATTACATTTGTTTGCTTAATATTTTTTCTAGAAAAGGTTTTTATCCTGGAAAAAAAAGAGGGAAAACATTTTGAAGATTTCTTTTAGAAAAGTAATGGAAGCTGGGCGCGGTGGCTCATACCTGTAATCCCAGCACTTTGGGAGGCCAAGGTGGGTGGATCACCTGAGGTCAGGAATTTGAGACCAGCCTAGCCAACATGGTGAAACCCTGTCTCTACTAAAAATACAAAAATTAGCAGGGCATGGTGCAGGCACCTGTAATCCCAGTTACTCTGGAGGCTGAGGCAGGAGAATCACTTGAATCCGGGAGGCAGAGGTTGCAGTGAGCCAAGATCGTGCCATTCCACTCCAGCCTGGGCAACAGGAGTGAAACTCCATCTCAAAAAAAAAAAAAAAAAAAGAGAGAGAAAAGAAAAGTAGTAGTGGAAACTAGCCACTAATTAGCAGGGTTGGATGACTAAGGAAATGGTATTTTACTAATGTAGTAAGATAGGGAGAAAATAGTAGGATAAGCCATTTTGGGTAGGTAAGGCTAAGACTAATTTCAGCATTAGAAGTTGAAGTAATCATGGGGCGTCTATTACAGAAGATAGTTGGGAAGATGGGATTGGGGCTCAGGAATGCTGTCAGAGCAGGTAATACAAAACCAAGAGCTATCTTCTGTCAAGAGTTTAGCGTCATGAATGGAGGAGATTTCCAAGGGAGAAGGTGAAGAAAGTGGAGTAGAGAACTGAGAACTAAAGCTTAGTGACTACCCAATATTAGTAGTCAAGGGTTCAACTCTTCTAACGCAGTCAGGTGGATGGGAGGGGCATTGAGGAATAATGATTTTAGGAAGTGCCTGGGGGGGGGAAAAGGTTGCTGCTCAGAGAGTAAAAAGAATTGAAGTCTAAGAGAACATCGGATTTAGGATTTTAGAAAGTCATTAGTGACTGTCAGAAATGTACTTTGGTAAAGTGGAGGTTATCAATGTTAGATTAGATGATGAAGACATAAGGAGACCTTCACTGTGTAAATTGTCTTTGCCCTTTTACTTACTTTTTGCCCTTTTCTCAAGCGGGTTCCTGAAATAAGAAATCTATGAAGAAAATGACAAGACTCTGAAGAATTAGCTTGCCATGAGGGACTCAATCGGAGGCTTGAATCTGACCTGGAGACTGAGAACTCTTGAATAGATGAAGATAGTATCTTTCTTTTCCTTTCCTTCAATCTTTCTTTTTAAATATATTTGTTTGGTTGTTTTTTAGAGACTAAGAAGTTTTTAAATTGCCCTAATATCTACAAGGCTCTCACAGGGAAAGGTGCTGACTGGAGAATACCTACACTACAATAGATAAAAAGGCAGTGGCTTCCTAGGCTGCAGAGAACAAGTCCTTTCTAGCAGTGGCTCAGGACTACTGTTTTGAAAAGTCTAATTACTTTGCTTCTCTGACCTTGATTGCTACCTTTAAAAGAAGCTTTAAAGCCTGTTTGGTCTCCTAAACTTGCCAAGCCCTGCTGCCTGGGTCTAGTCAGTAATCTTGCCCTGCACAGACCTCTTACTGTCTGACCACAGGCCTTAGCTAACCCCATTTGTGTCACACCCCACTGCTATGCCTCCTTTGGAAAGGCCTATCTAAGAAGTAGCTCCTTATATAAATGGAAGGACACTAAAGACTCCTGATGGAGTAAACACAGAGGAGATAAGGAATCAAGGGTGGAGGGATTGGTCTTGGACATGGTAAATGTAGAGATAGAGACTATCTAGTCAGAAAGGTTAAACTTGATAGTCTTCATTCTACAAAGTAGGATGCAAATTCTTTTCAAAGAGGAACTGTGAATTGTATAGTATGTGAATTATCTTTCAATAAAGCTATTTTTAAACAGCAGAGAATGTAAGAGATGGACTAGAATTAGGAAAGTATTGGGTTTAAAAGTCACATTCATATTACGATGGCAATTCCTGGTTATGGATCTCTTTAATGATGTTTCTATACAGAGTGAATGTAGTAGTCTGTATGTTTCTCTCTTCCTTTTTAATTGAAATATTAGATTGCTCCAAAGGTTTCCATACAACCTGTTCAACTTTCTAGCAGTCATTCCAGAAAGGGAACAAATGAAGTGTAACCATATATTTACTAATCAACAAATGCAAACATGATGGCTATATTAAATATTCAAATGCATAAATAATATTTATATTATATGTGTTAGGCTGTACATAACAGACTAGGCAACTAGCAGTGGCTTAAATAAAAAATATTTATTATTAAATATATATTATTATAATATGTTATTATTAAATATATATTTTATAAATATTTATTATTAGGTTGTAGCATGTGCCTATATTCCCAGCTATGTATGCCAGAGGAGGCTGAGGCAGGAGGATCCCTTGAGCCCAGGACAGGAGTTTGTGACCAGCCTGGGCAACATAGCAAGACCCCATCTCTGAAAAATAAAAATAAAAATAAAGACATACAATTGAGTCATACAATAAAGATAGTTCCAGAATTGTTCAGCAGCAAAGTGTAGGCTTACCCCTGATGGGCACACATTGGCTATAGAAGCACCAAATGTTTTGTTCTCACCACACAACATACAGAAAAGCAGGAAGGTGGGGAAGGAAAAAGGCATGCTTCTCACTTTCTACTTTTCTTTTATCAGGAAGAAAAATCTTTCTAGGAAGTTACCAAGCAAACTTCCTATTATACATCAATGGCCAGAAGTGGGCCACATTGCAAACCCCTAGTTTCAAGGGTGGATGGCGAAGTGAAAAATTAGGTTTTTTAGCCTTAGAAAAAGAAGTGCATGAAAGGAGGGGCTGGAAATGGCTGTTGGATAGGCAACCAAACTGTCTGCTGTATTATTCATTGGGAAAAAGGATAATAAAACCAAGAAATATTTGCTTGAGGAACGTCAGATATGAACAGATTTCATTTAAACTCACAAAGCTGAGAAGCTGAGAACAAAGATTTGAGATGTGAGTAGCACACTTGAATAGCAAGCAAAACTTCAAAAACCAAAACATGAACCTGGTTATGAAAATAAATCTGATTAAGGTAGCTCTGTGTTTTAGATTCTACTGAGTTTGGGAGGACTGCAGATTTTTTGTAGTAGTGGCTAACTCTTCCTGGAATTCTCCCAGATGCGCAGGAGGCCAAGAGCCTGGGTATCTGCATCTGAAACAAATTAGCCTGGGATGTTTCTTTTTTTTTTTTTTTTTTGAGACGGAGTCTCGCCCTGTCACCCAGGCTGGAGTGTAGTGGTGCGATCTCGGCTCGCTGCAACGTCCGCCTCCCTGGTTCAAGCAATTCTCCTGCCTCAACCTCCCGAGTAGCTGAGATTACAGGCATGTGCCACCAGGCCTGGCTAATTTTGTATTTTTAGTAGAGACAGGGTTTCTCCATGTTGGTCAGGCTGGTCTCGAACTCCCGACCTCAGGTGATCTGCCCGCCTCGGCCTCCCAAAGTGCTGGGATTACAGTCGTGAGCCACCGTAGCCAGCCTCATTCCCCGTCTTAATCTGCCTTTTGTCAGTTTAATTGAAAGGCCCTAAAACTATGCTATCGGGGATAATTTCTATAGATCATTACCTAATTTATATAGATCATTAATATGCTATCAGGGATAATTTCTATAGATCATTTCTGTAAATCATTAATATAGAAATGATCATTTCTATAGGTCATTACTAGAGATCATTACTATAGATCATTACTAATTGAAAGGCCCTAAAACTATGCTACCAGGGATAATTTCTATAGATGATTACTAATTTCTATAGATCATTACTAATTTCTATAGATCATTGCTATGCTATCAGGGATAATTTCTATAGATCATTACTAATTTCTATAGATCATTGCTATGCTATCAGGGATAATTTCTATAGATCATTACTAGAGAAGCTTCTCTGTATGTGTGGAGCAAAAGTAAAAACAAAAACAAAAAAAAGAAAGGTCCCCATTGATGTACCTAAGAGGGTAGAGGAAAAGTTTTTATCCTCCTCAACAAGCCTGTCATTTTTCACAAGTAGTACTATTGGCATTTGGTGGGACAGTTCACTGTGTGGGACTAGTCCATAACCAGTAGTATACACACATTCCACTTCCCCACTGTCCCCCATCTTACAATATGTCACCAAAATTGCTCCACACATATCCTAAGTAAGATTGCCAGATAAAATACAGGAATCCCAGTCAAATTTGAATTTCAGATTATTTCAGAATAATTTTTTTTTTGAGACAGAGTCTTGCTCTATCGCCCAGGATGGAGTGTAGGGGTGAGATCTTAGCTCACTGCAACCTCCGCCTCCCAGGTTCAAACAATTCTCCTGCCTTAGCATCCTGAGTATCTGGGACTAGAGGTGCATGCCACCACACCAAGCTAATTTTCATATTTTCAGTAGAGACAAGGTTTTGCCATGTTGGCCAGGCCAGTCTCGAAACTCCTGATCTTAGGTGATCGGCCCACCTTGGCTTCCAAAGTGCTGGGATTACAAGACATGAGCCACCATGCCCCGCCCAGAATAATTTTTTTAATAAGTTTTAAATATTGCATGGGATATACTTCTTACTAAAAATTATTTGTTGTTTGTCTGAAATTCAAATTTTTTTTTTTTTGAGACAGAGTCTCCCTCTGTCACCCAGGCTGGAGGGCACTGGAGCGATCACCGCTCACTGCAACCTCTGCCTCCCAAGTTCAAGCAATTCTCCTGCCTCAGCCTCCCGAGTAGCTGGGACTCCAGGTGTGCGCCACCACAGTGGCTAATTTTTGTATTTTTAGTAGAGACAGGGTTTCACCATGTTGGCCTCCCAAAGTGCTGGGATTATAAGTGTGAGTCACCATGCCTGGCCTCTGAAATTCGGATTTAACTGGGCCTCCTGTATTTTTAAAATGTATTTTATTTTTTAGAGCAGTTTTAGGTGTACAGCAAAATTGAAAGGTAAAGTACAGAGATTTGCTGTAAATTTCCTTCTCCCACACAAGCACAGCCTCCCCAAGTATCAATATCCCCAACCAGAGTGGTGCATTTATTACAACTGATGCTCTTGGATTCATCATTATCACCAGGAGACCATAGTTTACATTAGGGTTCACTCTTGGTGTTGTATTATACATTCCACAGGTTTGGACAAATGTATTGTAGACCAAAAATAAAATTCTAAGATGCCCAACCATCCGCATGGACTTCCTTCTCAGCCAGGGCACTCTTAAAATTTAACCTGAGAGACTGGTTTAGGCCATGATGGGAAGTGGGGATTGGACATACCTCATTATACCTTTCCGGAATTAATAACACAGACCTTGAAGTCTGATAAGAAACATTTACAACTGATTCTCTCTAAAGCCTGCTATTTGAAGGCTTCCTCTCCACAACCTCTTACCTTAACCAGACATTCTTTTCTGTTAATCCCAGGTCTTTATATAAACTCAACAAATTGTTAACCAGAATTTTTTTCTTTTTTTTTTGAGATGTAGTCTCGGTCTGTCACCCAGGCTGGGTGACAGCACAAGCGGCTAATTTTTGTAATTTTAGTAGAGACAGGGTTTCACCATGTTGGCCAGACTGGTCTCGAACTCCTGACCTCAGGTGACCCGCCAGCCTCGGCCTCCCAAAGTACTGGGATTACAGGCGTGAGCCACTGCACCTGGCGTCAACCAGAAAATTTTTAAATCTACCTGTAAGCTGGAAGCCCTGCTTCAGCTTGTCCAGCCATTCTTAAATGTATTTGATTAAAGTCTCATGTCTCCCCAAAATGTATAAAAGCAAGCTGTGCCCCAACCACCTGGGGCATATGTTCTCAGGATCTCCTAAGGGCTATGCCATGGGCCATGGTCACTCATACTTGGCTCAGAATAAATCTCTTCAAATATGTTACATAGTTTGACTCTTTTCATCGACAGTATAATGATAATATACCCACTGTTACAGCATCATGCAGGGTAATATCACTTCCCTAAAAATCCTCTTTGCTCCAACTTGCTATATTTTCATATGTTAAATCTAACAACTGTAATCCTTAGGCTTCCTAGAGTGGTAACACCTCTTAGGAGAACCAACTCCTCTCAGAAAGCCTTGCCAACTTGCTCAACATTCTAGAGCTCAAAATGTTGCAATCATCCATTCATTCAGCAAATACTGATTTGCAACATTTTACGGTATTTACTGGTTGGGCATGTTGGTGCATGCCTGTAAATTCCAGCACTTTGGGAGGCCAAGACAGGAGGATCGTTTGAGCCCAGGAGTTTGAGACCAGCCTGAGCAACATAGAGAGACCCTGTCTCTACAAAAAATAAAAAATTAGCCAGGCATGGTGGCACGTGTCTGTATTCCTAGCTACTTGGGTGGCTAAAGTGGGAGGATCACTTGAGCCTGGGAGGCTGTGGCAGCAGTGAGCCATGATCACACCACCGCACTCCAGCAAGGGCAACAGATTGAGACCCTGTCTCAGTAAATAAATAAATAAATGTTTAGTAAGCATCTTATGCTTTACTAGATGTTATAAAACACGGAAATAAATAAGAAATAATCCTTGATCTTCAGGGACTGTCGAAAGCTGGCTCCCCCAAATCACCTAATCAACCTGTTAATAAGACAAAGTTGTTTATTGCTTACTGTAGTGAGAGAGAACACTACTTCAACAGTCTTAATAGTGTCTCAGAGAAGGAAGAACAGAGTTGGGATATTTATTGAGATGTTGAAATTTGATTTAAGGCAAACCTTTTAATTCCAGTATGTGTGATGGTGTTGACTAGGATTAGATATAGATCATTACATGAATTAAATGGATTTATAGTTTAGAATTGGTAGACACAGCAAGGTAAGAATTTTGTGGTGAGATTTGGGATGTAAGCTATTTGATAACTTCTATTAAAGAGTTGATGGTTCTCCCAGGAAATTCCACTGTTTGCTATTTTTTAAAATTAATTACTTAATTTAGAGAAAGGGTCTCACTCTGTTACCCAGGCTGGAATGCAGTGGCATTATCTTGGCTCACTGCAGCCTCAACCTCCTGGGCTCAAGCAATCTCCTACCTCAGGCTCCTGAGTAGCTGGGACTACAGGCACATGCCACCACACCTGGCTAATTTTTGAAATTTTTTCATAGAGATGGGGTCTCACCAGGTTGCTCAGGCTGGTCTTGAACTGCTGGCCTCAAGCAGTCCTCCTGCCTCACCCTCCCAAAATACTGGGATTACAGGTGTGAATCACCATGCCCAGCCCCTTGATATTTTAGATCAAGAGTTTATATTTGTTTGCCTTTTCCTGGGAAAATCAACAATAGTCCTGGGCAACTACGCCTAGAATTTTATTGAGGTACACTCCTACTTTTCACAATTCCTTAACCAAGAATTCAAAGAATGTAAGTTTCTCAGTGATTCTACCTGTATTCAAAATGGAAGCCAGGTGTGGTGGTGCATGCCTGTAGTCCCAGCTACTCTGGAGGCTGAGGTGGGAGGATTGCTTGAGACCAGGAGTTCGAGACCAGCCTGGGCAACATAATAAGATGCTATGTTTAAGTAAAAAAACAAATAAACAACAACAACAAAGATAAACAACATAAACCCCAAATGTAGATTACTTTTTGTTGTGTTCTAAAGATGAGGTAAATCCTAAGACTGATTCCATCTCTTTACTTGCTGTTTTAGCTCAGAAATGCCATAAGGTTTCCAAAGAGAAGTTATAATTTTATAAAAGTAAAGTTCATTAGCTAGGACATGATTTATCCTTAGTTGGTTCAATCTGCTATAACAAAATATCATAAACTAGATAGCTTATAAAAAACAGAAATTTATTTCTCACAGTTCTGGAGACTGGGAATTCCAGGATTAAGGCAGATTCAGTGTCTGCTGAGGGCCCTCATTCTCACTTCACTTCATAGTGCCTTCTCCATGTGTCTTTACATGGTGGAAGGGGCAAGGGTCTCTCTGTGTCTTTTTTTATTTTTAAACCAAACTTTCCTTACATAGAGTTTTTTAGAAATGGGGTCTCACTATCTTGCCCAGGCTGGACTCAAACTCCAGGGCTCAAGCGTCCTCCTGACTCAGCCTCCCTGATAGCTAGGACTACAGGCACATAACATTGCATCTGTTTTGTATCTCTTTTATAAAGGCACTAATGGCCAGGTGCAGTGGCTCACACCTGTAATCCCAGCACTTTGGGAGGCCGAGGCGGGTGGATCACCTGAGGTCAGGAGTTCGAGACCAGCCTGGCCAACATAGTGAAACCCCGTCTCTGCTAAAAATACAAAAAAAAAATTAGCCAGGCATGGTGGCAGGCGCCTGTAATCCCAGCTACTCGGGTGGCTGAGGCAGGAGAATCGCTTGAACCTGGGAGGCAGAGGTTGCAGTGAGCTGAGATCACGCCATTGCACTCCAGCCTGGGTGACAGAGCAAGACTCCATCTCAAAAAAAAAAAAAAAAAAAAAAAAAGGCACTAATCTCATTCATGAGGGCTCAGCCCAAATGACCTCATGACTTCAAAGGCCCTATCATCTAACACCATCACCTTGGGGCTTAGGATTTCAACATATACGGTTTTTGGGGGGTACAGAAACATTCAGACCATAGCACATCCCAAGGAGATAAATCCTTCTGACAGATTATAGGCCATTTGAAACTTTGCTAAGCCACTAACTAAGACACAATTAAGAAGACTCCTAGTTGACATTGGCTTTTTCAGGCAGTGGGCGCCCAACAGTGTGTAGAAGTCAAGGGAAAGCTTCCCCTCTGCCTTCTACATTTTCACTGAAAATTAACTTACAATAAGCAGATTAATAGGAGAAAAAGGCATGCAAAACTTACTAACATGCATATGGATACAGGAGCCATATACAAAGTATGAGACTAGAAGAGGAGCCAGATGGTCGAGGCTTATATAGATTTATGGCAGCAGATACTATTTTGTAAATGAGACTATTTTGTAGATGAGACCAAGAGTTGCAAGTTATGGGAGGGTGAGGGGCAGAATGGCACAGAAACAAAGCTTGTCTCATTACACAGATAAAGTCTTCCACATAATCTGTGGGCCCTGCCCTCAGATGAACAGACGAAAAGCCTGTCTGGGTGTGGTGATTCCTTGTAGCTTCTCCTCTCTAGGTGGCTAATTTTTCCTGGTTATTTGATGAGATTCCTGGGGAGGGGTTCTTAAGTCAATTGCATTTCTTTTTTTTTTTTTTTTTTTTTGAGACAGGGTCTCACTCTGTCACCCAGGCTAGAGTGCAGTGGCACGATCTCAACTCACTGCAACCTCTGCCTCCCAGGTTCAAGAGATTCTCCTGCCTCAGCCTCCCAAGTAGCTGGAATTACAGGCAAGTGCCATCGTGCCTGGCTAATTTTTGTATTTTCAGTACAGACGGGGTTTCAGTAGAGATGTTGGCCAGGCTGGGACAATTGCATTTCTGTTGGAAGAATTTTTCTTAGTCCCATATGAAAATTCCAGAGGAGAGTCCCTCTTGGTGCTTTGGGAAAGAGAATGAGAGACAGGGAGGTAGCATAGAGATAGACTTTAAGTCTGCTTCTTCAGTGTAGCATGTCAAAGCACCATATTTTGGGGTATCATTTTCTTTTTCTTTTTTTCTGAGACAGGGTCTCGCCCTGTTGCTCACTGCAGCCTCGAATTCCTGGGCTCAAGCAATCCTCCCACCTTAGCCTCCCAAGTAGTTGGGACTACAGGTACATACCACCACACCCAGCTAAATTTTTATTTTATTTTTTGTAGATACAGGGTTTCACTATGTTTCCTAGTCTGGTCTTAAACTTTAAACTCCTGGGCTCAAGTAGTCATCTTGCCCCAGCCTCCCAAAGTCCTGGGATTACAGGTGAGAGCCACTGTTCTTGGCTCAGATATTATTTTGTGAGTTCCAACAAGTGTCTGTTCAAAGAAGCTATATGAGTTAACCAGTCTTTGTAACAAACCGCTTCTTTGGGAATCTAAATATGAACGAGTCTTTCTTGAGTTAAAAATGAGCCCTTCCTCACACCTGTAATCCCAGCACTTTGAGAGGCCAAGGCAGGTGGATCACGAGGTCAGGAGATCAAGACCATCCTGGCTAACAAGGTGAAACCCCGTCTCTACTAAAAATACAAAAAATTAGCCGGGCATTGTGGCGGGCACCTGTAGTCCCAGCTACTCAGGAGGCTGAGGCAGGAGAATGGCGTGAACCTGGGAGTCGGAAGTTGCAGTGAGCCGAGATTGCGCCACTGCACTCCAGCCTGGGCAACAGAGTGAGACTCTGTCTCAAAAAAAACAAAAAACAAAAAGAGCCCTTCAGTAGCTTTGTGTGGTTAGTCTGAGTAGCCACAGCAGCAGCTAAACTAGCAGAGACTTCAGCAATTGTTTTTGTTTTTGGAGTCTCCTTTAAATTTCATGGTCCCTCACGCTGTGTAATCTTTGGTTCTCACTGAATATATACAACATTTCTTAGTAAATAAGCTTATCTCTTATGAAATCCTATTACCTTCTCTGTTACATATTTCTAATCATTGTTATAATCTTGGAAAATCCTATTACTTTCCTTCCATCACCTGAAGAAAAGGAAATTCTTGACTGTCTAACCTATGTTTGTGAAATATCTGTGCATTAAATAGATTAGAAATTCCTTTAGAAAATCCAGACTTAATCTTGTTTGTTCGTGGGTCATATTTTAACATTAAAACAGAAAAATGTCACTTAGACTACACTGTTAAAAAAATAACTAAATTCACCCCTAAAATATAACCCCTTGCCAGAAATGGCAAAACTTGTAACCATAATAGATCCATTTCCTGATGTACACAGCAAGTCAATATGCTGAGACACTATGTTGCAGCAGAGAAAGAGGTTTAATCAGAAGGCTGCCAAATGAGGGGATTGGAGGAAACTTCAATCCATCTCCTCAAGGGGCTTGGGGCTAGGATTTTTTTTCTTCTGTTTATTAGGGTTTCCATTAAAAGTATTACATTTCCATTCTTTACAACCATAAAAGAATAAATAATTTCAAAGGATTGCTTGATAGGAGACTTCTGTTTTAAATGGAACTTGGAAATATCCAGAAAATCACTGGAATAAATGTACTTAATAGACCCAATGCTGTGAAATTCTTTTTAACCGTTTTCTTAAGCACATAAAAATATATAACACTTCCTCCAACATTTTTTGAAATAAAATTTGGTTTGAGGTTTTTCTCTGTAATATTTGCCGTATAAATATTTCTTAAAATGCTTTCATTGCCTACCTGCCTGCCTTTCTGCCTTCCTGCCTTCCTTCTTTCTCTTAGTGCTGAGGCTGACTTCTTAACACCAGTAGATTCTGACCCCTTTCATTACTTTAATCTGCCAAGGAGGTGCAGTTCAGAAACCGAAGGGAAAAGCAGGGCTTGATCCCACAAAACACTCAATCTCAGTTCCACATGGCTGGGGAGGCTTCGCAATCATGGCAGAAGGTGAATGAGGGGCAAAGTCACATTTTACACGGTGTCAGGCAAGAGGGGGCTAGGAATTTTAAGGGTTTTAGATTGGGCTGAAGTATGGATATCATTGATTGAAGAAAGAGTGCAGGGTGAAATCATGTGACAGAGAGATGAAAAAACTGTATTATCATGCTGATTCAGTTCCTCTGTGGTTCCTAGGGAAGGATCTTTAAACTCATTGGCATCAGCTGTTCTGCTGGAATTCAGGCTATGCTTAAGCAATTCTTTTTTTTTTTTTTTTTTTCTGAGATGAAGTCTTGCTCTGTCGCCCAGGCTGGAGTGCAGTGGTTTCATCTCGGCTCACTGCAACCTCCGCCTCCTGGGTTCAAGTGATTCTCCTGCCTCAGCCTCCTGAGTAGCTGGGATTACAGGCACCCACCACCACGCCTGGCTAATTTTTGTATTTGTAGTAGAGACAGGGTTTCACCATGTTGGCCAGGCTGGTCTTGAACTCCTGACCTCAGGTGATCCGTCCGCCTCTGCCTCCCAAAGTGCTAGGATTACAGGCGTGACCATCCGTGTGACCTGCTTAAGCAATTCTTAAACAAAGCCTTATGATTCTAACATCAGAAATCCTATTGATAGGAAAAATGGGAATGCAAGTTGTCAGTATCTAGTGTTAGATGACTTTTGGGTACAAGGAAGTGGGTCAAAGTACAGCCTGATAATGCTTAATTATAACTATATTTCTCTCCAGAATTCTTGTTAACCTTGCGAGGACAGCTTTAAACTCACTGTGCTCACTAGAGCTTGTTAGCTAGATTAGAATGTTAACATTTACAGAGAAAGTAGATATGTTTGGGGATAGTTCATGAGTTAAAGTGCTCCTGAGGGTTCTTGACCTCAGGAGGAGCCCAATTAAGAATGGCCAGCTGGTTTGGATGCAGTGGCTCACACCTATAATCCCAAAACTTTGGAAGTCATGAGTTAAAGTGCTCCTGAGGGTTCTTGACCTCAGGAGGAGCCCAGTTAAGAATGACCAGCTGGGTTGGATGCAGTGGCTCACACCTATAATCCCAAAACTTTGGAAAGCTGAGGCAGGAGGATGGTTTGAGACCAGGAGTTCAAGACCAGCCTGGACAACATAGTGAGGCCCTGTCGCTACAAAAAAAAAAGTTTCAAAAAGTAGCTGGGCATGGTGGCATGCACCTGTAATCCTAGCTACTCAGGAGGCTGAGGCAGGAGGATTGTTTGAGTCCAGGAGTTTGAGGCTACTGTGAGCTATGATCATGTCTCTGCAGTCCAGCCTGGGCAACAGAATGAGACCCTGTCTTAACAACAACAAAAAGAATGGTCAGCTAATTAAAGAATTTTGAGTATTCTAGTGTTTCCTAAGGAGGTAGCTATTATTAAAATAGGAATGCTCTGGCACTCAACTAAGATCTTAGCCCTCATGATACTTCAAAAAGCTACATATTTGAAGAGGATCAAGGAGTCTGCAAAATGCCAGCATTCAAAAGAGCTCACAATCCAGCTATGTGGCAGAAGCATGTAATCAAGTAAATACAATAACCGATATAAATAATCTTAGAGAAGCAACCTGTCAGGCAAACAGGATTTGCCATATGAAGGAAATCATCAGTTCTTGAGAAAGGGAAGGAAATAGTAATGGATATGGAACAGTTTCTTCTGGACTTTTCTGGAAAGGGAAGGCTTTCCAGGCCAAGTGGGTAGCATAAGCAAAGGCAGCTTAAGCAAGGTTTATGAAGCAGCTCGGCCAGTCCAGGGACCTGCAAACAGTTTGTGTGGCAGGTCCAGGGATCTACAAACAGTATGTATTATCTCTTCTTTGTTACCAAAGAACATATTTTCCAAATGTGGAAAATATGTGCCCCTTGATCCCTACCTTAAATAAAGAAATTTGGAGTAAGGGAAAGGATTTGGTAAAAGCATAATTTTGTATTAGTACATAGAATGTTTTAGCTGAAAAGCTTCTGATTTTTACTGTTATAAATATATCTTGATTCTGATAGTCTCACTTATTTCTTAATTGCCCTAAAACTTAGCTTAAGAATTATGCCACATATTCAATTCTAATGACATACTTTCTCCCACCATCACCCAGTTGCTGCAATATTTTAAAACCTCATTCTGGATTCCAGATAAGCATAAATTCATGAGAATGTGTTTACTTTTAACCAGATGTTATTCAATTGGAAAGCAGTTATGTTCTGATATTCAGAATATTTACAAAGGTGGCCTGTATTCTTTTTTGTTGTTGTTGTTCGAGGCAGGGTCTCTCACTCTGTCGCCCAGGCTGGAGTGCAGTGGTGCTCAACGCAACCTCCACCTCCTGGGCACGAGCAATCCTCCCACTTCAGCTTCCTGAGTCGCTGGGACCACAGGCTCACGCCACCATGTCCAGCTAATTTATATATATTTAGTAGAAATGGGGTTTCACCATGTTGCCCAAGCTGTTCTTGAACTCCTGGACTCAAGCAATCTGCCCTCTTTCACCTCCCAAAGTGCTGGGATCACAGACGTGAGCCACCATGCCTGGCTGCCTGTATTCTTATACTTGAATAACAAATACATATTTTTTTATGTGCCTGTGTATGTGCTTGTATCTGTGTATGTGTACACACAAATATCATTTCTGTTTTTGTAGTATCATTTTGTAACCTAAACCCAACATTCCATGCTATCATCTGATGGTTTTCTAATTATTGTTATGTAGCACTGTTGTTAGTAAACACTGTACATGAAGAGAAGTATTACAGTAAGCCAACTGAACCATAATTCAATGCCCTTATTCAGTATTTTTTTAACTTTTTTTTTTTTTTTTTTTTTTTGAGACAGAGTCTCACTCTGTCGCCCAGGCTGGAGTGCAATGGCACAATCTTGGCTCACCAGAACCTCTGCTTCCCAGGTTTAAGGGCTTCTCCTGCCTCAGTCTCCTAAGTAGCTGGAATTACAGGCACCTGCCACCACACCTGGCTAAGTTTTGTATTTTTAGTAGAGCTGGGGTTTTGCCATGTTGGCCAGGCTGGTCTTCAACTCCTGACCTCAGGTGATCCTCCTGCCTTGGCCTCCCAAAGTGCTGGGATTACAGGTGGGAGCCACCACGCCCAGCCTTACTCAGTACTTTTACTGAGTAATATAAAGATATTGTCATATTAATATAAATATTACAAAGAGTATAAACATATTATTTTCAGAGTATAAGCAATGAAAAACCTAATGATGGAAACAGAAACATGTCATATCCTTTTTTTTCCTTTTAGTTTTGGATCTCAGGTTTAGAGGGTTAAGCTAACTTCCTTGTTCATGGCACATTGCCATTATTTGCTTTACTTTTTAGGTGAGAGAAATATTTTACATATGTTCTCCCATTCCCTAGGGTTTAGATCAAAATGAAATCCTAGAAATGCTCTGGAGTCAGAGAAACTAGGTTCTGTGCCACTTAATAAACATACAATCTTCGGAAAATGATTTGACATCTCTAAGAGTTAATTTTCTCTGAATTTTCAATATGAGCTGGATGTGGTGGCTCATGCCTGTAATTCCAGAACTTTGGGAGGCCAAGATGGGTGGATCACTTGGGCCCAAGAGTTCAAGACCAGAACCGGGCATCTAGTGAGACCTCATCTCTACAAAAATTATGAAAAAATTAGGCATGGTGGTGTGCACCTGTAGTTCCAGCTACTCAGGAGGCTGAGGTGCGAGGATTGCCTGAGCCCAGCGGGGTGAGGCTGCAATGAGCTTTGATCATGTCACTGCACTCCAGCCTGGGTGACAGACCAAGACCCTGTCTCAAAAAAAAAAAAAAAAAAAAGAACTTTGAATATGGACATATGGACAAAGAGTAGTCCAGGCTAGGAATCCCAACTAATATTATGCCATGAAACTTTAAGCAAGTTACTTTGCAAAACTGTGACTCTGATTCTGCAACTGAGGAATGAAAATGACATTGCAATTGTACATAAATAAGATTGTGAAAATTTAAAGCACTGAATCAATGTTAATTTATGTCATCTCATTGAAGAATCTAGTTATGTTTATAATCCTGAAGGTAAGTATAATTAATATTTTGTGTTTATAGTGTTTCTTCCACTCAGGTATTAATAAGCCATTTCAAAGGTGAACAAGCATAAAGCATTTAACCTGCCCAAAGTTATGGACTGAGTTAAGACAGTGACAGGAGGAGCAAGTAACTGATGGACAATTAGAAAGAAAATTCATCTTTTGTGAAGGAGTTCATGTTTATTCCTTAATAGTAAATTACAAGTCCTCAGTGAACCTTACCAGCTGCTCCATTAGGAAGAGGCTGGCACTAATGACCAGACTTTCAGTGTGAGCAGATATTAGGGGTGTCTAGGCTACTTGAATAACCACGGCCGTTCGTCTCTCTTTCAATGCCTAATTCTGACTAAAATTTAGCTCCCCCATAGGGCTAAAAGCAAAGGAGGAAAGATTTTGTTGTAAAAATGATGGAAATCCTGGCTCCTGTAAGGAACTGTGCTTTGACCCTCATTTCTCAAGGCACAAGATTCATCGTTATTGGCTCATTAGCCTCTTTTAGTTGAGGGGCTCTACAGAGCAGTGGTTAGGCTTGGGCCAGACTGCCTGTGTTTGAATCCTGGCTCTGGACTTCACTGGCCATGTAACTTTAAACTCTCAGGGCTTTACTAGGGATGTCCAAAACAGCACCTGCCTCACAAATTAGATCAGCACCTACACCATATTACAGGCTCAATTAATATTAACTATTAGTTTTATAGCCCAAACTGTATGCCTAATTGGAATGTGGTTACCTGAAAGGTAGAAGTTGGTAGATAAAATTAAATTAAATTGAAATAATTTATATGTGTAGTTACTATTAAGATACCAACATGTATCACCTTATTTTTACTTTTTTTTTTTTTTTTTTGAGACAGAGTCTCACTCTTTTGCCCAGACTGGAGCACAGTGGCGCAATCTTGGCTCGCTGCAACCTCCACCTCCCAGGTTCAAGCAGTTCTCCCGCCTTAGCCTCCAGAGTAGCTGGGACTACAGGCACACTCCACCATGCCTGGCTAAATTTTGTGTATTTAGTAGAGACAAGAATTCACCATGTTGGCCAGGCTGGTCTTGAACTCTGACCTCAGGTGATCCACCCACTTTGGCCTCCCAAAGTGTTGGGATTCAGGCGTGAGCCACCCCCACCAGCGTGTATCACTTCATAGTCATATAGATCATACCAATTTGTTCCTCTTCATCACTAAAATCCCAAAAGTTTGTACAGCAGGGTAAGTACATGGGCTTTTTGGTCAGCCATGATACTATGTGTCCTTGTCTTCGTTTCCCCATCTGTAAAATGGTAAAAACAGTGCCTTCGGCTGGGCGCGGTGGCTCACACCTGTAATCCCAGCACTTTAGGAGGCTGAGGTGGGCGGATCACTTGAGGTTGGTGGATCACTTAAGGTCAAGAGTTCGAGACCAGCCTGACCAATATGGTGAAACCCTGTCTCTACTAAAAGTACAGAAATTAGCCAGGCGTGGTGGTGAGCACCTGTAATCCCAGCTATTCGGGAGACTGAGGCAGGAGAATCACTTGAGCCCAGAAGGCGGAGGTTGCAGTGAGCCAAGATTATGCCACTGCACTCCAGCCTGGGTGACAGAGCAAGACTGTCTCAAAAACCAGTGCCTTCGTCATGGAGTTACTTAGATAAGAGAGGTTTAGATAAGTAAAGTGATTAGCTCAGTTTCTGAGAAACAGTAAATACTTAATATTATATTATTCATAGTAAATGTTAATGGTTGTCATTGTTATTTTCAATAAAATAACAAATTGGCTGAGGCAGTGGCTCACACCTGTAATCCTAGTACTTTGGGAGGCTGAGGCAGCAGGATCACTTGAGCTCAGGAGTTCTAGACCAGCCTGGGCAACATAGTGAGATACCTTCTCTATTAACAAAAGAAAAAAATAAAAATAAATAAAATAACAAGTCATATATGCCCCTTCTGGTATTTCCTCATTTTAACTATCATTATCAAATTTAATTGTGGTCAGAATTAGGGCCTGTCACTGTAAATTTAGTCATTTATAAACAATCCTAGAACAATCCTAAGTTTGGTCCGTAGTAGACACTCATATAAATATTGTTGATGAATGCCCCTGTTGGTACACTGAATGTTTAACTTTTCTCTGTGAACCTCACAGCTCAGTCTCTAAGATATTTTTGTTTTGTTTTACCTCACTATTTCAAGCCAGTTTAGCTGAGGGAGGTTGTTTATGCTATCACTAGATCCTGCTGTATCTAATCTCGTCTTCTAAGCTGAATGTTAGAAGCAGCTGAAAGAAGTATAGCAAGTTGGCGTTAGAGTAGACATCGAGAAAGTATGGAGGGTTTAGGAAAACATTTTTAATGGTAATAAGAAAAGAAGCCACGCATGGTGGTTCACGCCTGTAATCCCAGTACTTTGGGAGGCCGAGGCATGGTGGTTCACGCCTGTAATCCCAGTACTTTGGGAGGCCGAGGCGGGCGGATCACCTGAGGTCAGGAGTTTAAGACCAGCTTGGCCAACATGGTGAAACCCCGTCTCTACTAAACATACAAAAATTATCCAGGTGTGGTGGTGCATGCCTGTAATCCCAGCTACTCAGGAGGCTGAGGCAGGATAATCACTTGAACCCGGGAGGTGGATGTTGCCGTGAGCCGAGATCACGCCACTGCACTCCAGCCTGGATGAGAGAGTGAGACTCCGTCCAAAAAAAAAAAAAGAAAAGAATAAGATATTCTTTTCTTGGACTTAAATGCCTCATATGTATGTTGGAGTTTGAATTACCTTCTCTATGGGCCAACTCTGCGAAATTTTAGTTAGCATTTTCCTTCATCCAATTTACTCAGCTTAAACATCATTAATGTCTTAATAGATTAAAATTAATTGTTGTATTAGCTTAAGCAAAATGCAATAAGGAAGGTGAACATTTAGCTCCCTTCTTCCTCAAATGCATTTCAAAGCACAATAGAGGTTTTACATTATGAATTGCTCTCAAATACTCATAGTACTGCCACCCATCATTTAAAGAGAGAAACATTTTTTAAAATTGTAATAAGTTAACAAAATTTATTTTCTTTTTTTAATATTCTTTTATTTTTTTACTTCCTCTATGCGGGCCAAGAGGAGAAAACAAAAGATTTTAGCAGAAAAAAAATTACCATTAATTCCCAAGGGGAAGCAAAGTTGTATGTACCCATTCATATACTGTACTTACAATAGATTGTTTATTAAATTTTGTTTCCTTAATCTAAACTTTATCTAAACACAGCCCTTAATCTAAACTTTATCTTCATTTACAGTGGGTCAACGATGTTGCTATGGCAATGCCAGTACTCATAGCACTAGAAAGTGGCCAGGTCAGAATAACACCAGCTATGCTTCTCTGTGTCCATAGCGCTTTGTGCATGGTGTTTATCATTTATTAGCTGTATGATATTTGTTTGGTTATTTGTATACCTGTCCAGAGACAGTTTATATAATTCCTGCTGCCTGGGACAATCTATTGGAAGGCGGGAAGAAAAGTGTGTTGGTATAGAGCTAGAGATAGGGTCAGAGAAGTGGGCCTGAAAAAGTGCTATTGCCATTATGTTCTCCTGCCTCTTACATACACCCAGCTGCCTGCAGTTTTGTGTCTCTATCAAATTTCTTGATACTAGTATTAAAGAAAAGTAATTCCAAGATTTTTTTTGTTGTTACTAGTGGATTCAATCATTTTAATCCCCATCAGTAGTAACAATACTGAAAGTATATATATATATATATATATATATATATATATATATATATATATATATATTTTTTTTTTTTTTTTTTTTTTTTTTTTTTTGAGACGGAGTATCACTCTGTCGCTCAGGCTGGAGTGCAGTGGCACGATCTCAGCTCACTGCATCCTCTGCCTCCCGGGTTCAAGTACTTCTCCTGCCTTAGCCTCCTGAGTAGCTGGGATTACAGGCACGTGCCACCCCGCATGGCTATTTTATGTATTTTTAGTAGAGATGGGGTTTTACCATGTTGGTCAGGCTGGTCTCAAACTCCTGACCTCGTGATCCACTTGCCTTGGCCTCCCAAAGTGCTGGGATTACAGGCGTGAGCCACTGCATCTGTCAGAAGTATTTTTAAATGCAGGATTTAAAATAGGCTATACTGAATAATTCATAATCTATTATGTATGTTCTTGTCCATCTCCTTTATCAAAGTTTGGTTTTTGTGTCTGTCAGTCTTGAGATTAATAAAACCTTTTGAGGTTTAAAAACAAAAAGAAGCTTAACATTATTTTCCCTTTGTACTTTAACTTACCCTTTTATCCATAAAGGTGAAAGATTTAATTTTGGAACCACACCCATTTTTCACCCTAAGGAGTATATTAAATAACATATGATGGGACACAACAAAATATTACTGTTGATATGGCTTTTTGGAGTACTGTTCTTTGACTCCAAAAGACGCTTGATTGACTGCATTCTTCCTGATTGCAAGATAGCACAGCTTATTAACCTGAGGGATAGGATGGCATTTGCTGTGTATTTTACTGTTTTAACAATAGGGTTTTCGCAGTAGATTATGTTATCGGTCTTCATAATATTTCAAGGGAAACTGTTAGTTTAATTTAAAAAATTCTATTTCCTTTTTTTTGAATAGATAGTACATTCATATGGTTTAAAATTCAAAAGATTCAAAAGGGTATATAGTAAGATGTTTTTCTTTTGTCTTCCAGCCACCCAGTTCCTGGAGGTGATCACTGTTTTGGGTATTCTTCTAGACATATTTGAATATATATATTTTTTTTTTTTCACGAGACGGAGTCTTGCTCTATCCCCCAGGCTGGAATGCAGTGGCGCAATCCTGGCTCACTGCAACCTCTCCCTCCCAGGTTCAAGCAATTCTGCCTGCTCAGCCTCCCTAGTAGCTGGGATTACAGGCATGCGTCACCACGCCCAGTTAATTTTTGTATTTTTACTAGAGACAGGGTTTCACCATGTTGGTCAGGCTTGTCTTGGGCTCCTGACCTTGTGATCCACCTGCCTCGGTTTCCCAAAGTGCTGGGATTACAGGCGTGAACCACCATGCCCGGCCTAGACATATTCTAATACTGATTTTCATTTTATTTATTTAGATTTATTATTTTTTTTTATGGATGGGGTCTTGCATTTTGTCCAAGCTGGACTCAAATTCCTGGGCTTAAGAGATCTTCCCATCTTAGCCTCCCAAATAACTGGGACTACTGGCATGAGCCATCATGCCTGGATTGATTTTTTTAAAATTATTTTTTCTCACTACAAGGACAAGGACTCATACTGATTTTTGTCACATCTCATTTAATCTAAGCAGACATTTGGCTCAGCCCCTAAATGCGATTCAGTTTTTTCGTAGAAGAGTTGTTTCTCCCCACTGGCCATTTGCTATAAATTAGTTTAAGAAATGGAAAAATTCAGTATAATTAAACTCCCATTTGAACAAACTTAATAGGACGTTAAAATTGCTGGTTTTAAATAATGTTTAAAAGAAGCCAATTGCTAAAAGTGTAGATCACAAAGGTTTTTTCAAAAAATAATAAAATGGCTGGGCGTGGTGGCTCATGCCTGTAATCCCAGCACTTTGGGAGGCCAAGGCAGGCAGATCACCTGAGATCAGGAGTTCGAGACCAGCCTGACCAACATGGAGAAACCCCATCTCTACTAAAAATACAAAATTAGCTGGGCGTGGTGGCACATGCCGGTAATCCCAGCTACTCTGGAGGCTAAGGCAGGAGAATCGCTTGAACCCAGGAAGCGGAGGTTGCAGTGAGCTGAGATTGCGCCATTGCACTCCAGCCTGGGGTAACAAAAGCGAAACTCCGTATAAAAAAAAAAAAAAAAATATATATATATATATATATATATATATATATATATATATATATAAAATCATAATAAAGCAAGTGTCTTCTTGGGTTGGTTTGTTAGTGAAGAGGATGACTTTTATATCAGGAAATTCTTTGTTGTTGCTTTAATCTTGTCATGTGGGACAAAATTCATGTCAGATTAGGCTTCAAATCCATTTGCACAGTGCCCTTTCTTTTTTTTTTCTTGAGACAAGGTTTCATTCTGTCACCCAGGCTGGAGTGCAGTGGCATGATCACAGCTCACTGCAGCCACAATCTTCTGGGCTCAAGTGATCCTCCTCCCTCAGCTTCCCAGGTAGCTGGGACTACAGGCATGCACCACCATGCCCAGCTAATTTTTTCTTTTCTTTCTTCTTTTTTTTTTTTTTTTGAGACGAAGTCTTGCTCTTGTACCCCTGACTGGAGTGTGATGGTGCAATCTCGGCTCACTGCAACCTCTACCTCTTGGGTTCAAGCAATTCTTCTGCCTCGGCCCCCCGAGTAGCTGGGATTATAGGTGCCTGCCACCACGCCAGGCTAATTTTTGTATTTTTAGTAGAGATGGGATTTTACTACGTTGGCCAGGCTGGTCTAGAACTCCTGACCTCAGGTGATCCACCCGCCTTGGCCTCCCAAAGTGCTGGGATTACAGGCATGAGCCACCGCACCCGGCCAATTTTTTCTATTTTTTGTAGAGACAGGGATTTCAATACGTTCCCCAGCCTAGTCTGGAACTGCTAGACTCAAGTGATTCTCCTGTATCAGCATCCGAAAGTGCTGTGATTACAGGTATGTGTCACCACACCCAGCCCAGTATCCCTTCTTTTATCTCTACATCTCCCTGCACTTTAAAAGCAATCATGGTAGGTTGGGCGCGGTAACTCACGTCTGTAATCCCAGCACTTTGGGAGGCCAAGGTGGGTGGATCACCTGAGGTCAGAAGTTGGAGACTAGCCTGGCCAACATAGTGAAACCCCTGTCTCTACTAAAAATACAGAAATTAGCCAGGCGTGGTGACGGGTGCCTGTAATCCCAGCTACCGGGGAGGCTGAGACAGGAGAATCGTTTGAGCCCAGGAGGCAGAGGTTGCAGTGAGCGGAGATGGCGCCACTGCACTCCAGCCTGGGCAACAAAGAACAAAACTCCATCTAAATAAATAAATAAATAAATAAATAAATAAATAAGTAAATAAATAAATGCAAGCAATAAACGGCTAGGCATGGTGGCTCACACCTGTAATCCCAGCACTTTTGGAGGCCAAGGCTGGTGGATCACCTGAGGTCAGGAATTCAAGACCAGCCTAGCAAACATGGTGAAACCCTGTCTCTACTAAAAGTACAATAATTAGCTGGGCATGGTGGTGGGCACCTGTAATCCCAGCTACTTGGGAGGCTGAGGCAGGAGAATTGATTGAACCCCAGAGGTGGAGGTGAGCCAAGATCGTGCCATTGCACTCCAGCCTGGGCGACAAGAGCGAAACACAGTCTCAAAAAAAAAAAAAAAAAAAAAAAAGCAATAACCTTTTCCTTAGCCTAGCTCCTCTATCCTGCCAGCATTTGCATTTTACACGTTTTTAGAGTTGCCCAGTGGGTCTATTCCTGTTTACGTCACTTCTCTGTTCTTCTTTCCTGTTTTGCAGCCGATTAAGGTCCCAGCATACAAACACAGAGCATAAAGAATTAATTCCAGAGTAGTCACGTTGGATATTTTGGTGTTTGGGAACAAAACTTTTATATAGCGCTTTCCATTCAGTATAATTTGTTGAACCATGTAAACTGCCTTACGATTCATGGGTAATTTGTTTGGATATGGGAATTGGTTCATAAAATAGAAACTTAAATTGTACAGGTATTTAGTGAAATTGGACTTTCCTTGATGATACAGGTCTGTCTTAGACTCTACCAAGGAAAATTACTCGTGAGGTGATCCTGAAGAAAGGTACATGGTCCCACTCACAATGAGTTCCCTACTGGGGCCCTGCAAAGGGTATTAATGGTGAAGATATAAGGTAAGGTATTGTCCTCAGGGTACCTATTGGGTCCACAATAAGATTCCTTTCTCTTTTTTTGAGTCGGAGTTTCGCTATTGTCGCCCAGGCTGGAGTGCAATGGCGCGATCTCACCTCACTGCAACCTCCGCCTCCTGGGTTCAAGCGATTCTCCAGCCTCGGCCTCTGGAGTAGCTGGGATTACAGGCACCACCACCCCGCCCGGCTAATTTTTGTATTTTCAGTAGAGACAGGGTTTCACCACGTTGGTCAGGTTGGTCTCAAATTCCTGACCTCAGGTGATCCTCCTGCGTCGGCCTCCGAAAGTGCTGGGATTACAGGCGTGAGCCCCCGCGCCTAGCCAAGATTCCTTTCTAATGAGGGCTTTTGGGTATTTCATGTAGTTAATACCATTTTGCTGGATTCAACAAGGACTTACCTTACATTATGTTACATGTACTCTTAGGGCAAGGTCCCAGAGTTTTATTAGTTCTGTCACTATAAATTTATACTAACAGAACATGTACTAACTAAAAAGAACAAGGTTTTCATTTTTCATTATCAAATACTGTAACCAGGCAACCAGGAATTTGATTAGAATCTGCTGTTTGCTTGGCACACAATCTTACTGACCTCATAGGCCTCCACCAACAAGGTTAGAGATTCCTGTGCCAACATCATACTGTTCTAGAATTACTGGATCTCTTATGGTAACGTATCTTTTTCCCAGTGGGCTTTAGATCAAGTTTTTTTCTACTTATTCACTTTTTAAAACCACACTGCTTTAAATGGGTTGTCTGAAATACGTCTCTTACTAGCACAATCTTACATTTCATAATTTGAAAACAAGGGTATCTGGGCCCAACCTATTTTTTAGTCTATGTGAGAACTAATTATTATAAAAGTTTAGACTTGTATACAAAATATTAGTGCTTTATTTCTGGTATGTGTTTTCGTAAGAAACTTTATCACTAAAGGACAAAGTAGCAAAAACTCTGTGATCAGATGTTCTTGTTTTATAACATCTAATAATTTTATAATTATATTTTCTGCCACAGTGTTATTTGTTAGATTACTTATAAGGTGGTTATCTTACAAGCCAGGATACCAGATAGTAATGACGGAATTAGTAGAAAACTATTGACTTGTCACCGGGCGTAGTGGCTCACGCCTGTAATCCCAGCACTTTGGGAGGCTGAGGCGTGCAGATCACCTGAGGTCAGGAGTTTGTGACCAGCCTGGCCAACATGGTGAAACCCCGTCTTTGCTAAAAATGCAAAAATCAGCTGGGCGTGGTGGCGGGCATCTGTAATCCCACCTACTCAGGAGGTTGAGGCAGGACAATCGCTTGAACATGGGAGGCGGAGGTTGCAGTGAGCCGAGATCATGCCACTGCACTCCAGCCTGGGCGACAGAATAAGACTCCGTCTCAAAAAAAAAAAAAAAAAAAAAGGAAAAAAGAAAACTATTCATTTGTCTAATGTACTTCCTATGTAGGCTATCATAAATGCAACAGATATCAGTATATCTTGGGAGGCCAAGGTGGGCGAATCACCTGAAGTCAGGAGTTTGAGACCAGCCTGGCCAATATGGCAAAACCCTTTCTCTACTAAAAATACAAAAATTAGCGGGGCGTGGTGGCATGCGCCTGTAGTCCCAGCTACTTGGGAGACTGAGGCACGAGAATAGCTGGAACCTGGGAGGCAGAGGTTGCAGTGAGCCGAGATCATGCCACTGTACGCCAACCTGGGTGACAGAGTGAGACTCCGTTTCAAAACAAACAAGCAAACAAAAATCTATGTCTTTGCATTGCATTTTAACAATGTCTTTAGGTATTTGAATCCTTCTAAATTTATTCTCAAACAAGTTATTGTTAAAAACTAGTAGGAAAATAGCTATGTTTTAAAATGTTCTTTCCTTCTATGATTTCTGGGGTTTATGTTTAAATGATTCTCCTGACAATTACTTTAGAACTGATAGGTAATGACTCATTGGAACAGTCGTACCTCTGACTCATGGAGAATCTAGTATAAGTCATTTGACTCATCTGCTTCTCCCATTTAGGAAAAGTCACTATAAATGTATCATAAGGTGCTGTGAAATGCCTGACTGCACAGATAAAAGGTGCTAGAAAATTACAAGGTTGGAGAGTCTTATGTTAACATGTAGTTTTATAAAACTTCAAAAATGTTTTAATTTTGGTATAGATCAATTCTGTAATAACCTTTTTATGTAGGGGATAAAAACTTTTCCTCCCATATGAAATGTTTCGTTAAGAAATTTTATAGCTTCTGTAGGTTTCTGGTCATTGTGTTAAATAAAATAAATTGAAAGAAGGATTTCTTGTTGAATTTAATTTAGTTTTTTTGCTAATTAAAAAAATCCACACAATATCCAAAGCATACCATAAGTTAGATTAATTAAATCAGTTGCCTATTTCACTTTAAAGTAGAATTAAGCCTATCAGTAGCATAAATTTTTAAAGATTCAGAAATATTAGCCTCCTAAAATGACTTCAACTAACAGAAAGTATGATTTAATGTGGAAATGATATGCTTTTATTAGAATAACTGAAAACTTTTTAAAAATGATAGACTTTTTAAAGAACACTTATAGATTTACAGAAAAATTGAGAAGATAGTACAGTATTCCCATATACCCCATACCACTTTCTCTATTATTCACATTCATTAATATGGTATATTTGTAGGCCGGTTGCAGTGGCTCACGCCTGTAATCCCAGCACTTTGGGAGGCCGAGGCAGGTGGATCACCTGAGGTTGAGGGTTCAAGACCAGCCTGACCAACATGGAGAAACCCCGTCTCTACTAAAAACACAAAATTATCCGGGTGTGGTGGTGCATGCCTGTAACCCCAGCTACTCGGGAGGCTGAGGCAGGAGAATCACTTGAACCCGGGAGGCGGAGGTTGTGGTAAACCGAGATCGTGCCATTGCACTCCAGCCTGGGCAACAAGAGCAAAACTCTGTCTCAAAAAAAAAAAACCAAAAACAAAAAGGTATATTTGTTAAAATTAATGAACCAATATTGATACATTGTTCTTTACTAATGTCCATGGTTTATTTATATTTCTTGGACTTGATATGCTTTTTCTGTCCCAGGATTTCATTAAGCATATCACATTACATTTAGTTATTATGTGTCCTTAGGCTCCTCTTGCCTATGACACTTTCTCAGATATTTTCTGTTTTTGATGATTTTGACAATTTTGAGGAGTACTGGTAAAGTATTTTGTAGCATATCACTCTACGGAGGTTTCTCTGATTGTTTTCTCATGATTGTACTGAAGCTATACGATTTTGGGAGAATACCACAGAGGTGAAGTACTATTTTCTTTTTTTCTTTTTTGAGACAGAGTCGTGCTCCGTTACCTAGGCTGGAGTGCAATGGCGCGATCTCGGCTCACTGCAACCTCTGCCTCCCAGGTTTCAAGCGATTCTCCTGCCTCAGTCTCCTGAGTAGCTGGGATTACAGGCATGCACTACCACACCCAGCTAATTTTGTATTTTTAGTAGAGATGGGGTTTCTCCATGTTGGTCAGGCTGGTCTCGAACTCCTGAACTCAGGTAATCTGCCCGCCTTGGGAGACTCTGGAATTATCATTCAAGTCAATTTATATGCAATGATGCAGTCTCATACACTGTACTCAGCCTTCTTCTGGGCTGCTCACTGCACATATGCTGCAGAGGCTTTGGAGATGCAGTGGCCAGAAGCAAACTTGAACAGAATAGTTCCATTCCTGAGAAAGGCAAGGATTTTTTTTTCCATCCTGCCACCAAAAGTTTCTAATTGATGGGATAAATAGCAACCCTACATTATACCCCAATTTTTGCTTTCAGAAAGAAACGTATAGCCTTGCAGATTTGAAGGTTTTTAAATATAGTAAGCATTAAATGAGTGGACTTCTCTGTTGTTGGCCTATATATTATTATTATATTGTCTCTTTTTTTTCCTTATGAAAGCTAGGGCTGCTGGTCAAACCTGAGTTCCTGAAACCTTTAACCCTACTCAGCCAATACAACCGATAACATTCCTGAAGGTATAGTTAGATCCAGACTTTATGGCGCATGAAGATTATACAGTTTGAGAGGCTCTCTTCAAAATGATAGACAAAATTACATTCATTTCTTAGAAGGGGCCCAAACAATGCAAAGCACTGAAGCTTAAGGTTTGTTAGCTTTATGGATAAGTCTGCCACTACTAAGGAAATTTTTGAAAGTGAAATAATTAATGGATGTAAAATAATACCAAAAATATATATTCCTGTATATGTGTGTGTGGTTTCATATACATATATTTATATATATGAGAAACAAAAAACAACATATTCATAGGAACACTATTTCTATGTGAGGTTTTGTCTCCCATCTCCAATACAGAATCTAGTGAGTTAGATTGGACCATCTAAATGGTCAAATTTGAATCTCAGATTTTACAATTCTTTTTTTTTTTTTTTTTTTTTTTTGAGACAGAGTCTCGCTCAGTCGCCCAGGCTGGAGTGCAGTGGCGCCATCTCGGCTCACTGCAACCTCTGCCTCCTGGGTTCAAGCGATTCTCCTGCCTCAGTCTCCTGAGTAGCTGGGACTACCAGCACCCGCCACCACACCCAGCTAATTTTTGTATTTTTAGTAGAAACAGGGTTTCACCATATTGGCCAGGCTGGTCGAACTCCTGATCTTGTGATCCGCCCACCTCAGCCTCCCAAAGTGCTGGGATTACAAGCGTGAGCCACCGTGCTGGCCTACAACTCTTATGTAAAATGAGGTAGAGAGAAATGTGCTAGACTGGAAAAGAGCAAGTCCAAATACCTAAACTTAAGCTGGCCTGCATTACTAACCTAGACACTTCCCTGAATGAGGATCAGACCTATTTTACCTAAGCCTCCTAGAAGAGAGGACACCGAGAGAGATCACTCCTGTGAGTTCCATTTACCTTTGAAAGCATCTTCCTAAAACACCGTAGGTTATCTTTCGTCCTGTAGGGCAAGGGGCCAGGCAGGAGCCCTTTTGTGTGGCAGAGCTAAGCAGCAGAGCAAAGCAAGTTGGCTAGGTGGTACAGGGACATGGAAGCTACAGAAGCAAACATGGTTTTCTGCCTTCCCCATCTCCAGACTACAAAATTAATCCTTCCATTTACCCAATATCACTTTCCTAAAATTTAGAAACTATTGATATTTATTTTACAGAAGTTTTTGGATTGTTTGCTCTGATTGATCAAGATGTTTAATTCATATGCTATTAATATAGTATAAGTTCCAAAAAACAAAAACTCAGTCTAAAATAATGGGGGGTAAAGAAACTTATGGACTGCGAACTGGAACTACAGCTCTATCTCTCTCTTTCATGGGTCAGTTTCTATTTCCCTCTGTGTTTCTGTTCATTGTCTTCCTGGTGGCTAACTTCTGCTTATAGTTTCTGCTCCCTTTTAACTTCTGTGTGCACATGACTTGGACTTGTTATGGTACTATGCTCTGTGCTGGAAACGTAGCGGTGAGTAAGGCAGCCCTGACTTCTCAGCTCTGCATAGGACCCACAGTAGGGTAGGGAATAAACACACACACACACACACACACACACACACAGTTGTGATGTGCTATGAAACAATTTGTCAGATACAATGAAAGCTTACATTAAGACAGTGTAAACTGTGGATCATGATCTATGAGTGGGTCATGAAATCTATCTAGTGGCTTAAGACCAGTATTTTTAACAAACTAAATAATAAAACATCCTAGTAAATCACAGATAATAAGGATAAGTATTCTTTTGTGAAACTTTTATTTCTGCTTACGTTGTCAGTGAATGAATATATAAATCCAGGGGCTTATAGAGTATGCTTTCAAGAGGAAAGATAGAAAATAAACAAGATAAATTAGTAAAATATAGAATATGTTATAAGATGACAAGAAGCTGAAAAAAGGCAAGGAAGGGGAGTATATAAAATGTGAAGGGTGGGGGTTAAAATTTTAAAAAGGGTAGCCAGAGAAGACTTATTTGGGAAAGCGCCTTGTGGTTAAAGATCTCAAAGAATTGAGGGAGTTAGCCATATGGATACTTGGAGGAGGAACATTCCAGGCAGAAGGAATAGTCAGTGCAAAGGCCCTGAGTGTGGCTGGCCCGTCTGAAGAGAAGCAAGGCCAATATGACTGAAGGGGAGTGAATGGGAGGACTAGCAGGTGACGAGGAAAGAGGGTGAGTCATGGTCAGTGGGGCAGATCATGTAAGGCTACGTGATTTGTAGTAGGCAGGGCCTTGGTTTTGACTCTGAGTGAGATGGGAAGCCATTGGATGGCATTGAGGAAAAGAGTGACGTCTGATTTATGTTTTAATAGGATCACTTTGGCTGCAGGATTGAGAATAGTTTTAAGGAAGGCAAAGGCAGAAACAGAATTACTAGAATGTAAACTCCATTAAAGCAAAGTTTTTATACGTTTTATTCACTTTGTATCCCTAGTGGTTTATAATAGTGACTGGCAGATAGAGATAATCATTTGTTTAAGAATGCATATTTGCATATGTGTGCACCAGATCATGATATGAAATATATTTCTTATGGTAGATCAAGGTCAAAAGGATTGAAAACCCCTGTCTTAAAACTGACCTAGTCTTGGATCTCAGGAAAGGGATTCTCTGGGAATTGACCTTTTTTAGGCTGAGATCTGAAGAATGAACAGGAGGATGTGGGGGTGTCAGAAAAAAGACTTTTTCAGAAGTTGTAAATTTGA
The DNA here is from genome assembly GCF_000001405.40 of Homo sapiens. NCBI lineage: Eukaryota > Metazoa > Chordata > Mammalia > Primates > Hominidae > Homo > Homo sapiens. Next base: position 119,031,584 of record NC_000005.10, on the reverse strand, counting down.
GAATCATCAGCACATGCATAGCATTTGAAGCTCTCTGCAGGTGTTTTTGTGTGAAAGTAAGGAGCCAAATTAAAGCCATTGCTAACCGCCTCCACTTTCTGTTTCTTATTTTGTATGCTCATTTCCTGTAGCATTCGTCCTGTTGAAAAATAGTGTAGTCATTTATTTTTTAAAAAGTATAAATCTTGAAGGACGCTTCCTGTCTCACATCATAGTAATAGGAAAAGTCAGTGAATTTGAAATTCAAATTTAGTTTATTTAAATGAGTAAGAAGATTCACGGATATTTTAGGTATGCCACATTTTTTGAGGCTATATCTTTTTACCTCTGAGTCTGATTCAATTTTGAATACTCAGAATATGCTTCTTCTATACAAGTATTGGTATGAGTTATATCATCTGCTCAAGGGACTGGCAATGATTTTCTTTATTTTTTTTCTTTTGGGGACTTTTGGGAAGGCATGATTGTGTGTTGAAATGTGAGAATGACATGAGATTTGGGAGAGGCCATGGGTGGAATGATATGGTTTAGCTCTGTGTCTCCACAGGGCAAAATAGGGACAGCAAGTCCTGAAGGAGAGGAGGCTCATACTTACATATCTGAGATAAGAACTGTTCCAAGAACTTTCTAAAAATCCTTTCACTTCTTTCATACACCCTTTGATAAGATTTATCACAAGATGGCCGGGCACGGTGGCTCACGCTTATAATCCCAGCACTTTGGGAGGCTGAGGCGGGCTGATCACTTGAGGTCAGGAGTTTGAGACCAGCCTGGTCAATGTGGTGAAACCTCATCTCTACTAAAAATACAAAAATTAGCCAGGTGTGGTGGCATGTGCCTGTAATCCTAGCTACTCAGGAGGCTGAGGCAAGAGAATTACTCGAACCCAGGAGGTGAAGGTTGCAGTGAGCTCACTACAGCGCTACTGTATCCAGCCTGGGCGACAGAGTGAGACTCCATCTCAAAAAAACAAACAAACAAACAAAAAAACGCAAAAGATTTATCACAAGACATTCTTTAAGACTGCAGTGATTAAGTTGAGCTGTTCTTGGAAAAACATTTGCCCAGTAATGGCATTTCTATCAATGAACTAACAGCAACTCTGGCTTAGAAACTCCATGACCAATGAGCCATTTCTAAGCAGCTCATGTAAATATTTTTTGCTAATAAAGGCTCTCCTTACCCTTTCTTCACTGAATGCTCTGGTGATTTGCCATGTCATGCATTCCAGATTATAATCCTTATTTCTTTTCTTTTTTCTTTTTTTTTTTTGAGACGGAGTCTTGCACTGTTGCCAGGCTGGAGTGCAGTGGCTTGATCTCGGCTCACTGCAAGCTCCGCCTCCTGGGTTCGCGCCATTCTCCTGCCTCAGCCTCCCAAGTAGTTGTGACCACAGGCGCCCGCCACCACCCCCGGCTAATTTTTTGTACTTTTAGTAGAGACGGGGTTTCACCGTGTTAGCCAGGATGGTCTCGATCTCCTGACTTCGTGATCCGCCCACCTCGGCCTCCCAAAGTGCTGGGATTACAGGCACCCGGCCTATAATCCTTATTTCTATTTCCAAGTAGACTCAACATATTTAGAGATAATTTTCTCTAGCATCTTTTGACAAACTCGTGACCTAAACACCTCTCATTAGGCCCCACCTCCCAACACTATTGCATTGGGAGTTAAGTTTTCAACACATGAAATGTGGGGGACACAGTCAAACTATATCACTTTGTCTGCCACTATTAGAATCAGATATCCACATTGTGTGTTTTTTTTAAAAAGAATCACTTCTTTTTTTTTTTTTTTTTGAGATGGAGTCTTGCTTTCTTGCCGAGGCTGGATTGCAGTGTCACCATCTCGGCTCACTGCAACCTCCGCCTTCTGGGTTCAAGTGATTCTCCTGTCTCAGCCTCCTGAGTAGCTGTGATTACAGGCGCACAACACCATGCCCAGCAAATTTTTGTATTTTTAGTAGAGACAGGATTTCACCATGTTGGCCAGGTTGGTCTCAAACTCCTGACCTCAAGTGATCCACCCATCTCAGCCTCCCAAAGTGCTGGGATTATAGGCATGAATCACCATGCCTGACTCAAATCTTTTAATTAATTAATTGATTTATTTATTAACAGATGTGGACTCACTCTGTCACTCAGGCTGGGGTGCAGTGGTGCAATCATAGATCATAGCTGAACTCCTGGACTCAAGTGATCCTCCTGCCTCAGCCTCCCAAGTAGCTAGAATTATAGGTGCATATCACCATGCCCAGCGAATTTATTTTTTGTAGAGATGGGTCTTGCTGTTTTGCCCAGGCTGGTCTTGAACTCCTGGCTTCGAGTGATCCTTCTGTTTTGGCCTCTCAGAGCACGGGATTGTAGGTGTGGGCCATTGCACCTGGCCTAAATCTTTTACTTAATGCTATACCTCCTCTTCCTACAACCCTCTTTAAAAAAAAAAAAAAATCAAATATTAAGTTTGCAAACTTATTCACTTATGTTTATTTTATGAAAGTGAAGACAAGCTTATTTTATGGCAAATGTTACCCTACTTTCTTGAACTGATTAAGAAAAAAGTGATTTCTTTCTCATTAGTATAGTGGTATTAAAATAAAAAGAAGAAAAAAGAAAATAAAATTATTTTTCAAGTGATCTCCTCATTAAATAAAAATGCAAAGTATTTCCTGTTCAGTGCAGAGAAGACCTCTTAAAGTATATTGTCCAAAAAGGAGGAGAAAACTTTTTACGTCTAGGTTTCCCCTTTGGGGATTTCTCGTTGTTTCAGGTCACTGCCACTTACGTTGTCTCCTTCAGAGATAGGCTCCTTCCTTTAAAACTTTGACCCAAATGTTGACAAAACCCTCAAACTCCCACTAGTTATGCTCTGTGCACATGTAAGTGTACGTATACACACACATTCACACACACGCTTTTAAAAAATGTTGAGTTCATACAGATGTCAATAATTCCATTCAAATACCACAGGATCTTTCTTATTCTCCCTCATTCCATATTTGTATCTCTCTTCTCCCTCATGGAGAGCCGTGGCTCTCCATGTGATCCCACTGATCACTCAACTACAACTTCTACCCGTCTGCCCGAGTTATCAACAGAATCGAGCCTCAATTGTCCACAACTGTAATCTGCCTTATGAAGGTAACATTATTGATTTTCTTTTTTCCCTTCCCTGGATCACTTCTCTATTCCTCTACTGGTGCTTCTGGGATTTAATTCTGAAGTAAACTACCTGTATTCAAATTCTTGTCTCAGTATATGCTTCTGGGGAAACACTGTGTAAGTCACACCCCCGACTCACTAACCTACTGATCCCAAGTACCAAGAAATGGTCTTGTAACAACTACAAATATACAAATGGTCTTGTAAAAACTACAAATATTCAAAACATAATATTACATTAGCAATATACTAAGATATATCTAGACTGTAAAATATAGTACAAATCTAGGAAGCAAAACTTTCTTATGATCATATTTTAATACTCAATTATTTCAACTTATCATAAAACATAACTGTATTAATATTAGTTTTGTTTATGAGTTAAATTATAGTGTGTACAGCTAAAAGAAGAAAAAAATGAAAGAAAGCAAGAAAGAAAGCGGTGAGAAAATAGAAGAAGGGAGAGAAAAAATAAATCTACATACAGGGTGAATGTTCTGTTTTTAAATGGCCTTTGTGATTCATAAACACTAGCAATGTGTCATTTGATTCACAGATCCATGCCTCCAAGGAGCAAATGTAGGAATAAATGAACACTAAGGCCCTGGTTTTGATCTCATGCAAAAAGGAGGTAATATTATTTCATCAAATGAGCCGTTTGTGAATAAAGAAATGAATTGAAAAAGCTTGATTTCCTGTCATCTTTGGTTCAATTTAGGGATGGAAAGGAATAAAAACAGGAGCATTCTTAGATCAGTACCAGTTTAGTAAGAACAGTTCTTCACAAGACATAACAAAACACCTCTCAACCTTTCAAAGAAAAAACAATGCAAGTCTTTGCTCCAAATCTATACAGAGGTAAAACACTAATATAATAGTCATAGAACTCTGTGAGCCTAGTATAAAGAAATCTGTATTTAAGAGCTCAGTTATGATTTCAAAATTAATTGAAGGCCAGGTGCAGTGGCTCACACTTGAAATCTCAGCACTTTGGGAGGCCAAGGCAGGTGGATCACCTGAGGTCAGGAGTTCAAGACCAGCCTGCCTAACATGATGAAACCCCGTCTGTACAAAAAATACAAAAATTAGCTGGGCATGGTGGCAGGTGCCTATAATCCCAGCTATTAGGGAGGCTAAGGCAGGATAATCGCTTGAACCTGGGAGGCAGAGGTTTCAGTGAGCTGAGATGGCGCCACTGCACTCCAGCCTGGGTGACAGAGAGGGACTCTGTCTCAAAAAAAAAAAAAAAAAAAAATTGTGGGATAGATATTTGCAAAAGTATTGGAAATTAAAAAAAAATTATGGAGTAGGTATTTACAAGAGTATTCACAATAAGACTTCTTATATACAGTCAACTTTATTTTAAAAGCAAAAATGACATAAATGAGTGAGAGAGATCCAAGCCTTGTAGAGTAGAAATGCTCTTTGAGCTCTTATATTTGTTTATATAGAAATTTTCTTCATAAAGAGACTTTTGGTGAAGAACAGTGAGTACAGTTATTTATGAAGTTGTCTTTTAATTCAAAAAATGAGTTTAACTGAAAAGGTTGAAAATTGAGTGATTTCCTAAACCAGGAAGAAGTTGAATCCCTGAATAAACCAATAACAAATTCTGAAATTGAGGCAGTAATTAATAGCTTACCCCCCAAAAAAAGCCCAGGACTAGACAGATTCACAGCCAAATTCCACCAGAGGTACAAAGAGGAGCTGGTACCATTCCTTCTGAAACTATTTCAAACAATAGAAAAAGATGAACTCCTCCCTAACTTATTTTATGAGGCCAGCATCATCCTGATTCCAAAACCTGGCAGAGACACAACAAAAAAAAGAACATTTCAGGCCAATATCCTTGATGAACATCAATGCGAAAATCCTCAATAAAATACTGGCAAACCAAATACAGCAGCACATCAAAAAGCTTATCCACCACAATCAAGTTGGCTTCATCCCTAAAATACAAGGCTGGTTCAGCATACTCAAATCAATAAACGTAATCTATCACATAAACAGAACCAGTCACAAAATCCACATGATTTTCTCAATAGATACAGAAAAGGCCTTTGATAAAATTCAACACCCTTTCATGCTAAAACTCTCAACAAACTGGTATTGATGGAACATATCTCAAAATAGTAAGAGCTATTTACGAAAACCCATAGCCAACATCATACTGAATAGGCAAAAGCTAGAAGCATTTGAAAACTGTCACAAGACAAGGATGCCCTCTCTCACCTCTCCTATTCAACATAGTATTGGAAGTTCTGGCCAGGGCAATCAAGCCAGAGAAAGAAATAAAGTGTATTCAAATAGGAAGAGGGGAAGTCAAATTGTCTCTGTTTGCAGATGACATGATTGTATATTTACAAAACCCCATCATCTCAGCCCCAAAACTCCTTAGGCTGATAAACAACTTCAGCAAAGTCTTGGGATACAAAATCAATGTGCAAAAATCACAAGCATTCCTATACTCCAATAATAGACAAACAGAGAGTCATATCATGAATGAACTCCCATTCACAATTGCTGCAAAGAAAATAAGGAATACAACTTACAAGGGATGTGGAGGACCTCTTCAAGGAGAACTACAAACCACTGCTCAAGGAAATAAGAGAGGACACAAACAAATGGAAAAACATTCCATGCTCATGGATAGGAAGAATCAATATTGTGAAAATGGCCATACTGCCGAAAGTAATTTATAGATTCAATGCTATTCCCATCAAGCTACCATTGACTTTCTTCATAGAACTAGAAAAAACTACTTTAAATTTCATATGGAACTGAAAAAGAGGCCATATAGCCAAGACAATCCTAAGCAAAAAGAACAAAGCTGGAGGGATCACACTACCTGACTTCAAACTATACTACAAGGCTACAGTAACCAAAACAGTATGGTACTGGTACTAAAACAGATATATAGACCAATGGAACAGAACAGAGGCCTCAGAAGTGACACCACACACCTACAACCATCTGGTCTTTGACAAACCTGACAAAAACAAGCAATAGGGAAAGGATTCCCTATGTAATAAATGGTATTGGGAAAACTGGCTAGCCATATGCAGAAAACAGAAACTGGACCCCTTCCTTACACCTTATACAAAAATTAACTTAAAATAGATTAAAGACTTAAAACCTAAAACCATAAAAACCCTAGAAGAAAACCTAGGCAGTACCATTCAGGACATCAGCATGGGCAAAGACTTTACGACTAAAACACCAAAAGCAATTGCAACAAAAGCCAAAATTGACAACTGGTATGTAATTAAACTAAAGAGCTTCTTCTCAGCAAGATAAACTATCACCACAGTGAACAGACAACCTACAGATTGGGAGAGCATTTTTGCAATCTATCCATCAGACAAAGATCTAATATCCAGAGTCTAAAAGGAACTTAAACAAATTTACAAGAAAAAAACAAACAATTCCATCAAAAAGTGGGCAAAGGATATGAACAGACACTTTTCAAAAGAAGACACTGTTGGTGGGAGTGTAAATTAGTTCAACCATTGTGGAAGACAGTGTGGCAATTCCTCAAAGATCTAGAACCAGAAATACCATTTGACTCAGCAATACCATTACTGAGTATATACCCAAAGGATTATAAATCATTCTACTATAAAGACACATGCACACATATGTTTATTGTAGCACTGTTCACAATAGCAAAGACTTAGAACCAACCCAAATGCCCATCAATGATAGACTGGATAAAGAAAATGGGGCACATATACACCATGGAATACTATGCAGCCATAAAAAAGAATGAGTTCATGTCCTTTGCAGGGACATGGATGAAGCTGGAAACCATCATCCTCAGCAGACTAACACAGGAACAGAAAACCAAACACCACATGTTCTCACTCATAAGTGGGAGTTGAACAATGAGAACACATGGACACAGGGAGGGGAATATCACACACCGGGGCCTGTCAGGGGGTGAGGGGAAAGGGGAGGGAGACCATTAGGAAAAATACCTAATGTATGGGGGGCTTAAAACCTAGATGACAGGTTGATAGGTGCCGCAAACCACCATGGCACATGTATACCTATGTAACAAACTTGCACGTTTAGCTCATGTATCCCAGAACTTAAAGTAAAAATAAAGTAAGCAAATAAATAAATAAGACAATTGAGTGATTCCTTTGTTAATCTCTGAGGTACCCTTTTCCTCCCAGTTCTTCCTTTTCATGTCCCTAGCCGTGTCTGGGGTGTTATGATTGAATCATTCTCTTGGAACCATTTCCTTGTTTGACACTCACCTGCCATTTGAACAACTGAAATCTAAAGTCATGTGAAACAACCTCAAATTTGCTATAGCTATTGGATTTGGCTGTTGTCCCTCACTTATGAAGGAATAGCTTTATAGCTCCTACCTGGATTCTGAGATAACGAAACCTGGATTCAAGTCCTGGCTCTGTCACTATTTTTGATGAATGATTAAAGACTTCTTGACACTAGAAGTTCTCTCTAGGTTGTTTGGATGAACTAGCTGAAGCTGGGGCCTCCTCTCCTTTTGCCAGTGAAAGTGGCTATGTCTGAAACAACTTGTCTTGGTAACTGTTGCTCCTTTTCTCCCAGTGGGCAGAGCTGTGACCAAAATCAACTTTCCATAGGAACTAATAAGCAGTGTTGCCAGATGACTGGCACCCAAATTCAGACCATTTAGTGTCCCAGACCAGACTTTATGTCCCTTGTTCATAATTCCACTTTCATCTTGCCCTATAAAGGGGAGAGGAACAGGGGTGGATTCCTCTCTTTAAGCACAGCCCTGTTATGCATCCAGCTGCACCCTGGCCCTACTTAGCTCACCTCTTTGCAAGATGCCCAGAGAATGGGGTAACCCTTCTGCCTGTGGCATACACACCCAGTGATACTGCAGATGTTTGCAAGAGCCCTTGGCTGTCAGCATGATGTTTTACTTTTGTGACCTTTAGTTTCCTCATCTGTGAAAATGGAAAACACAATACAGTCTTCCCTCATATCAGGGGAAGGATTGGTTCCAGGACTCCTTTAGATGCCAAAAGCCACTGATGCTTAAGTCCCTCATATAAAATGGCATAGTATTTGCATATAACCTATGCACATCTTCCTGTATACTTTAAATCATCTCTAGGTTACTTATAATCCATAATACAATGTAAATGCTATGTAAATAGTTGTTCTATATATATATTTTAACATTTGTATTATTTTTCATTTTAAAAACTATTTTTGATCTATGTTTGGTTGACTCTGTGGATGTGAAACTTATAGATAAGGAGGGCCAACTGTACCTCACAGGATTGTTTTCAAAGTTAAATTTATCTATTCCTCATGTGAAGTACTGTTGAGTTACCTCTTATGTAAAAGTTTGCTGCACAGATTAAAATAAATCACCTTTGAGAGAGTTGTGGTGTTATCAAAAGAGCATGGACTTGTGAGTCACATATTTGGCTTCACATACGTTCCAACTTTGTTGCTTTGAGCCCCTGTGACCTTTAGTAAGGTGTGAGCATTAAATGAAATGATATCTATAAAAGGATCAAGTACACATGTGTACATGCTCAATAAATTGTTAACTTGCTTTCCTGCTCCCCTGCCTTTCCTCCTCCCTTCCTCTTTTTTTTTTTTTTTTTTTCCCAGAGATGGGGTCTTACTTTGTGACCCAGCCTGGAGTGCAGTGGTATGATCATAGCTCACTGTAACCTTGAACTCCTGGGAACTCAGGAGCTCAAGGAATCATCCTTCCTCAGCCTCCTGAGTAGATGGGACCACACGTGTGCTCCACCATGCCTGGCTAATTAAAAAAATTCTTTTTGTAGAGTTACAGTCTTGCTTTGTTGCCCTGGCTGGTCTCGAATTCCTGGCTCCAAGCAATCCTCCCACTAGACCTCCCAAAGTGCTGGGATTATAGTTGTGAGCCACCATGCCTGGCCCCTCCCTTCCTCTTTACTTACACGCATGCTTGCTTGGTTGTTTCTTATTCTATTCTTACTTCTCCTTCAACGTTCTCCCTATCTGGACTCTTTCCTCCTCCAACTTTTCCCCTAACTGATATGCTATGTTTTCTCAAACTCAACAAATTCTCAATATGCAGTAGAGAATAAAGGATTGAATCCTTTATTCAATCCTTTAGTGAATGTGGGCCTGGGGCTGGGCGCATTTTCTGGACCTACTACATATGGAAAGGTTGGGCAATGAACATCCATCCTTGTGATAGTTGCTTAAAGTCATCAATAAGTGCAGTAATGCTTACTTCAGTAGCCATCAGATTTGTATGTTTCTGCAAATCTGGGCTGTTCTTTGCTTCCCTCTTCTGGTGAGTTTCTTTCTTTTTTTTTAGATTTCTTCAGAGAACAGCTATAATTTGGAGGGATGTAGTAAACAAGTCAGTAAGTCTAGAGTAGCATCCAATATCTTATCATCTTCCTAGCTCAATTTCTTGCAACTGAGGCAGTATTGTTATTTCACACAATGGACTTGCTGACATCAACGGAGCCAGAAAGACTAGGCAAAATTGAGACTTAGAATTAGACATTCTGTTGAGTTACTAGATAAGCAGAGCCCAGCTGAGATGGTAAGTTCTGTAGGGATAGTGGAGGGACTCTCTCCCTAAGGATCTAACTCAAATGACTTCATGTTCCAAGCAAGTAAGTAAACCAGTAAAGGGGCAGATATACAGTAGGGAGTACTGGAGGCTATGGCAAACTGGGGAACATATGTCTGGCCTAAGGACATTCAAATGTAAACATTTCAAACATTGAATGTGCCAAACCAAATATGTTAGCGGGCTAAATTTGCCCTATGCACCATCAGTTTGCAACCTCCTCAAGACTTACAGAACTTGGTCTCTAGGGAAAACAGCAACAGGTAGTAGTGGTGAGCCAGAAAAGCGGTTCCTAGCAGGAAGGTTCACACAGGTGTAACAGGATAACCTGAGCATGAGTGTTGTTATGGCATGCAATATGGGAGAAGTAAGCCGTTAGTTAACAGGGTCCCAGTTCCACAGATGAGAGTGGCAGGAGGCAGGGCTCAGTGAAGGGCTCTAAGTCCTCTGTGGTGGCAGAGGGAACAAGACAATTTCCAACCAGGAAGGCCTAGGTTATGAATATGGTAATTGTTATGGGAAATCAGAACAAGGATGCAACAAATGGCAAGATCACATATCACTTATTACTGAATCACTTGCAAATTGAATGTAAATCCCTTACAATATTTTTATTGCTTCTTAAAAACTGAGTTTTAAAATAGTTTATTATAGAACATTTAGAAAATACAAAAAAGCATAATAAAAAAATAACTTTTTGGCTGTCCTACCTGAGGAAAGGCAGCACTGTTTCCAAAGCTTGAAGCCAGGCAGGGAATCAAGAACTTCTGTCTTGGGAAGAGGACTTTGGAGTATGGGGACAGGAAACTGGACTAGGAGCCAGAAATGGGCTGGACAGCCTTTATGAATTATCTATAGCAGAGCTGATTTCAGACTATTTAAGATTATTTATCATAATTTTTTATTTGAAAATATTGTAATTAGGATGGCTGGCACGGTGGCTCATGCCTGTGATCGCAGCACTTTGGGAGGCCCAGGCAGGTGGTTCATCTGAGGTTAGGAGTTTGATACCAGCCTGGCCAACATGATGAAATTCCTGTCTCTACTAAAAATACAAAAATTAGCCGGGCATGGTGGTGGGGCCTGTAATCCCAGCTACTCAGGAGGCTGAGGCGGGAGAAGCACTTGAACCCGGGAGGTGGAGGTTGCAGTGAGCCGATCACACCACTGTACTCCAGCCTGGGTGACAGAGCAAGGCTCCTTCAAAAAAAAAAAAAAAAGAAGAAAGAAAATAAACATTGTAGTTAGGAGCCAGAATGTAAAACTTAGCTCTTATCTAGTCAGATCTTTAGTATTCATAATATACCTTCATCTTTTTAAGGAGGTATGAACTATCAGGATGTCAAATATTCATATCTTACCAAAATGCATGTCCTTAATTTCTCTTTCGGGGTTATGGACTATTCTGGATTATATACACTACTGATCTTCCACATTATGGATTATACTGTTTTAGAATAATTCTGGTTTAACTGAATATATGTATAGCGGAGTATGAATCTTTTCAATCTTCAATTATTAGTCTGTTTTATGTAATAGTTGTGGGTCACTGTGTGTGTTTTTAGTATAGGAGTAACTTTTTTTTTTTTTTAAGAGACAGAGTCTTGTTCTGTCGTGCATGCTGGCGTACAGTGCCACAATCACAGCTCACCGCAGCTTCCAACTTCTGGACTCACATGATCCTTCTGCCTCAGACTTCCAAGTACTTGGGACTACAGTCACGAATCACCACAGCCAGCTTGGAGTGACTTTCTAAGGGTAAATAACGAGTCAATTGAGACTGTAATTATATGACTTGGGGCAAAATTAACTGTGGTCAGCTGACTTGTTACCGTATTTAATTTTAATTTTGGAGCTTGTATTCAAAAGCTATTATATGAATATAAGAATAAATGATTTTTTTAACAAAAAAGAGTATTTTAGAAGAGAAACATGATATCTAGAAGAGAAACATTTCAACTTACTATTCTCTGGGCTTTTGTTAAACTACACTCACATCTCTCCTAAAATAAACAAAATCAATCATCCATCATACGCTCATATAATGGCATTTTCAGTGAATAGAGGTATTGTGCAGAACATGTCCCAAAATGTAAAATCTAAGATTTCCCATATGTGGCTGCCACAATAACTCCACTCATGCATTCTAACATCTAATAGTCTAACATTATTTCTATATTTAGTTTTTCTTTAAACTTCCTCTTTTTTTTTTTGTTTTTTTGGTAATTGCCACATCTGCTTTAGCAATTTTGTGATTTTTAAACTTCCTCCTGCAAAAAGGTTTTAAAAACATTTATGTTGCTTGTATAATATAACCATTATCTCTTTGGAAACTTGGAAAAATATAGTAAAATTAGTGGGAAATGGAATTATAAGCATTCTTTTTTTTTTCTTTTGATGGAGTCTCACTCTGTCGCCCAGGCTGGAGTGCAGTGGCACAATCTCAGTTCATTGCAACCTCCGCCTCCCGGGTTCAAGTGATTCTCCTGCCTCAGCCTCCTGAGTAGCTGGGATTACAGGTGTGCGCCAGCACACCTGACTAATTTTTGTATTTTTAGTAGAGAAGGAGTTTCGCCATGTTGGCCAGGCTTGTCTTGAACTCCAGACCTCAGGTGATCCACCTACCTCAGCTTCCCAAAGTGCTGGGATTACAGGTATGAGCCACCGCCCTTGGCCCAAGCATTCTTTCTTTTTCTTTTTCGTTTTCTTTTCTTTTCTTTTTTTTTTTTTGAGATGGAGTTTCACTCTTGATGCCCAGGCTGGAGTGCAATGGCTCACTGCAACCTCCGCCTCTGGGGTTCAAGCGATTCTCCTGCCTCAGCCTCCCGAGAAGCTGGGATTACAGGCATGTGCCACCACGCCCGGCTAATTTTGTATTTTTAGTAGAGACGAAATTTCTCATGTTGGTCAGGCTGGTCTTGAACTCCCAACCTCAGGTGATCCACCCATCTCGGCCTCCCAAAGTGCTGGGAATGCCAGGTATATTTTCCCCATAGTTTTAGCTCAAGGTATTACATAGTTATTGCCAAAAAAAAACAATGGTAAACATCTATAGCTGAGTCGTCCGTGAATATTTAATGGATTAGTTAAGAAATAGTGACTCAGGAAATATAAACTTTAATCTTAGCTATTTCTGATGTAATGTCATGTCAGTCATTCTTTTTACTCTACGTTATTTTGATTTTGTACCTCATAAAATTTGGGAAACTGCTAGTAAATAACTACACTCAACAATGTGGGAAGGATGAAAGAGGCTTTATGATGTCACAGAAAGAGCAGTTGGCCAGGAATTAGAAGATCTGGCTTCTAAATATAGTCTTTTCACTTAAAATTGCCATGTTACTTTAGGCAAGCCATTTCATTTTTCAGAGGCTGTCATTTTCTTCATCTATCAGATACAGATGATAATACATATCTTATTTATATTTTAAGGCTGTAGGGAAGTACAAAATTAAATAGTGTTGGTAAAAGGACTTTACAAATTGCAAAGTTATAATTTCAGAAATAACACCAGGGCTTTGCTATAGTACCATTTGCTACAGCATGGAATTCAACATAATGCTGCTCTATTTCAGACTATTGAAAGGGGTACGTCAGTGGCAAGGCTATATCATATTCATATTTGCAGGAATTTCTAGGTTGGTATAATGAAATTCAAAGGATATTTATTTTAGAATTCTGACTCATTTCTGTTAACTCATACATATACTATTTCAATGATTTACTTTTGTTTTGAGAATTACTTGATTTTCCCCTATTTGTTCTCCATTCCTTTGTCCACCAACTCCCACCCCCACAAACAGTAAACTAAAAACAGACGTTCTTCTTTTTCTTTTATGAGACAGGGTCTCACTCTATCACCCAGGCTGGAGTATGGTGGCACAATCTTGGCTTATTGCAGCCTCGACCTCCTAGGCTCAAGCAATCCTCCTGCCTCAGCCTCCTGAGTAGCTGGTACAACAGGTGTGAGCCACCGCGCCCAGCTTATTTTTTAGTTTTTGTAGAGACAGGGTTTTGCTGAGTTGCCCAGGCTAGTCTCGAACTCCCAGCCTCAAGTGACCCTCCTCCATCACCTCCCAAAGTCCTGGGATTACAGGCAGGCACCGCCACACCCGGCTCTGAAAACAGATGTTTATAGAAGAACCAATGGTCATTTTTGTGTTCCAGATCTGTTAGAAGTTTACAGTACAATCAAAGGGATTTGAAAAGATCTCATGGAGCTATTCTAGCTTTAGTAAAGCCTATATATAGGAAAATGATGGCTCATTTTATTTGCTGCCCTTCTGAAATCAGGCAAACAGTAGGTATTTCTAAGGTACACTTGAATGCCTGTTTTTTAAAAAAATCAAAGTCACTTTGAATAATGTTACCATTTATTTAAAATCTTTGTTTTTATCCCTGACTCTTTCATAATATAGCCATGCTCTCTCTCTCTCGTATATATATGCACACATACCTATACACATATATGTGTGCGTGTGTGTACGTATATACATATATGTGTATAGGTATGTGTGTATATATATGTATATGCATGCATATATATTTCTATATATATATATATATACACAGAACTGAATATTTGATATCTTGATGTGGTACTTTAAATACAGCATGAACAAAACAGAATTCTTGGTACCCTATTTTGTCACCCCTCTCCTCCAGACATGTTGATTACCCCAGTCTTCTCTATCTCATTTGATGATACCATTATCACTCAGTTACTCCAGTCCAAAATCTGTTTCCCATGATTCTTTTTCATTTAGCCATATATTTAAACCATCAGCTAATCTTTTGACTTTAGCTCTAAAACACATTTAATCTGTGCATTTCTTCCCATCTCTATTATCATCCTATTACAAAGCAATGTCTGTCTGTCTCTCTCTCTCTCTACACACACACACACACTTTCTGCCATTTAAGAGTAAGTTGCAGATATGATACTTCATTATCCCTAAATACTTCAGTGTTTAATTCCCAAATACAAGGACACTCTGTTATACCATTATAATTTTTTAAATAAATAAACATAGATACACTACTATAATCTGTAGATTTTGTTCAGCTATCTCTAATTGTCTAAATAAAACATATTCACTTTTAGCTACCCTAAATCTGCAGGACAAGCTTAAGCAATGTGTTGTACCTAGCACAGAATGATTGGTTCATAGATAGCACCATTATAGTTTCACTTCTCCTAATTGTTTATATGATACCTTTTTTTTTTTTTTTTTTTTTTAAGACAGAATCTCGCTCTGTTGCCCAGGCTAGAGTGTGGTGGCGTGATCTCGGCTCATTGCAACTTCTGCTTTCTGGTTCAAATTCTTGTGCCTCAACCCGTGGAGTAGCTGGGATTACAGGCGTGCACCACCATGCCTGGCTAATTTTTGTATTTTTAGTAGAGACAGGATTTCACCATGTTGGCCAGGCTGGTCTCAAACTCCTGGCCTTAACTGATCCTCCCTGCCTCGGTCTCCCAAAGTGCTGGGATTACAGGCGTGAACCACTATGCCCAGCCTATGTAGTACCTTTATGAAAATACATGAAAGGAAGTGGGGGCTTGGTTCTATCTACCACTGCCTTCTGTCAAATCTTTCACTAGTAACTTAAAATATCTGGTTCTTAGTTTCTTTAAGTATAAGGTTATACAAGATTATCACTGAGGAGCCTAGTGGTTCCAGAATTTCATAATTATATAAGGATGGTTTGTGTCCCCATATTTTAGTCTCAGACTGAATTCTAGCACAATTCTGAGGCTCTTTGTTAATAGTTAGGTTCACTACATGAAGGGCGGGTTGATAGAAGACAGTTCTTAATTTTAAGGTTCTTGCAGGCTACCATAGAAACTCACATACAGGGTTGTTGCTCTGGAGGAAGCAGATGAGCAAAAGTGGCCTCTTTGTGCTCAAGGATCTTGACTCTGTGTATACTGATTATGGAACTTGAACATTAAAGCCCAAAATCTACTAATAATTATTTTCCAACATTTTCTCTCAAGGATTTAAGGATAAAGAGCAAAAGGTAACTGCCAGGATGCTTTTAAACGAAGTTATACTTCTGTCTACATTTCATTTCAAAGCAGAATAATTCAAAAGGAGAGATAGGTTCAGGGCTTATGACTTTTAGTTATTGGCTAGAATGAGGAGATAACAGGTGACATGTTAGACCAAGGTGCTTATTGGGGCTCAAAATTTTGGGAGGGGATGTTCCTCAAGGAATTCCAAGGTTGGGATTTTTATCTCCTTAGATAGTTTAACATATGGAACAATATCCATAAGCCTAGACTATTGATACCAGCTTTGGAATCCCTGAGGAGAGGTAGTGTGAGTTGCCACAGACAAATAGGAGTCTATCTTCCATTACCTTTTTGTGGTGCCTTCCCATACATTGCCTTTGAGCTTTGCTCTTCTCTCTCTCCTCACTTCTCACCCCTATTGACAAATGTTTTATTTAGCATCACAGATAATTATTTTATTGAGTATTATTCCAGTCTCCTAATGCCGAACATTTTCAGTAAATAATGTTCTTTCTCATCCCTCCAGGTAATTACAAAAGTAAACTTCTTTAACATAGCTATATCACAGCACGAGTGGGAGGAAGGAAGATGAGGAGGAGATGGTTCTTCCTACTGGTCCTAAAAATGCTCTTGAGTGATATCTATACAATCAAGGATAATATTAAAATATTTAAGAATCAGTACCACATAGGACTCATTTGACCAATTGTAATGGATGCAAATAGCAGGGCTGGATCAGGGTTCTAGAGGCCTCTTTCTGTGCTAACCCTACCTCTTTGGTGCTGGATCAAAAGTAGGAAAAAATGGGGCTCCAGGCAGGGGATACTGTAAATCAGCATTTTAATAGGTTTTTGGTCATATCTGTGCACATTCGTTGATTATCAGGTCTGTGCTCAATGGTCTTATGATATAACTTCTCCAAATCTTTTCTTCTTCCATATCAGCAACCACTTCCAAGTTAAAGATATATCTGCTCCTTATGGGTGGGAGTGTAGCAGTGGATTTAAAAAAATTTCTTTTAAAAAAGATTTACTGAAAATAGAGATGGGGTCTTGCTCTGTTGCCCAGGCTTGTCTTGAACTCCTGGGCTCAAGTGATCAACCTACTTCGCTCTCCCAAAGTGCTGGGATTACAAATATGAGCCACAATGCCTCGTTTAGTAGTAGATTTTATTAGGTGTTTTAAAATTTTGTTTACATTGGTCTTGGCATACAAATGTTTTATGGTTTTATTAATCAAATAAACATTTTTCGTTTATGCTTTTGTTGCATTGCCTTTATGGTTATAAAGACCTTTCCTATAGAGATATCAACCAAATATTAAGGTATATTTTCTCTGAATTTACAAAAGATGTTATCTTTTTTTTTTCTTTTCTTTTTGAGACGGAGTCTCGCTCTGTCGCCAGGCTGGAGTGCAGTGGCGCTATCTGGGCTCACTGCAACCTCTGCCTCCCAGGTTCAAGCAATTCTACTGCCTCAGCCTCCTGAGTAGCTTGGACTACAGATGCATGCTACCATGCCCGGCTCATTTTTTGTATTTTTAGTAGAGACGGGGCTTCACCATGTTGGCCAGGATGATCTCAAACTCCAGACCTCGTGATCCGCCCGCCTCGGCCTCCTGAAGTACTGGGATTACAGGTGTGAGCCACCATGCCGAGCCCATTTTTTTTCATTTAAAAATTTTTATTTTTTTTTATTTTAAAAATAGAATGGAGGGGTCTCACTTTGTTGCCCAGATTGGCCTCGAACTCTTGAGCTCAAGTGATCCCCTGGCCTTGGCCTCACAAAGTGCTAGAATTACAGGCATGAGCCACCATGCTTGGCCTGGTGGTATCATTTTTAAATTCAACTTTTTCTCTGTGACCTGTTTTTTTGTTTTTGTTTTTGTTTTTTCATGTCATGTGTAGTTCTAACTTGCTTTTTATCCAAAGATATCATATTTTTTTTTCACTGTTATAACATTTTTTAATTTTAAGGGATCTTAGTCTAAAATGAAAAATTATTAATAAAATCATGGGTTTATTTCAATATTTAAAAATATCTTCAGTAACATTCCACTCAGAAGGTAGATAACCACAAAGTTCTTCCGTAAGGAAGGGTGCAAATGGAATTTAATATTGTCTTACTGTACTATGTAGAATACAAACTGTGAAGACAAGGAAATTAAATAATTCCATTTTTTTCTCCTACATTATTTTTGCTGAAGAACTGCTCACTTAACATCCTAGGAACTACCTTGTTGAGATTTGTCACCACTGTGTAAAAGGGATGAACCTTTATCCATAGTGTAATGAATGTGACACTGCCTATACATCCATCCTGTGGGACAGCTAAAAGAATGAGCCCCCAGCATCACACATGCCAACCAGTCTATTAGAGCAATCATCCACATAACTACTTTTGCCAAAATCCTCCAACTTAAGTTTTAAATAGCTAAAATATGATCAATGTCATATAGGTACTGTATCTGAAACTACAAATACACTCTGTTCACAAATGTTCAGTGGTATAGAAACAACACTTTGGGACAGTCAAGGGTACAATCACATTTTTAAAAATCAAGAGTAAGCAGTAAACACAAAAGGGCATTCACACAAGACAGAGAATCCTGTTTCTTGGCAGTAGACAGAAAAACAGCTGGCTAAAGAAATAAGTTCACAGATAGGTACAATATACAATTTGATTCTCTGACTATTAATCTTGGAGACATAGCTATACATCCAAACACACAATCTAATATTTTCCATTATTAGTTTATTTCATTTTTTGAGACGTAGTCTTGCTCTGTTGCCCAGGCTGGAGCTCAGTGGCACAATCTCAGCTCACTGCAATCTCCGCCTCCCAGGTTCAAGTGATTTCTGGCTAATTTTTGTATTTTTAGTAAAGACGGGGTTTTACCATGTTGGCCAGGCTGGCCTCGAACTCCTGACCTCAAGTGATCCACCCGCCTTGGCCTCCCAAAGTGGTAGGATTACAGGTGTGGGCCACCACAAACAGCTGTAATTATTTAGTAGTTTATTATCCAACGGTTAAAAGAAAAACCCACCAAAAACCAATCCAATTATATTTATTAACCACTTTAATAACCTCCTTTATTCTTTATCAACTACTTTACTCCAAGTTTGGTAAGTGTAATCGTGAGATTGTCCAGCCTAATGGTCCAGAGAAAATTCTCTGGTTGCAAGATGATGCCTTGCTACGGAGCCATTAATAATTAAGCTCCAAGTAAATCCTGAATTAGATATAGAAATCTGCAAAACAACGATATATTCAAAAATGTGAAAAACAGGAGATTTAAGGCTGATGGTAACTCTAAGAAGAGTCACTCAAGTATTAAAATGGCGCTCTGGAAATGGCTCATAGCGAAACCGAATTTTCTATTCGGTTCATCATATGGGTGAAACCACTGTCAGTAGAGAACAGAAGGGGGGCTGCATGCTTAGGCTGCACCAAGGAAATTTTGCTTTTATGGATCCACAGAAGAAAAATGACTTTTGGTGCCATGTGGCTTGCACTTATCTCCAGCAAGACAGCCTAGCTCCCTCAACCCCATTGTGTATCTGGGAAAAGATAGTAAAAACATTTCCTTGAGAGGTAAAGACTACAAGGAAGCTACAAGCTCACTGTGCACAGGTAAGAAAGGAGGACCATGTGTGGATTTTTTTTCTATCTGAACAGACATTTATGTTTTGAATTCTCTATTTCCAACAATTCCCTTCATTATCTTTTGCTGGGCCCAAGGATATTGAAGCCATCCATTGCTTTGTCTTCCAAGTTCATCAGTGCCTGCACAACATGGTAACAACAAAGTCAAAGACATTCCAGACACTCTTCCGGAAAAAGGAAAAGCTAGGATAGCCACATAAGAAGGATCTCCAGGATGAAAATAAACAAGATAAACCAAGTTGCCACCTCCAAGCTCAGCTTCAATAGCCACAGTTAGGTATTTGTGGATTCCAGCAATTCTATTTCAACCATCAATACGATCATATTCAAAAAGATGAGGAAGATGACGAAGTTTGTGAAGAGAGGACACTCAAGGACCCATCCGGCCCACAAAGAAAGAGGTGGCCTCTGAGTGCAGCGCACATGAAGCCTGCTCAACAGCCTCTGGGCATGTGAAATCTGTCCTATACGTTGAGGCTTTATGGAGAAGCACACTAGCTGGTGTTGATCTCCCAACATAAGTTTCTTCTGGTGGGAAGGATGAAGTAACTCCCTGATAGTGTGCCACGGCACAGCTTGGCTCAAGCCTTGCAAATGCTAGATGAGAAAGTATCGATGAGACATGAACGAATGGCATCAGCTAGGGGCAGCTGCATCTGCCCTTCTTGGTGATAAGTGGCCATGTCTGCTCAGCCCAGGTTCTCTTCACCCACTCAGTCCTGACTTCACGCTTCCGCCTCCAGCTCTGGCGCCCCCTGAGCCCCGCTCACCCGACGCAGGGCTGGCTCAGGGCCGGCTCACAGCCTCACTGCGCCCCATTCCCAGCCCCGGCCCCAGCCCAGGACTGGGCCCAGCCGTGCTCAGGTGAGCTGCCTCGCCCTACTCAGCCACCATGTGTAGATTTTAAGCTTTTATTTATTTATTTATTTTTTAACTGGAGGAATCTGTCACACACCACCAAGAAAATTGTGTTCTCCTCTGAAAAAAAAAGTCATGCAAAAAAATCAGATTCATAATAGAAAAGGAAGTATACCTCCAAAATAGGCAAAAATATGTTTTATGTTTTAAAAACATGCAAAATAATTTCATGATGAAATACCTTGATTTGCATGTGACTTAGAACTTATTTCATATTAACCAGATTCAGTTGCTGTGATAAATCTATTATGTGTTTTAGAAAATCTATTTTTAAAAAATATCTATTTTTAAGCCAGAAGAAAAACCTGGCATTTGTGTATCCATGTGTAAGCTAGCCTGCTTGGTATCATGCAGTCAAGGTACTAAAAGATTAATAAAATTAATTTTAAAAATCTCCTGTTACAGACTAACAAATAATATATTTCCTCAAATTTTCTGGGCTATACTACTTTGTATTAATGCAATCTGAATTTTCAGATACAAATACCAGTCAATGGTTGAACTTAAAAGCAATAGGGTTGGGAGGACCTTTGCAATATTGGTCATTAAATCATAAGTAAAATTATTCTGGACCATAGTAAGTGGAATGCCCTAACTTTTCTTAGTTCAAACTCTGCACATTGATTCTGAAGTTCATAATCATGCCCTTTTATGTGCTTTAAGCGGACATCCTGACTTTGTGGTGTATACTTTTTGTAAGAGAGCAGGTAACTCCAGCACAGAAGAAACCATGTAATGCAGAAGGGGGGAGGACTTCAGTGGCACTATTCCATTTTTATTGATCCAGACTGTTGCTTTCAGTCCTGCATTGAGGCCTCCTTGGACGTCGGTTTCTAACGTATCACTGACCATCATACAGTCCCCAGGTTGTACTTTGAGAAGATTGCAGCAGTAATAAAATATGGATGGTGCTGGCTTCTCTCTCTGCTCTCCACCTCCAATAGCGTGGAAATACGACTGACAGGCACAAGGCTCAATCTTCTCCCTCTGGATCTGTCTGTCCCCATTCCTTAATAAAAATAGGCAGACCTTCTTTCAAAGTTCGGTGAGCATGACTTTGATATTTTCTGCTAGTGTCATAAGCTGTAAACGTGTAGATTTCCAAAGGAAGTGACATTCTCCAGTCAATTTTCTATTGGCGGCACCATCTTTTGTTTCCTGGACTGCTTCTTCCCAATTGAAGTCCTTAGATCAGTAATGCATGTACTGTAAGGATGAAAACATTCCTTCCTGAGTTTAACTTGAACTTTATCACAGATGATTTCAGCCTTTTCTTAAAATGATATTTTGATTGTAAGAGCTTTATCACCTCCAACAGGTCTCTCCTGCTCACCCTGGCCATGTCGATGAGCATGCTGTCCAGGTCAAAGAAAGAGGCCAGCATGTGGCTCATCCCCATAGCCCCCATGGCTCCCGCCACCCTCGCACGTGTGAGGTGGGCGTCCCGGCAATGTCTTACTTTTAATAATGTGTGATTTTTTTCATTGATGGCTATTACATTTTTTATCATGTTTTAGGTTCTTCTATGTACTGTAATGAATTCTCTTCAACAGTTATCTATTTTTTTCAGTTGATTAGTCTTAATTATCATATCTTTACATGCCTATCTGGGAAATAATAAAATGCTCTCTAGAATTGTGCAACATGGCAGCCTTGTTTAGAAGAAATTGACAGTGTTGAATTTCACCTAAGTTCTGTGCTCCTGGAAAAGAGCAAGATGGAGAAATCCCCCACCCTTTTGTGTTTCAGAAAGGCCTTGCTGCAAAGAAGCACCCTTTCCCATATAATTTAGATAAAACTCATGTATACTGCCTTGTTTACCTATGACAAGGCCAGAAACAGACTCCAAATTCCCACTCTTTGCCTCATAAATGATTAACTAAGCTTGTTTGTACTAATGATCAATGGGAACAAAATGCTTGTTAATCACACTTTGGTTAAGATTCTATCTATCCGCCAGGTCTCTGAACCTTGGCCCATCCTCAGTCTGAGTCAGCATGTAACCCTTCTTCAACAGCATCTCTGGAGAGAAGGCTGGCTTCTGGGTAAAACATTCTTTAATCCCATTCTCTTATCCCACCTGCCCACATCCAAATCTTTCTAATCTAGTTTACTCCTCTCTATAAAAGAAAAACTCTTTTCACCTAACTCTTGAGAAGCTTGCAGGTATTATGGTCAAAGAGTTCCTGTTATTGCAATAGCTCCCCTTCTCCTATTGAAAGAGACCCTTTTCCTCTTAGAATAATCCTTCCAACAAAGTCTCCTTACTAAGTCTGAGTTTGCTTTTTGACAGGACCCACTCATTACCTTTCATTAAATTTTTTTTTCTTTCCTATTCTCAAATAAGAAAAAATTATTTTGCCATATCTGGCCCTTACCTGATTTAGGTTTTTAAAAAACTTTTTGGAGGTATAACTTACATACATACAAATGTATGTATAACTTGCATATATTTAAGAGGTAAAATTTGGTGATATTTGACAGATGTATAACCCCTGTGAAACTTGTATTACACAATGTATGGCACATTTCTGTCACCTCTGTTTTCTTGAGCCACTTTGCATATAACCTCCCTTCTGCCCTTGGCTCTTCGCAACCACTGATCTGTTCTCTGTCAGTATATGCTAGTTTGCATTTTCTAGAACTTTTTATGTGTGGAATTATATGGTGTGTCTGGCTTCTTTCACCAGCATAACGATTTCGAGATTCAACAATATTGTTGCAGTTATTAGTAGTTAATTCCTCTTTTGTTATCGGGTATTATTCCATTTGTATAGATATACCATATTCTTTATCCACTGATCTATTGATGAATATTTCTTATTTTTCCCCCAGTTTTAAGGTTGCTATAAGCTGAATGTTTGTGTCTTCCCAAAATTCATATGTTGAAAACTAATAATCCCTAATGTGACGGTGTTTGGAGGTGGGGCCTTTGGGAGATGATAGGTCATATGGTTGTTGGGAGGTGGGGCCTTTGGAGATGATAGGTCATATGGTTGGAGGCCACATGAATAGGATTGCTGTCCTTATAAAAAAGGCCTCAGAGAGTTCCTCTGCCTCTTCTGCTGTATGAAGAAACAATGAGAAGATGGCCATCTGTCTATGAACCAGGAAGTGGGACCTCACCAAAAACTGAATCTGCCTGTGGCTTAATCTTGGACTTGCCATCCTCCAGAACTGTGAGGAATAAATTTCTGTTGTTTATAAGCCATGCAGTATATGGTATTTTTGTTATAGCAGCCCCCACTGAGAGGGATATTGCAAATAAAATTACTATGAACATTTAAGAACAAGTGTTTGTGTGAACATATATTTTCATTTCTTTTGAGGAGGAGTAAAAGGGCTTGGTCCAAAGGTAGGTATATATTTGAATTCTAAGAAACTGTCATAGTACTACCATTTTACATTTTCACTAGCAGTGAATAAGCCCCTTTTAGGTTTGAATTAAGATTATATAGTTTGGGAAGAAACAACACGTTAGTGATATTCAGTTTTCTATAAAGGCAAATGCTATACATTTTTAGTTACTAAAAATGTTCACATTACTCAGTGAAGTTTTTCTTTTTTTAAAATTTTTAATTCCTTCATGTCATCCTTGTGCAGTGGCCATGTTAATCTTCTCTGTATCATTCCAATTTTTGTATATGTGCTGCTGAAGTGAGCACACTCTGAAGTTTTATGTCTTTTCATCACATAGGTCTTGTTAATTTCCTATTAGGATTAGTCCTAAGTATTTCATGTTTCTATTATGGAAGATACCTTTTGTTTTAGTTTACGTTTTAACTGCCTACAATTATCTTCTTTAAAAATATAAATTTTTTCAGATTGGTTTTAGATTTGCAGAAAAATTGTGAAGATAGTACAGAAAGTTTCTACATATCCAGTATCCAGTTTCTCTATTATAAACATCTTGTTAGTCTTGTACATTCATTATAATTTATGAGCCAATATTAATACATTATTGTTAACTAAAATCCGTACTTTATTCAGATGTCCTTTGTTTTTACCTAATGTCCTCTTTCTGTTCCAGGATTCCATCCAAGTTACCACATTATATTTGTTAATCACGTGTTCTTTGGCTTCTCTTGTTTGTGACAGTTTCTCAGACTTCTGTTTTGCTTTGTTCTCAATAACCTTGACAGTTTTGAGGAGTAGTGATAAGGTAATTTATAAAATACCCCACAACTGGGATTTGTCTGGTGTTTTTCTCATAATTAGGCTGGGGTTATTTTCATTTACATCACATGGTACAAGGGCACACACTACCATCATGACTTATATTGCTCATAATGACCTTGAGTTAGTGTTTGTCAAATTTTTCCACTGAAAAATTACTCTCTTCCCACTCCCTTTCCATGCTGTATTCTTTGGAAGAAAGTTACTATGCGCAGACCACTCTTAGGGAGTGAAGAATTATGATGCCCCTCCTTGAGAATGGAGTACTTACATAAATTACTTGGGACTCTTCTGCATAGGAGGTTTGTCTTTCCTCCCACATTTATTTATTCAAGTGTTTATTTATATCACTATAAACCCATGGGTTTTCATTTTACACATTGGGTTATAATCCAATATTTTTTTTTTTGTTTTTTTTTTTTGAGACAGGGTCTTGCTCAGGCTGGAGTACACTGGTGCAATCATGGCTCCCTGCAGCCTCAACCTCCTGGGATCAAGCAATCCTCCCACCTCAGCCTCCCAAGTAGCTGGGACTACAGGTGCATGCTATTATACCCAGCTAATTTTTTAAATTTTTTGTAGAGACAAGGTCTCACTATGTTTCCCAGGCTGGTCTTGAACGCCTGGGCTCAAACAATTCCCCTACCTTGGTTTCCCAAAGTGCTGGCATGAGCCACTGTGCCCAGACTCATTATTTATTAAACTATTTTGTGGCTCAAATTGTTCTAGCATTGGTCACTGGGAGCTCTTTCCATTGGCTTCTCTGTCCCTTTGATGTACCTACATCATTGTGCTTATGAATTATTTAAAATTATGTTTATTTTTATAATTCCTTACTTTCTGGCACTACAAGATGCTCAAGATTTATCTTATTTCCTGCCCCATTTTTGGAATTGACCATTTCTCCAAAGAGCCCTGGTTCCTTTAATTAAACAGTACTAAATATAAATGAATATATTTCAGCATATTAGAAACCAAGATCTGAGCCAGGCATGGTGGCTCATGCCTGTACTCCCAGCACTTTGGTAGGCTGAAGCAGAAGGATCACTTGAATCCAGGAATTTAAGGCTGCAGTGAGCCATAATCATGCCATTGTACTGGTGATAGAGTGCCTGGGTGATAGAGTGAGACCCTGCCTCAAAAATAAAATAAAATAAAATAAAATAAATAACTGAATAGCTTTCCATGTTTCCATGACAGTTTTAATCACATTTAATCTTTTAATGTTTGAAATTATGCATTTGCAGAATTATTTGAGCCTAGAGTATACTGGAGGCAATTCTTTGACACATTTTTCATGGTATTGGTTTATTCAGTTCTTCTATTTTGTTCCTGTGTCAAGTTTTGAAGCTAAAATTTCCAGAAAATCGTGAGGACAGCCAGCAGTCTTGAAAAATTGAGTTAATATAAAGTATAGAATATGAAAGTAGCTCAATGCCTTCTCAGTGGTTCTTCTTTGTACTCAATACTGCTAACTTCTAGAACTATTTGTGTCTATTCAGTGCTTTTAAGGAGACAGACAAGTTCCTTGGCCTTGGACATCTTTGTTAATGATTCCAATTTATAAATTCTGAAAGTTACTATTGTGTGACCGTGACCATGACCAAGTTACTCAATGTCTCTCTCTCTCTTTTTTTTTTTTTTGAGATGAAGTCTTGCTCTGTCTCTCAGGCTGGAGTGCAGTGGCAAGATCTTGGCTCACTGCAACCTCCACCTTCCAGGTTCAAGCAATTCTCCTGCCTCAGCCTCCCGAGTAGCTGGGATTACAGGTGCCTGCCATCATGCCCGGATAATTTTTGTAGTTTTAGTAGAGACTGGGTTTTGCCATGCTGGCCAGGCTGGTCTCGAACTCCTGGCTTCTAGTGATCCTCCCACCTCGGCCTCCCCAAGTGCTGGTATTACAGGTGTGAGCCACTGTGCCTGGTGTTATAATCTCTCTATGCTTCAGTCTTTTTCTTTGTAGAGGTAAACATAATATTTACCTTATAGAGTTAATCCTAAGATTATGAGATAGTCTTAGGATTACATGTAAAGTGCTTAGTATGGTGCCTGACAAATGGAGAGTTTTCAATAAATGTTCTTCTTGCTAAGACTTACTGAACTATTAATTAAATTATATTTTTCTAGACTAATTAAACAATTATATCTGCCAACGCCTTTGCAGCTATTTAGACATTCTAGTTTTAATCATTTTGCATCATATTTTTCCAGTTCAATTACTTATTGCCTCAGCTCAACATCTTGTAGAATTTAGGACTACAAAAAGAGAGGAAAAACAAAGGAAAGAAGAGTGGTTGTGGTAATGATTACTGCTGTGGTGAAAATGTCCCCCAAATTGGATTGCGGTACATTAAAAAAACAATAACAATATATCTAACAAAAACAAAGAGCCATTAATTTAAAAAATGGAAGACAGAAATGTAAGTTATATTTTTTTATATGATAAAAACCTCATTACTTTAGGTAACTTGCAATGTTTCTCAACTTTGGTGCTCATCTGGATTACCTAAGGAGTGACAAATTCTGCTTCATTAGGTTTGAGGTAGAACCTAGGACTTCATGAACAATTATGAATGCTCTAGAGAAGCCTTCGAACACCTCAAAGATGGAGAACAATCTGTGGAGTAGAAAACTCAGTAGGTTTGAAGTCAGGAGGCTTGAATTTTTTACCTGGTCGTTTTCCTTTGAGCTTTAACTTTTTCATCTGTAGAAGTAAAATCTTAGATTAGGTCAGCGGTTTTCAATTCAAGCTGCAGGACAGATTTCCCAGGAGTACTAATGCCTGCAAGTTTCCCCCTGATACCATGTTCTAATGTAATTGGCCTGGGGGTTCCTCACGTGATTCTAATGTGAGCCAGGCTGGAGGAGTACTGTGCTACGTAATCTTTAAATGCCTTTCTTGCTTGAAAATTAGATGATTCTAGTAATAGAGTTAATTTTTATTTCATTCAAATAGTTAAATTAAATTCCCAGTAATCAGAATTGGGTTTTACAATTTTAATTATTTAACTCCCAGTAGGAATATTTAATTCAAAATATAAAATTGGCTGGGTGTGGTGACTCATGCCTGTAATCCCAGCACTTTGGGAGACCAAGGCAGGCAGATCACTTGAGGTCAGGAGTTCGAGACCAACCTGGCCAACATGATGAAACCTTGTCTCTACTAAAAATACAAAAATTAGCTGGACATGGTGGTGTGCACCTATAGTCCCAGCTACTCAGGAGGCTGAGGCAGGAGAATGGCTTGAACCCAGGGGAAATTGAGCCACTGCACTCCAGCCTGGGTGACAGAGTGAGACTCTGTCTACAAAAAATACACATATATATATATATAAAATATATATTATATATAAATTTATATTATATGTAATTATAAATTTATATTATATATTTTACATATTTTATATATATATATATACACACCCTGTTATAAAACTGATTGGTGAAACAAACAAATCCAAGCAAATAAAGTGCTTTAAAAAAAAATCCCTGTATTCACCAAGATGGAGAAAAAAAAAAGGAAAAAAAAATCCTTTGCTGCAGTCGGTGCCTATAATTCCCACTAATCAGGAGGTAGAAAGATTGCTTGAGGCCAGGAGTTCTAGTTCAGCCTATGCAACATTCCTCTAAAAAGAAATCCTACAGGCAGAAGACTAAGATTATTTTAAGATTATATATTCTATATGTGGATAAGAAGTAATATAGTGGGTCTTCACATGTGAAAAAGAAGAAATAATAAATATCCAATTTAATTAACCTAGAATTTTAAGAAAATATAAAAGCAACACTGCACAGCCAAAAAATATAAAAATTAGAATAGATCCCTGAGGAAAATCAGGCAGAAAAAGACATTTTTATAGATAGCTAGTGTCAGGAAACTTAAAGAAACAAAAAGACAAGCATTATACCAATGGTATAACTAATAAAGAAACGGTTCAGGACATATTGGTGACAATTTGGGTGAAAGGGTGAAAGGCATGAAGCTGTGAAGGAAGGCCCTGCCCTAAGAAAAACTATCTCAACCTGGAGGTTGAGAGAAAGAAGGAGACCTCTCTATCATCAACGAAGTCATTTAAGAATAACTTATATAAAAATAATCATGATAGTTGTACTTGAGGACCTTGCATTAAATATTAGCATCACTGGACTCACTACTAACTCACATTAAAAAATTAGAAATATGGCTGGGTGTGGTGGCTCATGGCTGTAATCCCAGCACTTTGGGAGGCTGAGGCAGGTGGATTACCTGAGGTCAGGAGTTCGAGACCAGCTTGGACAGCATAGTGAAACCCTGTCTCTACTAAACCCTGTCTCTACTAAAAATACAAAAATTAGCCAGCTGTGGTGGCACACGCCTGTAATCCCAGCTACTTGGGAGGCTGAGGGAGGAGAATGGCTTGAATCTGGGAGGCAGAGGTTGCAGTGAGCTGAGATCATGCCACTGCATTTCCAGCCTGGGCAACAGCAGGCTCCGTCTCAAAAAAGAAAAGAAAAAATTAGAAATACATTATTAAGGAAAGGTCAGCAAGTTAACCAAAGAAGGGAATTAATAGAAACTATCTTCCACTTATATAGCTTGGTATTAAACAGACCATTATTAGATGTTGATGTCTAGTTAACGTTCCATATTCTTCTAAAAATAGTATTTACATGGTCATTGTGTAGAATATCTGTAAGATATAAGAAAAACACACCCAGACCTTTAATCTCAGTATCTTGATAGAAATATTGATTTTTTTGGTAAATATATTTCCATTTTTTTCATATGTAGTTTGTATGAATTTGCAAGCAGGAATTCAGGCGAGCAAATTTATGGTGGGCAGAATTTTGACCCCTGTGATCTTTGTCCTCTGGTATAAAGCCTTATGAATATGTTGCTTCACGGCAAAAGGGAATTCAGTTTGATAACCATTTGATTTTAAAATAGGGAGATTATCCTGGATTATCTGGGTAGAAATGGAAGTGGAAAAGGAAGGCAGAGAGTTGGTTAGAAAGATGTAATGGAAAAAGAGGCAGGAGAGATTCAGAACATGAGAAGGACTCAACCTGCCCCTGCTGGCTTCACAGATGGAGGATGGGGGCCATAAGCCAGAGAACATGGGTTACCTCTAGAAGCTGAGACTAGCCTTTAGCTGACAGCAGGAAAATAACCACCACAATGAACTGAATTCTGCCAACACCTAGATAAGCAAGAAAACAGATTATCCTTTAGAACCTCCAAAAGAATCCAGCCTGCCAACATCTAGATTTTAGTCCTGTGGGATCCATGTCAGATTTCTGACATACAGAGCTGTAAGATAAATAATGTATGTTGGTAGGAGGGGTTGGAGAAAAAAAGTATCTGTTAAAAAGCCACTAAATTGACTACTATGCCTATGGAGTAGCCATTCTCTATTCCTTTACTTTCCTAATAAACTTGCTTCCACTTTATGAATTTGCCTCAAACTCTTCTTTGTGTGAGGTCCAAGAACATTCTCTTGGGGTTTGGATCAGGACCCCTTTCTGGTAACATCTTCCTGATGAATCCCAAAGAAGTGATACTGAGGAGACCCCGGACTCAAAGGAAACAGACTGCAGCACTGATTGGCTGACTCTGGGTAAGTGGTGCTGTACCTGGGTAAAGGATGGGATTGGGTTAGAGGCCCAGCTTAGGGGAGTTAGAGTCTCTCCTAAGACAGAGTGGGTTAAAAGCCCCTCTTAATAAAAGGCAAGGATGCTTGACCAAACTTAGGGTCAAGGCTGAACTTAGGAAGGTTAGAGTCCTCCCTAAGATTTAGGGGGTTAGAGACCACCCTCTCAGTAAAGTCCCTTTTGGTTAAAAATAGATTTGTTATTATGGGAAGTTAACCACTATTCTCTTTGGATTAATCTGCCTTGCATTCTTTGCTGAAGGCTATGGGTGACAGGGTTAGTCATGTACAGGACCGTGGGGCATGGGGAGCTTTTTCATCCCCAAAGGGGGAAACTTTAGAGCTGACGGAGCTGCTGGAAAAGATCCCTCCCCAACTGACAAGTGGCTGCCTGAACTTTTGATTCAGTGTCACTGCATTGGGTGGGTCTTTCTCTGGCCTCCCTGAGCACCTTGCCTTCCCCACCCTGCCTCAGGCAATGCTTTTCTCCCTTTCCTTTCCCTTTCTTATCTTTTCTATTACTCAGGACAAACATCTTGCCCAGAGACCACACACTGAAAAATGTCCTTGTAATCATGTGGCAGTACTTTTGCTTGCTCTCCCCTTTCCAGGGAAAAGGAATTTTAGGGTTCATGTCATAGTCAGCTCTAAAAATTGTCTTGAGCAGTTAAAACCCATTGCAAAGCACAAAATTGGATGCTTTAGGCTCCTTCTGGGAAAAAGCATCAGAAACTGCCCAATGCTGTAGCTTAGTGGCTAAGGCTTTATCTTTTCTTAATGGTGGCCCAGGTTCAGGGTTCAATTCCTTGCTTAGTGAATGAGTCCTTTCTGGTTTGTCTGTGTGACCTTCACTATTTGTTGATTCTCTTCCCCTCCACTAACTGTCTTGAATTTTCCTTTCTCTGAGCACAAAAATATTGGCTGTTTGGCCTGGCTAAAGTCATGTAATAAGAGACTTAAAAAGATTTTTTAAAGAGTACTATGGTTAAAAGTCAGCTTTTTAAAAGTGGATATTCAAGTTTTATGGGACTCCCTGGGAAAAACAGAGGAGGCACCACAGACCCTGTTTTGGGAAAAACCTCTGTTTTCCTCATGAAACCCCTGGAATTGAAAGCAGATAAATCCTTCTCAAAATCTAAAGCTCTGTTGTATTTTGCATTGCCTTATCTAATGGTTTTGACTTTTGGGGTTAGCAGAAATTACTTCACACTATGAGAGAGCTTTGGTTGTAATAACTAGATAGGAAATGTACTTCTGGGGCTGGCTAATGGAAGTTATGGGGAGATAGCTCTTTGCATGTTTGGATTAGAGAAGCATGCCTTTGGCTACCTAAAAGAAATGAAAATGTCCCTACCCGCTACTGAGAGGTAAGACTCTCATGAAAGATGGGCTAATTACAGAATGGGCTGATTGGCTTTGTATTGCTTTGCAATCAAATGCATGGCAAAATCACTGCATTGTCTTATTCCATAGCACTTCTCTTTCTTTGGGATCCAGGATCTGGTAAAAAATGAGACCCTTAATTTTGAGGGATGTTTTGCCTTTCAGCTGTGCCTGCTTATTAGGCCATAGGAACTTCATGCTTTCCTGGCCCTGTTCCTCCAAGGGCTCCACCCTGGAGTCAGTAATTAAAAAAACTGGCAAATGAAAAATCTTAAAATTACTGGATCTTCTTCTGTCTATATTTATATGTGATGTGTGTATGATTTTTATTTTATTTTATTTTTTTTAGTATTTATTGATCATTCTTGGGTGTTTCTGGGAGAGGGGGATTTGGCAGGGTCATAGGACAATAGTGGAGGGAAGGTCAACAGATAAACATGTGAACAAAGGTCTCTGGTTTTCCTAGGCAGAGGGCCCTGCTGCCTTCCTCAGTGTTTGTGTCCCTGGGTACTTGAGATTAGGGAGTGGTGATGACCCTTAACGAGTAGGCTGCCTTCAAGCATCTGTTTAACAAAGCACATCTTGCACCGCCCTTAATCCATTTAACCCTTAGTGGACACAGCACATGTTTCAGAGAGCTGGGGGTAAGGTTATAGATTAACAGCATCCCAAGGCAGAAGAATTTTTCTTAGTACAGAACAAAATGGAGTCTCCTATGTCTACTTCTTTCTACACAGACACAGTAACAATCTGATCTCTCTTTCTTTTCCCCACATTTCCCCCTTTTCTATTCGACAAAACCGCCATTGTCATCATGGCCCGTTCTCAATGAGCTGTTGGGTACACCTCCCAGATGGGGCGGCTGCTGGGCGGAGGGGCTCCTCACTTCCCAGACGGGGTGGCTGCCGGGTGGAGGGGCTCCTCACTTCTCAGACGGGGCGGCTGGTCAGAGACGCTCCTCACCTCCCAGATGGGGTGGCGGCGGGGCAGAGACACTCCTCAGTTCCCAGACAGGGTTGCGGCCGGGCAGAGACGCTCCTCACTTCCTAGACGGGATGACGGCCGGGAAGAGGCGCTCCTCACATCACAGATGATGGGCGGCCAGGCAGAGATGCTCCTCACTTCCTAGACGGGGTGGCGGCCGGGCAGAGGCTGCAATCTCGGCACTTTGGGAGGCCAAGGCAGGCGGCTGGGAGGTGGAGGTTGTAGCGAGCCGAGATCACGCCACTGCACTCCAGTCTGGGCAACATTGAGCACTGAGTGAGCGAGACTCCATCTGCAATCCCGGCACCTCGGGAGGCCGAGGCTGGCAGATCACTCGCAGTCAGGAGCTGGAGACCAGCCTGGCCAACACGGCGAAACCCCGCCTCCACCAAAAAATACGAAAACCAGTCAGGCGTGGCGGCGCGTGCCTGCAATCCCAGGCACTCGGCAGGCTGAGGCAGGAGAATCAGCCAGGGAGGTTGCAGTGAGTCGAGATGGCGGCAGTACAGTCCAGCCTCGGCTCGGCATCAGAGGGAGACCGTGCGGAGAGGGAGGCGGAGGGGGAGGGGGAGGGGGAAAGGGAAAGGGAGAGGGAGAGGGAGATTGTATGATTTTTATTTACTTAGTTTTTCTCCCCGAGATGGAGTCTTGCTGTCACCCATGCTGGAGTGCAGTGGCATGATCTTGGCTTACTGCAACCTCCACCTCCTGGGTTCAAGCAATTCTCCTGCCTCAGCCTCCTGAGTAGCTGGGATTACAAGCACCCGCCATCATACCTGGCTAATATTTGTATCTTTAGTAGAGATGGGGTTTCACCATGTTGGCCAGGCTGGTCTCGAACTCCTGACCTCATGATCCACCTGCCTCGGCCTCCCAAAGTGCTGAGATTACAGGCGTGAGCCACCGCGCCTGGCCGTGTGTGTGATGTTTACATAAGAAAGAGCTTTATTTGTTTTAAAAATAATAAACGCTTAACTCAAATATTTTGTCAGAAAAGTAAAAACTTTAATGCCTTTTAGTTCACATGACTTTAGTAATCTTGGAAATAAAAACAGCTTTACATGCAAGATGTGTAAGGAAAGCGAAATGTGTTTTTTGTAAAAGATTATAAGATGTCATGAGAATGTAGATTTTTTTGTGTGCCTAAACGGTTAAAGGATTGTTTTAAGTTAAGTAGAATAAAGCTGAAGGTTTGAGTAAGTTGTGGAAGATTTGTGAAAAATTAATCTTGTAAAAGAAATTCTATGTGTGAACATATTGGCTAAAGTTAAAAGGGTATTCATTGGAATACCCTTTGGAATATTGGAATAAAGGCATAACAGGTTTTTCTTACAGCACTAATCTGTTCTTTAACAAAAATTTGTAAAGATTTGTAAAAGGTTTATGAGAATCTTACCTTATGATCAGACATAAAAATTGGATAGATTTGTCTATAAAGTTTTATTAAAAATTGGGGTTGACATTAATAGTACACTAACGCAAAGGGTAAAATTTGGTTTTCTCTCTTGAACAAGATTTTCATGTACTATCAAAAAAAAAGAAAGATTTTTGTTTGCCTTTTAAATAAACTATAGGAAAAAGAAAGAAAAGAAAAAAAAAGACACAGATTGTTTAGAAAGCTAAGTCTTCCCTCTTAATGAATAAAGGTTTTTGCCTCTAAAAATATTTTTAAGTCATCATTTTGCCTGAATGAATAACTTATGGTGGCCTGGGATTCTATTTTATGTTATCGTGTTTTAAACCTTTGATGTCTGACAAACTTTCCAAAATCATACTCTAAATTACGTTTTTCTCTGACCTAATTAATCTTTTAGATATTAGGTCCCCTAAAGTTCAAAAGAGACATATTTGGCTTATTTGGTACAAAAATCATGTAGAGCCGGGCATGGTGGCTTACACTGGTAATCCCAGCACTTTGGGGAGCTGAGGCAGATGGATCACCTGGGATCAGCAGTTTGAGATCAGCCTGGCCAACATGGTGAAACCTTGTCTCTACTAAAAACACAAAAATTAGCTGGGCGTGGTGGTATGTGCCTGTAATACCAGCTACTTGGGAGGCTGAGGCAGGAGAATCACTTGAACCCAGGAGGCAGAGGTTGCAGTGAGCTGAGATTGCACCACTGCACTCCAGCCTGGGTGACAGAGTGAGACTCTGACTCAAAAATAGAAATAAAAATAAAAATCATACAGGAAGTGTAGTCAAATATAAAATGGTATTTGGCTTTCTTTGGGCTGTATTTGTATAAATGTAATTGGTGTGTATTCCAAAATCATGTAAACTCATAATTCTAATATGACTTAGTTTTGTTATTAATAGTTATAATTGTTATGTAAAATTGTTGTATGCCAAAGAAGTAACCAAATTTTCTTGTCAATTGTGGCTCTTAATAGTGGCTGACCTAAGACTGTCATCCACAGACAATTGTCTAATTTTGATCCTCTTCAAAAGGTGGTTTATAATCAGCTATAGGACTTTGACAGGTGCTCTTAAGTGCACATTTCTAATAACTTTGGAGATTGTAACATTACAGTAGACGAAAAAAGTTTCAGGACTCGCATGGAGAGCTGAATGTTCATGAATATCAAGCACAACAGGAGTTAATTACATAGACTGAATTAATAGAAGACTGAAGTAATCTTTTTGACTTTTTTGTTTAAAACATTGCTGATCCTTTGTTTTGTGTTTCAGAGCCAAGAAAACTTTCAAGTTACTTACAGCTTTTATCAATTGAGTAAAGTCTATTCCTGTGAACAAAATTTGGAGCATATTTATTTCTCTCTACCTGATTTCTCCAGAATTGGAAATTATTTGTGAGCATTCTCAATTTATGGCAATATAGTTATTTGCATAAGTGCAATAAGTATCTGTTTTCTTTTGTAACGGGACACAATTGGAGACACTGGTTATTTTACCAAGGTTTTGACTGGAATAGCATGCTTTCTTTTAAGGAATCAAATTTGACTTATAAATCCAATAAAAACCCCTTGGGAAACTGGCCTCACCTCATACCCTGTCTACATAGTCCCTGTATAGAGTTCCAGACCTGTGGTAAGTAAAGAATGTCAGTTTTTGACAGGCCCAGAAGCCCCAAATTATCTTGGGATCTCAAGAGAAGAGGAACTTACCCAACTCATAGGTATTTGACAGTACAACCCCATAGCTGGGCTGGGCTTTTAAAAAAGTCTTATCTAAGATTCCTTTGATGGAACAAAAGTTCCATCAAAGCTAATTAAAATAAGCCTATGCGGCAAATAATTATTCCTGCTGCACTTTATACAAATAATCAGGCTAAGTATAATAAGGCAAATTGGTTTTACCATGATTTGTATTTAGTAAAAATGGGAGATTGAAGAGAGAAAAACTATGTTTCAAGAACTATGGTACAGTTATTATTAGATTGTAACCTCATCAGTTGTTTTTGAGGATGTTTTCCCTGCAATTTAGACTGAACACTCATTCCTGTGAACCAGTCAGTGATCTCTGCCTGCTGCTCAAACAAAACAAGGGGGATGGATAATGTAAAAATATAGATCAATATTGTAATTCTGGGCATATATTGGAATCAGGTAGTGACACCATATCAGCTTGGTTTCAAATTGCCCAGTTCATGGAAAGCTTTCTTAACTAGTTTACTTGGGATAGTTTTGTTTTACTGTTGCGGAATATGTTGCTGCTGTACTCTCCGTGTAAGAATTCAGGGTAAGTTTACTCAATGTTATCTTAAATTGGACACCTATTAATCTTCCAGATATCACCTTTTGCAGAGTTATGGATGGCCCTCACCATACTGATGCTTTCTGACTAAGCTCCTCTCTACCCCAAATACAAGAGACCCTAGTAGTTAGGCAGGAATATCATCACCCCTATTCAGCCTGAAGAAGCTACAGAAGATGGATCTTTGTCCCTCTAAAACCCTTAGCATTAAGGGTTCTCGTATGAAAGGAAGGTGGGAAATATGTCAGAGGCGTTTGAACCAGAGCAATTCCATCTTGAATAGGAGCTGGGTAAAATAAGGCTGAGACTTACTGAGCTGAATTCCCAGGAGGTTAGGCATTCTAAGTCACAGGATGAGACAGGAAGTCAGCACAAGGTACAGGTCATAAAGATGTGATAAAGAAGCTGGCCAATCGCATCAAAACCAATATGGCCAAGAAAGTGACCTCTGGTCGTCCTCAGCACTCATTATATGCTAATTATAATGCATTAGTATGCTAAAAGACACTCCCATCAGCACCATGACAGTTTGCAAATGCCAAGGCAACATCAGGAAGTAATCCTGTGTGGTCTGAGAAGGGGAGGAGCCCTCAGTTCTGGAAATTGCCCACCCCTTTCCTGGAAAACTCATAAATAATCCACCCCTTGTTTAACATATAATCAAGAAATAACTATAAATATTATTGGTGCACTAAACCAGGAAGAAGCTGAATCCCTGAATAGACAAATTAACAGGCTCTGAAACTGAGGCAATAATTAATAGCCTACCAACCAAAAAAAGTCCAGGAACAGATGGATTTGCAGCCAAAGTCTACCAGAGGTACAAGGAGGAGCTGGTACCATTCCTTCTGAAACGATTCCAATTGATAGAAAAAGAGGGAATCCTCCCTAACTCATTTTATGAGGCCAGCATCATCCTGATACCAAAGCCTGGCAGAGACACAACAAAAAAAGAGAATTTTAGACCAATATCCCTGATGAACATTGATGCAAAAATCCTCAATAAAATACTGGCAAACTGAATCCAGCAGCACATCAAAAAGCTTATCCACCATGATCAAGTGGGCTTCATCCCTGGGATGCAAGGCTTGTTCAACATACGAAAATCAATAAATGTAATCCATCATATAAACAGAACCAAAGACAAAAACCACATGATTATCTCAATAGATGCAGAAAAGGCCTTTGACAAAATTCAACAGCTCTTCATGCTAAAAACTCTCAATAAACTAGGTATTGATGGGACGTATCTCAAAATAATAAGAGGTATTTATGACAAACCCACAGCCAATATCATACTGAATGGGCAAAAACTAGAAGCATTCCCTTTGAAAAACTGGCACAAGACAGGGATGCCCTCTCTCACCACTCCTATTCAACATAGTGTTGGAAGTTCTGGCCAGGGCAATTAGGCAGGAGAAAGAAATAAAGGGTATTGAATTAGGAAAAGAGGAAGTCAAATTGTCCCTGTT
The DNA here is from genome assembly GCF_000001405.40 of Homo sapiens. Taxonomy (NCBI): domain Eukaryota; kingdom Metazoa; phylum Chordata; class Mammalia; order Primates; family Hominidae; genus Homo; species Homo sapiens. The sequence continues at coordinate 118,993,875 of NC_000005.10, read as the reverse complement.
TGCAGATGACATGATTGTATATTTAGAAAACCCCATCATCTCAGCCCAAAATCTCCTTAAGCTGATAAGCAACTTCAGCAAAGTCTCAGGATACAAAATCAATGTGCAAAAATCACAAGCGTTCCTATACATCAATAACAGACAAACAGAGAGCCAAATCATGAGTGAACTCCCATTCACAATTGCTTCAAAGAGAATAAAATACCTAGAAATCCAACTTACAAGGGATGTGAAGGACCTCTTCAAGGAGAACTACAAACCACTGCTCAATGAAATAAAAGAGGACAAAAACAAATGGAAGAACATTCCATGTTCATGGATAGGAAGAATCAATATCGTGAAAATGGCCATACTGCCCAAGGTAATTTACAGATTCAATGCCATCCCCATCAAGCTACAAATGACTTTCTTCACAGAATTGGAAAAAACTACTTTAAAGTTCATATGGAACCAAAAAAGAGCCCACATTGCCAAGACAATCCTAAGCAAAAAGAACAAAGCTGGAGGCATCATGCTACCTGAGTTCAAACTATATTACAAAGCTACAGTAACCAAAACAGCATGGTACTGGTACCAAAACAGAGATATAGACCAATGGAACAGAACAGAGTCCTCAGAAATAATACCACACATCTACAACCATCTGACCTTTGACAAACCTGACAAAAACAAGCAATGGGGAAAGGATTCCCTATTTAATAAATGGTGCTGGGAAAACTGGCTAGCCATATGTAGAAAGCTGAAACTGGATCTCTTCCTTACACCTTATACAAAAATTAATTCAAGATGGATTAAAGACTTAAACGTTAGACCTAAAACCATAAAAACCCTAGAAGAAAACCTAGGCAATACCATTCAGGACATAGGCATGGGCAAGGACTTCATGTCTAAAACACCAAAAGCAATGGCAACAAAAGCCAAAATTGATAAATGGGATCTAATTAAACTAAAGAGCTTCTGCACAGCAAAAGGAACTACCAGCAGAGTGAACAGGCAACCTACAGAATGGGAGAAAATTTCTGCAATCTACCCATCTGATAAAGGGCTAGTATCCAGAATCTACAAAGAGCTTAAACAAATTTACAAGAAAAAAATCAAACAACCCCATCAAAAAGTGGGCAAAGGATATGAACAGACACTTCTCAAAAGAAGACATTTATGCAGCCAAAAAACACATGAAAAAATGCTCATCATCACTGGCCATCAGAGAAATGGAAATCAAAACCACAATGAGATACCATCTCACATCAGTTAGAATAGCAATCATTAAAAAGTCAGGAAACAACTGGTGCTGGAGAGGATGTGGAGAAACAGGAACACTTTTACACTGTTGGTGGGACTGTAAACTAGTTCAACCACTGTGGAAGACAGTGTGGCTATTCCTCAAGGATCTAGAACTAGAAATACCATTTCACCCAGCCATCCCATTACTGGGTATATACCCAGAGGATTATAAATCATGCTGCTATAAAGACACATGCACACATATGTTTATTGCGGCACTATTCACATTAGCAAAGACTTGGAACCAACCCAAATGCCCATCAATGATAGACTGGATTAAGAAAATGTGGCACATATACACCATGGAATACTATGCAGCCATAAAAAAGGATGAGTTCATATCCTTTGTAGGGACATGGGTGAAGCTGGAAACCATCATTCTCAACAAACTATCGCAAGGACAGAAAACCAAACACTGCATGTTCTCACTCACAGGTGGGAATTGAACAATGAGAACACTTGGACACAGGAAGGGGAACATCACACACCAGGGCCTGTTGTGGGGTGAGGGGAGCGGGGAGGGATAGCATTAGGAGATAGACCTAATGTAAATGACGAGTTGATGGGTGCAGCACACCAACATGGCACATGTATACATATGTAACAAACCTGCATGTCGTGCACATGTACCCTAGAACTTAAAGTATAATAATAATTAAAAAAAAAAAAAGTATCCTTGATGAAGTAGCCTAAGCTGCTGCTCTGCCTGTGGAGTAGCCATTTGTTATTCTTTTGCTTGCCTAATAAACTTGGTTTTCACTTAAAAGAAAAATAAGTGGCCAGGCGCGGTGGCTCAGTCCTGTAATCCCAGCACTTTGGGAGGCCGAGGCGGGTGGATCACCTGAGGTCCGGAGTTCAAGACCAGCCTGATCAACACAGTAAAACCCTGTCTCTACTAAAAATACAGAACTGGGCCGGGCGCGGTGGCTCACGCCTGTAATCCCAGCACTTTGGGAGGCCGAGGCGGGTGGATCATGAGGTCAGGAGATCGAGACCATCCTGGCTAACAAGGTGAAACCCCGTCTCTACTAAAAATACAAAAAATTAGCCGGGCGCGGTGGCGGGCGCCTGTAGTCCCAGCTACTCGGGAGGCTGAGGCAGGAGAATGGCGTGAACCCGGGAAGCGGAGCTTGCAGTGAGCCGAGATTGCGCCACTGCAGTCCGCAGTCCGACCTGGGCAACAGAGCGAGACTCCGTCTCAAAAAAAAAAAAAAAAAAAAAAAAAAAAGAACTGGCCTGACATGGTGGCACGCAGCCTGTAGTCCCAGCTACTCGGGAGGCTGAGGCAGAATTGCTTGAACCCGGGAGGCGGAGGTCGCAGTGAGCCCAGATCACGCCACTACTCTCCAGCCTGGGCGGCAGAGCGAGACTCCATCTCAAAAAAAAAAAAAAAAACAAAGGAAAAAGCCACTAAATTTGTGGTTATTAGTTCCACAGTGATAGAAAATGAATATAGCAAAAAATACCATGTTTTTATTTCATTTAAATCAAATCTTATACAATGCTGAATCCTCATACTGCAGGCCTGGCAGGATATTCAATCCCTTACATTACTGAGGCCCTTTCCTCTACCAGTAACAGGATCTCCTTTTCCCACAACACCAGGCGTGGACCTAAGATTGTCCTCAGTCTTTACTACCCAAACTCCTCTGAGGCAAAGGAGCATAAAAGTCTGGTTTTCTACCTGAAGTTGGGAGATAAACAAAACATACATTAACACCTCAATACATTATCTTGACACTAGTAAGTTGTCTGTATCCCATAAAGGATATTTTACTTCCCTTTCTGGTGTCTTGGCACTTCCCAGAAGCTGAGTCACTGATGGTCTGATACCTGGGTCTGCCCCAAGGTGGTAACCTCACCTGCATGTTTCCTCAGGCGTCTGAAGGTCATTGTTCACAAACCTGGATATTGGGTGAATTTCTTGCTTCCTATAGAGGAAAATGGCTCTCCTTTCTCAACTCTGTGTCTTGCCTGGATGGAAGCTTTCTTTGATTTTGGTCAGCCTCTGAGACAATGGACTTGTAGGGGATTTTCTTCATAAGGAGCGGAGATGGAGCAGGAGACCACTTAGGTCTTTGGCAATATTCTATGCAAGAGATGACGGGGGCTTGAACCAGGGCAGAAGTAGTAGGTGAGATAAATGTTTGGATTTTGAATACTTTGAAGGGTAAAGCCAATAATCTGATATGGGGTGTTAAAAGGAAGCCCCAAGTAAGTAGGCTCACATCAACCTAAAAGGAAGGAGCAGAGGCAAAATTAATATAGAGAGTTTATTTGGGCCAACGTTGAGGACTGTAGCCTAGGTCGTACTTCCAGGTTGCTGTGGAGAGTGCTCTGGAGAACAAAATGGGCTGGAGTTTTTAAAGAAAAGAGAACGAATCAGCAGAGGGGGGCATTACAAAAGCTATGTCTCAGGAAGTGTCATTTATTTACAGAAATAACATTGGTTAGTGATTGGCTATACATATTGTTGAACTATAGGGTATACGGCGTTTTATGGCTACTCGGTGTCAGTCTAGGGCCTGCATAGCAAGTGCCTTCAAGAGGTAATTATTTAGCTCAAGGGAGAGTGAGACATGACTGCTCGCATTCCTTAGATAAAAAGTTTTTTTTTTTTTCCTTATCATCTGTCTTCTCACACCACACAATTGGGAGTCTCAAGGGACCTTAGAGGACTTGAGCACATTTCACCTCTTGAAATTAAAGATGAGCAGCTTCCTTTCGTTTAAAGATAAGTCACATGAGAATTTAATTTTGGCAGTTAAAGAATTGGTTCCCCAACCTAAATCTACAGACAAGATGAATTTTCTGATTCATCTCCTTTCCTACAGTTTCTGGATTTTGTTTATCCTCCGATTCCAAATGGCATAATTGCTAGTTCTTTCTCCCACTCTACGTCCATCACCAGGTGGGTGTTTCAGCCTTTTTCTATCCCTCACATAGGACGCTCCAAAGGAAAAGAGAGGTGCTGTTTCCGGGGGGAAAGAACGTAGGATAGTTGAAAACAGCACGGTATTTTATTCACAAACTTGATTTTAAGATGACTGAAAAATCTAATGTGAAATAAACATTTTAAGAAATACAGTATTTGCTCTATTACTGTGTTGTCTACTTTGCCTCACATTTAATCTATTACAACTATAGAGTTAAGACAACTGTGATTCCTAAGCTTAATTCACATGATTGATCAAAACCAAGCTTAATTCTGTTTTAATGTTGTGTATTGCTGGAAGTAACACAAAGCATTAATAAACAAAAGGAATTCGATACCCATTTTGGGTAAATAGTATTTCTGCCTTCATTCTAACATAGATTTCATTTTGGCTTTTAAAAAACAGCTGCTGTGCTATATACCGCCGTATCCAGTAGTTGTTAAATACCTGGGCAACGTTACCTTTCTAGGGCTTGTTTCCTCATACATAAAACCTATTGGTACCCCGGGCCAGCTCTCCTATTGCTTCCTGATCGGGGACGATCTAAAAATCTAATTTAACAAATATCTGGTGTCCAGTGTAAAATAGCATGCTTGATGTCTTATTAGCACAAGACATAGAAGAGCAGGAAATTCACATAAGGAAACGGACCAGCTGTGAGTAGTTCCCAGTGGATATAACCTCTCCTTTGTTGGCCTTTAAATAATAAGTGCATCAGCTGCCGCACCTGCGATGCATGCACGCGTGGAAATCCTGCAAATTCTTAAACTGCCATCCCAAGGCGGAAAATGCAGAATTCCATTTTATTTTAACTTTTAAAGGAGTTAAATTCGGGCTTGGTACTGGGGTCCTCTCGGGGAGGTTTCCCTTACCTCTCCCAATGACGCTACTTAACCTCACCAGCACTCCAACACTGCCCACACTTGCCTACCCAGTTCTAGGTGAACGGTCCCACTGGGCACGGACCAATGGGCTCGTTCCTTCCCAGCGGCAGGGTGGGACCTCCAGCCTGGGCTTCGGAGACCCGCCCCCCGTACGTGGCGTGCGGGCATTGCGCTACGCGGCGCGGGCCGGTTTCTACAGCGCGTGGCGCCCCCCGGCGGCAGCCGGGCTTCAATGCCACGGCCTGACCGGAGTGTCCGCCATGGAGTCGCAGAAAGAGGCACGAACACTCCAGGAGCCCGTTGCGCGGCCTTCTGGGGCCTCAAGCTCTCAGACGCCGAACGACAAGGAGCGGCGGGAGGGCGGCGCAGTGCCGGCGGCGGCTGCCCTGGGCGCAGAGGCGGACGACGACAGTGCGGACGGGCTGTGGGAGCTGCCGGTGGAGCCGGCCGAGCGGAGGCCTGAGTGCACCCGCTGCAGGTGACCGCGGGGCTGGGGGCGGGGACTGCAGCCGGCAGCGGCCTTCGGAGGAGGGTGCGGCGCCCCCTGCCGGGGAGTCGGCGGCTCGGGCAGCTCTGCGATTAGGGCGGCGGAGTTGGCGGGTGCACGTTGGAAATCTCGGAAATGCCAGGCACAGCTACCTAGTAAGAAGCCCTTTTTCCAGGTTCATGATTATCTAACCTTACTTCCTGCAATATGCTGAGCGTATCATGGGATGAGCAGACATCAGTTCTGTTTCCAAGAAACTTAAGCGTCCAATAGGGGAAGTAAGGGGTGATGACAGTAATACTTGTAAAATAGTTACACAGTCATATTTAAGTGGCATAGTTATATCACAGTTAAAAAGCATAAAGTGGATTGGAGGAGAGAGACAGTCTCCTTTACCTATCCTACCAGAACTCTAAATATAGGGCCTTTTCAGGTGTTCATTCTAGGTTCTCTTCAAACCCTACATACGTCCCACTGGTAATTTATAAAATCAGTTTTCATGGTAAATTATCATCTATATCCCAGTGTGTCTAGCTCAGACCTTTCTTCGGAACACCAGACCTGTGCATTAATTTATCAGGTGTTTATTGAGTGCTTTGGTAATCACTGACAATGCAGTGGAGTTCATGTTTTTGTAGAGTATTCTCTTACTGGATACGGATAATAAACCAGCAAACAAGCAATCAAATATGTAATTACAAACTGGGAAAAAAGCAGTGAAGGAAAGGAATGGGTTGCTACTGTAGAAAATAGCTCAATGGTGTCATGAACTATCTCTGAGATTTGAAAGATGAGAAGAATCCAGCCAGGGGAAAAGCATTCCAAGAAGGGGAACAGAAGGACTGAATATGGTTGAAGATCTTTACTGCTTGAATACTTGGAGTATCACACTTTGGACATTTTGACCTTTTCCTAGGGCTGGATTGTAAGACTTCAGAGGAAAGGATCTTGAATGTAGAATGTTTTTATATTTTCTAAATGTACTATGTATAGTTGACGCTCAGTAAACCTCTGAGGAGGATGGAAAATTTGTGATTAGAAGGGACTGTGAATTTGAACATAGGGGTTTGTGAATACAATTAATTTAAACAAGTCGTCTGAGGGGGTTGGGGAAGCATTTAAAAATGTTTGGAGGGGTCTCAATAGGATACTGGAGGAAAAGTGTTTCAAATATAAATCAAAGGCTAAATTACTGTGCTAGTTTTATTTAGTTTTTAGTCTGTTCAGAATTGTTAATTATAAATATATAGGTAAAAATCTGTTTAGCAGAGATTTATTTTATGATGCTTTTTTAAAAAAATGGCTTGCTGAATTTAATCTTTTTTTCAGTTACGTTTAGTTAATACCTTAGGATTACAATTTTCCCCAACATTTCTGCACTTTGCTTATTTCTGGTGAAATTTGCTACCTGTGAAAAGCTCTCCTCCCTCTTGCTATGCATTTTATTTGCTTTAATTAGGTAGACTATAATTCTACACTTTGCTTATTTCTTGTGAAATTTGCTACCTGTGAAAAGCTCTCCTCCCTCTTGCTATGCATTTTATTTGCTTTAACTAGGTAGAATATAATTCTAGAATTATGGAGAATATTTAGGTGTTGTCAATAAAATATAAATGAATTGATGGCTTTTTATATTTTATTTCATTATGCTATTAGAGTTCTACTAGTACCCTGGGTGAACTTCTTTACATTTATGGTTAAAATAGTTTTAAAAATGCATTCTTAGATTTGATTGATCATTGAGTCACAGTTATTTGGCTATTTACTTAAACTGTATTCATTTCTCTGAACACATTACTACAAATGTCACAGCCTAGGGGAGTTCCAGAAATTAGCTTTGTTCAGGAAGTGCAAACTCAGTTTAACTTTTCAGCAGAATCTTGCTCATTATAAATATAACATATCTTAAATATGAATGGAATATTCTTTAAAAGATCCCAAACTTGTAATTTATTATTGCAAGATATAGATTCTATAAATGTATTCTGTCCTTTATGTATGTCTTGTTTACAAAACCTGCCTGTATTCCATTTACCTCTTAGAATACCTTTCCTATCCCCCATTCCCAAACGTATATAATTTTTTTTTTCAGATAAAGACAAAACCTTGGCTGATCTCCCCAGAGTATGTATCATTAGCATTATTTGAGATAACATAAGAAGGCTGAGGGTCATGGGACATGGTAGGTGCACAAAAGATTTGTTGAACTACTTGGTAAAATTCAGTTGTTCAACAAATATTTTTGGAGACCCTTCTTCCAGACGGTGTGATAGGCTATGAAATACAAAGATGAAAAAGAGATGACTTCAGTTCTCCTGAATATCAGGATCTAGTGGAAAGTGGCATATCTATTTAAATGGGGAGCCCTCAGATTAAAAATCCTATGATGTAGGGCAGTTTTTTCAAATTATAGGTAATGAACCGCATCAAATTTTTGAAGCTCTGAAGAAAACAGCAAAAAGTGTTTTCTGAACTTTTCAAAGTAAAAGTATTTGTAAAATAACTTTGTTCAAGTTAAAATCATCTTGCTAATTTAAACATTCTTATTTAAATTATATGACATCAGAGTGGAAAGATTTAAACACTTTTTATATGTGTTTGATATCCTTTGGCAGTCTTCGAAATTAGGCCGTCGTGGAGTAAGAGTCAGAAGGCAAAAGGATGCATGTTCACCAAGTAGTGCTTCTGAGATTTTACTAGAGTCTTTAATTTTGTTAGGAAATAAAGTGTAATATACGTGTGTATATGTATGTATATATGTGTGTGTATATATATATATATATATATATATATAAAAATGCACATAAGCATGTGGTCTTTTTCTTGTTGAATTCTATACTATCAGCTTCTTTCTTAGATGGGTATATGTAAGGTGTTATAGGAACATATAAAAAGGTGCTCCTAACCCTAAGTTTGTATGGTGGAGATGAGGAAAAGATCTGGGAAATCTTGGAAGTGACATGTAAGCTGAGACTGAAGGACATAACGAAATATTTAATCTGGATTCTAATATTTAGGATTAATTAGGGAAGAGACTGGCTGAGGAGAGGGCTTGAGGGAGGAAAAAGTGAGCTCTGGTTGAGGAAACAGTATGTACGAGAGTTTAGTGTATAGAATATATAGTGTATTTGGGGAGTTTGGGAGAAGGGAGGGAGTGGTGAGAGACGAGGCTGCAGAGATTAGTGGTGGTTGCCCCAGGAAGGGCAAAATAAACTATGTCAGGGAGTTTGGGCCTAATGCTCTATAACCCAACAAGCCAGCCACTGTAATATTTTTATATTTGAAAGGTGGTGACAAGTTTGACTTTTGTACATGACTTTTGCTGTATAATTTATACTTTTTTATTTTATAAAAAAAGCAACTGGATGGTGATAAAAGGGTACAAGCTTGACTGGGAAGAATTAGGGCCTCATTCCAGAAATATTTTAGGCATCTTAATTATACTTTTATATCTTCTGTAGTTACTGCTATGCATTTGAGGATGAGTCATAAACCACTTGCAAATCATTGGTCATAGGAATAATGGAATAATGTCTAAAAACAGCATGTTTTAAAACCTGTTTAAGGGAAGAAACAGCAGGGAGAGCATGCACACAAACTGAATCAGATAGACCCTGAGATGGAAGTTTTTGTCTCTCCAGTGTTTTCTTTTCAAAAGTAACAAGCTGTAAGAATTATAATACACCATATCTATGTATTTAACACCCATTTACTAAACACCAGCCATCTGCCAGGCACATACTAGGCCTAGATATTTTATATATGATAATATTTTATTTAGTTCTTGTAACAAACTTTTAGATTGCTGCTTTTTTTTTTTTTTTGAAACGGAGTCTTGCTCTGTCACCCAGGCTGGATTGCAGTGGCGCAATCTCAGCTCACTGCAACCTCTGCCTCCCAGGTTCAAACCATTCTCCTGCTTCAGCCTCCAGAGTAGCTGGGACTACAGGTGCCTGCCACCACGCCTGGCTAAGTTTTGTATTTTTTTTTTTTTGAGATGGAGTTTTTGCTCTTGTTGCCCAGGCTGCAGTGCAATGGCATGATCTTGGCTGACCGCAACCTCTGCCACCCAGGTTCAAGCGATCCTCCTGCCTCAGCCTCCTGAGTAGCTGGGATTACAGGCATGCATCACCACCACGCCTCACTAATTTTGTATTTTTAGTAGAGATGGGGCTTCTCCATGTTGGTCAGGCTGGTCTCGAGCTTCCAACCTCAGGTGATCCGCCTGCCTTGGCCTCCCAAAGTGCTGGGATTACAGGCGTGAGCCACTGCGCCCAGCCTAGGTTTTGTATTGTTAGTAGAAGCAGGTTTTCTGCCCTGTTGGTCAGGCTGGTCTCGAACTCCTGACCTCAGGTGAGCCGCCTGCTTCAGCCTCCCAAGGTACTGGGATTACAGGTGAGAGCCACCGCGCCCAGCTACTGTTTGCTTTTAAATGATGAGGAAATACAGGTAACAGGCAGGTAGCAGAATTGGGTCTCTAGCTCCAGTCCACTTGGTTCCCTAGCTCATGCAAGTACTTGATCTCACTCCAGGCTCCTTGCTGAAGAAGCGTTAAGATTTTGTTTGCACAGTAGGTATTATCACCAGTTGAAATGGCATCACTAAGTCTGCAAGATTTTCAGACTTTTTAAGTTAGTAACAGGATGCTGAGTTTTGGTATTTTCTCTGGCTTTTTAATTCCACATATCATTACCTTTTCCTTATTCTTTAGGCTTGGATATTCTGGAGGAAAAAGTGATGGGAGGAACATCATAAGAGAGAGAGAGAGAGAGAAAATGGGGAAAGGAGAGAGAGAAGGGAAGAGTGCAGGTGTTTAAGAAGAATGCACGAGCCACAAACTGGCACTCTACAGATGTTTTGCTTTGAACTGTGTTTTATCAGCTTTTAAATTAGTTGTTAATAGTTCAAAATCAAGATGTTTCATATAAAAATCCAGATTTCTGGCTTTTGTGACAGTGGGAAGATCTGACAGCTTCAGAGACCACCTTCCTGAGCAGCAGTTGGTTAAGCTCAGTATTATTGGCTGTGCCCGTATATTGGGCATGATCTCTCCAGGTCACTGTAGCTCCCAGTCGTTCCTGCTTAACTCATTTGTGGTTAACTGCTGGCCCCCTATAGGCATTTATGTTTTGATTCTGGGTCTCCTGTACATCATTGTGGTTGTCTGACTGAGCAACTGGTAAATCAGTCTTCAAATTTGGTGGGAAAAGTGAAAAATGGTAATTCCTAGGGTAGTTAATGTAGAATAACTGAAACTGTTGAATCAGTATCAGCACTTAGAAAATAAACTATTTTGGGCCAGGCACAGTGGCTCATGCCTGTAGTCCCAGCACTTTGGGAGGCTGAGGCGGATGGATCACAAGGTCAGAGGAGATCGAGACCAGCCTGACCAGCATGGTGAAACCCTGTCTCTACTAAAAATACTAAAATTAGCCGGGCGTGGTGGTGAGTGCCTGTAATCCCAGCTACTTGGGAGGCTGAGGCAGGAGAATCGCTTGAACTTGGGAGGCGGAGGTTGCAGTGAGCCAAGATTGCTCCACTGCACTCCAGCCTCGGCGACAGAGCGAAACTCCGTCTCAAAAAAAAAAAAAAAAAAAAGAAAACAAACTATTTTGGTAAATTTAAAATCAGCTAGATTATTGATAACTTTTAGGGTAAAAATTTGGGTATTCTGAAGTTTAATTTTTGTATATATCAAAGATATATTCTCAAGAGAAAATTATTATATTAGTTTGTTCTTTCCTGTTAGTATAGAAAATATGTTTATTCTTTGAAATAGTTTATTCATAATATATGTGGAAAGCTAACTGATTTACAAATCATTGTGCAGGCTAATTGTATGTCCAAAGTTAAGCAATGATATATGTCAAGAGGGAATTTTTTCATAACCTTAATTAAGTCTTCAAAGAGGAATGGCCAGTTTTAAAAACCACATTAGAGCTTTCTAAGTGTTTGATTTATTTTCCCTAGGAAAAATAGGAATTATATTTTTACCCTCCGATAGGTAGAAGTTTTCTTCAAAGACTGTAAAAGCACATTAATTCCTTGAGTTCATTTTCCCAAAATTAATAATTCATAGTTTCTATTAGTGCTTATGTAGTCAGATAATATATTCAGAAATAGTCTAGCCTAAAATTTGGTATCACTTAAAAAGAGTTCACTGGCTACAAAGTACTTTTACATTTTTGTTTAATACATGAGACAACCTTACTATTTAAATAGTGTTATTCTCTTTTATAGACTCTTTAGGTCAGATGACTAATAAGAGGCAGAGCTGCTTTAGCTTTCATATTTTTATTGCTACACCACATAATAATGAATTATTGCTACACCACATAATAATGAACAGTATGACTGCATTTGTTTTTCTTGCATGTAGTAAGTATTTACATGAGGTGTTTCTCTGCCTTCTTCTAATCTAAAGATTCTTTTCCTTTACCTTTGGCCATGGGTATTTTTAATTATTTTGAGGTAAGCAATTTTTAAATTATTGTATTTCTTAAAGTCAAGCCTGTATCTCCTGAATTCTTTGTCTGTCTGTGATGAGATTCTCATTTCTATTGCTGGCTTTTCACTTTTATGTTAGAAAGGCAGATTCGGGGAGGCTGAGGTGGGAGGATCACTTGAGCCCAGGAGTTCGAGGCTGTAGTAAGGTAAGAAGGTGCCACTGTGCTCTTGCCTGGGTGACAGAGTAAGACCCCATCTCTTAGAGAGAGGGAGGGGTTGGATTTTTTTTTTCTGCTGAGTTTATTGTTTGTTTGCTTGTTTTTCATTTTTCACTATTGGAAACCTAGTTGAAAAGGTATGTATTGAGCCTGTTGACCTTGCAAAGGGTAGAGAAATTGACCTGATAGAAATGTCTCTGATCTGTTTATGTAGACAAGTTATTTGGCAGTCTAATTCTTTTTTCAAAAATTGTGGTAACATTTGCATAACGTAATATTTATCATTTTAATCATTTAAGTGTACAGTTTAGTGACATTAAATATATAATGTGTGTAGCCATCACCACGATGTAAATGGTATAAACCCCAAACCTTTTCATCATCCCAACATAAACTCTGTCCATTACACTGTAATTTCCTATTTTTCCCTCCCCTGAGACCCTGGTAACCTCTATTCTACTTTTTGTTTCTATGAATTTACTTATTCTAGATTTAAGTGGAATCATATATTTGTCTATCTGTGTCTGGCTAATTTCACCGAGTATAATGTTTTCAAGGTCCATCCATGTTGTAGCAAATGAATGAAAATTTCACTGAATTCTGTGGCTGAATTTTATGTGTATAACCACATTTTGTTGATCTATTATCCATTCATCTGTTGATGAATGCTTGGGTTGTTTTTACATTTTGGCTATTGTCAATAATGATGCAATGAACATTGGTATACAAATAATCTGTTCTAGTTCCTACTCTCAGTTTTTGTTTTAAATATATATTTTAGGTTGGTGCAAAAGTAATTGTGGTTTTTGCCATTACTGTCTAGGAGTGGAATAGCTGGGTCATATGGTTTTATGTTTAACTTTTTGAGGAATTGTCAAGCTATTTTCCACAGTAGCTGCACCACCTACATTCCCACCAGCAGTGTATGAGCTTTCTGTTTTTTCCACATTCCTGCCAACACTTACTATTATCCATTTTATTATGCCCATCTTAGGAGGCATGAAGTGATATTTCATTGTGGTTTTGATTTGTATTTTGCTGACTAATAATGTTGAACATCTTCTCATGTGCTTTTTGGCCATTTGCATATCTTCTTTGGAAAAATGTCTATTCAAGTCCTTTTGGTAGGCGAATTGCAAGTGGACAAGTTAGCCTGTCACAGTTTCATGGACACTGGCAAAAGACATGAAATTCCTGGGCCAAAGACAAAGGACTTTATTACTCAAGGCACAACAGGGAGTATGAGCTTCATGTTTGTGTTGTTTCTTTTGTTGTCCCCTCCCACTCCAAGCTCTACAGGGATTTCAGAGATAATTTGGTAGATGCTGTGCACACAGTGGGTTTGCGTCCTGGCTGAAGGACCTTGAACTTAGTGTGTTCCTGAATTTTTTACAATGGGTTGCAAGTAAACCTGCTCTTTTTCCAGAGGGAGACCTTATCTGTCTTTCAGGGCTATTCACCATGTAGATACCTTTGAAAAGATAGTCCAGAACAAAAGGTTATTGTCTCAGTCACAAAACATACAGAAATGTAAGAGACCCATGGAGAATTACCTCCAAAGTCCAGTTACGAAAATGAAGAAATGAACATTGGTACAGTACTATTTTTCTTTTCAACTTTTAAGTTCCAGGGTACATGTGCAGGATGGGCAGGTTTGTTACATAGGTAACATGTGCCATGGTGGTTTGCTGCACAGATCAACCCATCCCCTAGGTATTAAGCCCAGCATCCATTAGCTATTCTTCCTGATGCTCTCCCACCCCCTGCCCTCCTGACAGGCCCCAATTTGTGTTATTCCCCACTTTGTGTCTGTGTGTTCTCATTGTTCAGCTCCCGCTTATAAGTGAGAACATGCGGTGTTTGGTTTTCTGTTCCTGCATTAGTTTGCTGAGGATAAAGTATCCAGCTTCATCCATGTCCCTGCAAAGGACATGATCTCATTCCTTATGGCTGCATAGTATTCTATGATGTATGCCACATTTTCTATATCCAGTCTATTATTGATGGGCATGTGGATTGATTCCATGTCTTTGCTATTATGAATTGTGCTGCAGTGAACATACGCATGCATATATCTTTATAATAGAATGATTTATATTCCTTTGGTAATATACCCAGTAATGGGACTACTAGGTCACATGATATTTCTGCTTCTAGATCTTTGAGGAATTGCCCCATTATCTTCCACAATGGTTGAACTAATTTACACTTCCACCAATAGTATAAAAGTGTTCTTTTTTTCTCCACAACCTCACCAGCATCTGTTGTTTTTTGACCTTTTATTTATTTTTTATTATTTATTTATTTATTTTTTTGGGGATGGACTCTTGCTCTGTCGCCCAGGCTGGAGTGCAGTGGCACAGTCTTTGCTCACTGCAAGCTCTGCCTCCTGGGTTCACACCATTCTCCTGCCTCAGCCTCCCGAGTAGCTGGGACTACAGGTGCCCGCCACCATGCCTGGCTAATTTTTTGTATTTTTAGCAGAGATGGGGTTTCACCATGTTAGCCAGGATGGTCTTGATCTCCTGATCTTGTGATCCACCCGCCTTGGCCTCCCAAAGTGCTGGGATTATAGGCGTGAGCCACCGCGCCTGGCCTCTATTTTTTATTTTTTGAGATGGAGTCCCACTGTGTAACCCAGGCTGGAGCGCAGTGATGTGATCTTGGCTCACTGCAACCTCCATCTTCCCGGCTCAAGCATTCCTCCTGCTTCAGCCTCCCAGGTAGCTGGGACTACATGTGTGCACCACCATGCCCAGCTAATTTTTTTATTTTTGTTGGAGATGGGGTTTCACCATATTGCCCAGGCTGATCTCTAACTCCTGACCTCAAGTGATCCACCCTCCTTGGCCTCCTGAAGTGCTGGGATTACAGGTGTGAGCCACCGTGCCTGGCCATTTGTTGACGTTTTGATAGTCACCATTCTGACTGGCATGAGATGGTATCTCACTGTGGTTTTGATATGGATTTCCATAATCAGTGATGTTGAGCTTTTTTTCTTATGTTTGTTGGCCACATGAATGTCTTCTTTTGAGAAGTGTCTGTTCATGTCCTTTGCCCGCTTCTTAATGGGGTTGTTGGTTTTTTTCTGATACATTTATTTAAAATTCCTTGTGGACTCTGGATATTAGACCTTTGTCAGATGGGTAGATTGCCAAGTTTTTCTCCCATTCTGTAGGTTGTCTGTTCACTCTGATGATAGTTTCTTTTGGTGTGCAGAGATCTTTAGTTTAATTAGATCCCATTTATCAATTTTTGCTTTTGTTGCAAAATTGCTTTTGGTGTTTTTGTCATGAGATCTTGGCCCGTGCCAACGTCCTGAATGGTATTGCCTGGATTTTCTTCTAGGGTTTTTCTAGTTTTGGGTTTTACATTTACGTCTTTAATTCATCTTGAGTTAGTTTTTGTATAAGGTGTAAGGAAGAGGACCAGTTTCAACTTTCTGCTGCATATGGCTAGCCAGTTCTCCCAGCACCACGTAAAAAAAAGTTAAAAAAAAAAAAAGCAGGGAATCCTTTCCCCATTGCTTGTTTTTGTCAGGCTTGTGGAAGATCAGATGGTTGTAGGTGTGTAGTCTTGTTTCTGAGTTCTCTATTCTGTTCCATTGGTCTATGTGTCTGGTTTTGTACCAGTACCAGGCTGTTTTAATTACTGTAGCCTTGTAGTATAGTTTGAAGTCAGGTAGTGTAATGCCTCTCAGGTAGTGTAATGCCTCTCCAGTTTTCCTCTTTTCCTTAGGATTGTCTTGGCTATTTGGGTTCTTTTTTGGTTCCATATGAATTTTAAAATAGTTTTTCCTAATACTGTGAAGAATGTTAATGGTAGTTTAATTGGAATAGCATTGAATCTATAAATTGGGCAGTATGGCCATTTTCACAATATTGATTCTTCCTGTCCGTGAGCATGGAATGTTTTCCCATTTGTTTGTGTCCTCTCTGATTTCCTTGAGCAGTGGTTTGTAGTTCTCCTTAAAGAGGTCCTTCACTTCCCTTGTTAGCTCTATATCTAGGCATTTTATTCTCTTTGTAGCAATTGCGAATGGGAGTTCATTCATGATTTGGCTGTCTGCTTGCCTGTTGTTGGTACATAGGAATGCTTGTGATTTTTGCACATTGATTTTATATCCTGAGACTTTGCTGAAGTTGCTGATCAGCTTAAGGAGATTTTGGGCTGAGACAGTGGGGTTTTCTAAATATACAATCATGTCATCTGCAAACAGATACAATTTGACTTCCTCTCTTCCTATTTGAATACCCTTTCTTTCTTTCTCTTGCCTGATTGCCCTGACCAGAACTTCCAATACTATTTTGAATAGCAGTGGTGAGAGAGGGGATCCTTGTCTTGTGCCGATCTTCAAAGGAAATGCTTCCAGCGTTTGCCCATTCAGTATGATATTGGTTGTGGGTTTGTCATAAATAGCTCTTATTATTTTGAGATATGTTCCATCAATACCTAGTTTATTGAGAGTTTTAGCATGAAAGGGTGTTGAATTTTATCAAAGGCTTTTTGTGCATTTTTTGAGATAATCATGTGGTTTTTGTCATTGGTTCTGTTTATGTGATGGATTACATTTATTGATTTGCATATGTTGAACCAGCCTTGCATCCCAGGTATGAAGCTGACTTGATCATGGTGGATAACCTTTTTGATGTGCTACTGTATTCAGTTTCCCAGTATTTTATTGAGGATTTTCTCATTGATGTTCATCAGGGATATTGGCCTGAAATGTTCTTTTTTTTGTTGTATCTCTGCCAGGTTTTGGTATCAGGATGATGCTGGCCTCATAAAATGAGTTAGGGAGGAGTCCCTCTTTTTCTATTATTTGAAATAGTTTCAGAAGGAATGGTACCAGCTCCTCTTTGTACCTGTGGTAGAATTCGTCTGTGAATCTGGTTCTGAGCTGTTTTTGGTTGGTAGGCTATTAATTACTGCCTCAATTTCAGAACTTGTTATCGGTCTATTCAGGGATTCGACTTCTTCCTAGTTTAGTGTTGGGAGGGTGTATATGTCCAGGAATTTATCCATTTCTTCTAGATTTTCTAGTTTATGTGTGTAGAGGTGTTTAGAGTATTCTTTGATGGTAGTTTGTATTTCTGTGGGATCATTGGTGATACCCCCTTTATCATCTTTTACTGTGTCTATTTGATTCTTCTCTTTTTTCTTCTTTATTAGTCTGGCTAGCAGTCTATCTATTTTGTTAATCTTTTCAAAACACCAGCTCCTGGAGTCATAGATTTTTTTGAAGGGTTTTTTTGTGTCTCTATCTTCTTCAGTTCTGCTCTGATCTTAGTTGTTTCTTGTCTGTTGCTAGCTTTTGAATTTGTTTGCTCTTGCTTTAGTTCTTTTAATTGTGATATTAGGGTGTTGATTTTAGATCTTTCCCACTTTCTCCTGTGGGCATTTAGTACTATAAATTTCCCTCTAAACGCTGCGTTAGCTGTGTCCCAGATATACTGGTACGTTGTGTCTTTGTTCTCATTGGTTTCAGAGAACTTATTTATTTCTGCCTTAATTTCATTATTTACCCAGTAGTCATTCAGGAGCAGGTTGTTCAGTTTCCGTGTAGTTGTGAGGTTTTGAGTGAGTTTCTTAATTCTGAGTTCTAATTTGATTGCACTGTGGTCTGAGAGACTGTTATGATTTCCATTCTTTTGCATTTGCTGAAGAGTGTTTTGCTTCTAATTATGTGGTCAATTTTAGAATAAGTGTGATGTGGTGATGAGAAGAATGTATATTCTGTTGATTTGGGGTGGAGAGTTCTGTAGATGTCTATTAGGTCTACTTGGTCCAGAGCTGAGTTCAAGTCCTGCATATCCTTTTTAATTTTCTGTCTCATTGATCGGTCCAGTATTGATGGTGAGGTGTTAAAGTCTCTCACTGTTATTGTGTGGGAGTCTAAGTCTCTTACAGAAACCCCATCCAAAGGTCACCAGCGTCAAAGACCAAAGGTAGATAAATCCATGAAGATGAGGAAAAACCAGCACAAAAAGGCTGAAAATCCCAAAAACCAGAATGCCTCTTGTCCTCCAAAGGATCACAGCTCTTCACCACCAAGGGAACTAAACTGGATGGAGAATGAGTTTGATGTATTGACATAAGTAGGCTTCAGAAAGTGGGTAATATCAAATTCCTCCGAGCTAAAGGAGCATATTCTAACCCAATGTAAGGAAGCTAAGAACCTTGAAAAAAGGTTAGACGAATTGCTAAGTAGAATAACCAGTTTAGAGAATAACATAAATTACCTGATGGAGCTGAAATACACAGCATGAGAACTTCTTGAAGCATACACAAGTATCAGTAGCCAAATCGATCAAGCGGAAGAAAGGATATCAGAAATTGAAGATAAACTCAATGAAATAAAGCGTGAAGACAAGATTACAGAAAAAAGAATGAAAAGGAACGAACAAAGCCTCCAAGAAATATGGGACTATGTGAAAAGACCAAACCTATGTTTGATTGGTGTACGTGAAAGTGATGGGGAGAATGGAACCAAGTTGGAAAACACTCTTCAGGATATTATCCAGGAGAACTTCCCCAACCTAGCAAGACAGGCCAACATTCAAATTCAGGAAATACAGAGAACACCACAAAGATACTCCTTGAGAAGAGCAACCCCAAGACACATAATCATCAGATTCACCAAGGTTGAAATGAAGGAAAAAATGTTAAGGGCAGCCAGAGAGAAAGGTTGGGTTACCCACAAAGGGAAGCCTATCAGACTAACAGCAGATCTCTCAGCAGAAACTCTACAAGCCAGAAGAGAGTGGGGGCCAATATTCAACATTCTTAAATAAAAGAATTTTTTTTTTTGTTAGAACAACTCAGCAAAATAAAATTCCTGTTTATTGTTGGACAACATTGTTTCACACATACATCAAACAGGCCAAAAAAAATAAACAGCAACTTCATAGACAAAAAAGGAAAAAAAAGAAACCTTTTATCTTTGGCCTTTTTAACCATCTCATACAAACCAACTACTTATAGTACAGCTAAGTACATACACAAAAAAGTTACTGGAATGCTCGGAATAAGATTGTTTTTCTGTTGTCATTTTTGCTTTTTTTACAAGGTTTTTTTTCTCCTTTGAGATTATAATGAACATGGTCACACCACAAGTAAAGTCAGAAGTAGGACAGAGAACGCTCCGAAGGCTGGTTTGGTCATCGGAGATCATTAAAAATGGCTGACTCTAACAATATGTACAAAAATATAAAATGTAAATAAAAAATACAAACAAATTTCCTTTTTAAAGTACTTTTAAGAAAAAAAGCAGGGCCTTGGAAGTTTTGGTTCTTTTTTCCTCCCCTGTTGCAAATTCTCATGGTTTGGGTTGGGTGGTGGAGAGCGCGTGTCATCTGCGGGTGGCACTGTCCACGGTGGGCGGGCGGGCCTCTCTACTCGAAGGTGACCACGTTTAGATTCTGAGACGGGAAGTGGAGGGTGAATAGGTCAAGGCGGCCTTTTTTTTTAGTTTAACTTTTCCTTTTTTGCTGTCTAGTCATCCTCGTCGGTCTTCTGCTTCTTGGTATCGACATCGTCATCCTCATCATCTTCAGCTGCCCGCTTGCCCGTAGCTGTCTCAGCTTCCTCATCTTCATCTCCATCCTCTTCCTCACCATCACCTTCTTCCTCCTCCTCTTCCTCCCCACCTTCTTCCTCTTCTTCATCTACCTCATTGTCAGCCTCCTGCTCCCCATTTTCCTCATTAGCATTCCCGTTAGCAGGGGCGTCTCTTCCATTTTCTGCCTCTTCCACAACTTCCTTCTTCTCCTGTAAGTCCTTGGTGGTGATTTCGGAGCTGGTGTCTACGGCTGCGTCTGACATGGTGGGGCACGCCGGTGATCCGATGCAGGCGATTAAAAAGAAAGCGAGAGTTCAGGGACTCTGGCGATAAAGCTGCCGGAGTCCGCGGCGGCGGAGGAGGCGCGTGGCGGAGGCGGCTGCGGCGAGCAAGGAGGCTGCCGCGAGCAAGGAGGCTGCCGCGAGCAAGGAGGCTGCCGCGAGCAAGGAGGCGGACGAGGAACAATGCAAAGATGGCTTTTCAGAGCAGCCAGTGGGAATAAAAGAATTTTTAACCTAGAATTTCATCTCCAGCCAAACTAAGCTTCATAAGTGAAGGAGCAATAAAATCCTTTACAGATAAGCAAATGCTGAGAGATTTTGTCACCACCAGGCCTGCCTTACAAGAGCTCCTCAAGGAAGCACTAAATACGGAAAGGAAAAACAAGTACCAGCCACTGCAAAAACATACCAAATTGTGAAGACCATCGACGCTATGAAGAAACTGCATCAACTAAGGGGCAAAATAACCAGCTAACATCATAATGACAGGATCATATTCATACGTAACAACGTTAACCTTCAATGTAAATGGGTTAAATGCCCCAATTAAAAGACACAGACTGGCAAATTGGATAAAGAGTCAAGACCCATTGGTGTGTTGTATTCAGAAGACCCATCTCACGTGCAAAGACACACATAGGCTCAAAATGGAGGAAGATTTACCAAGCAAATGGAAAGCCAAAAAAAAAAAAAAAAAAGGGGGTTGCAATCCTAGTTTCTGATAAAACAGACTGTAAGTTTCTGATAAAACAGACTGTAAACCAACAAAGATAAAAAAAAGACAAAGAAGGGCATTACATAATGGCAAAGGGATCAAAGCAACAAGAAGAGCTAACTATCCTAAATATATATGCACCCAATACAGGGGCACCCAGATTCAAAAGCAAGGCCTTAGAATCATGTGGTTTTTGTCTTTAGTTTTGTTTATGCGGTGAATTACACTTATGGATTCACGTATGTTGAACCAACCTTGGATCCCAGGGATGAAGCCAACTTGATCATGACAGATAAGCTTTTTGATGTGCTGCTGGAATCAGTTTGCCAGTATTTTATTGAGGATTTTTGTGTTGATGTTCATCAGGGATATTGGAGGGCAATTTTTTATGTTTTTGTATCTCTACCAGGTTTTGGTATCAGGATGATGCTGGCTTCATAAAATGAGTTTGGGAGGAGTTCCTTCTTTTCAACTGTTTGGAATAGTTTCAGTAGAAATGGTACCAGCTCGTCTTTGTACCTCTGGTAGAATTCAGCTGTAAATTCATCCTTTCCTGGGCTTTCTTTTTGGGCTGATAGGCTATTTAATTACTGCCTTGGTTTCAGAACTCATTGTTGGTCTATTCAAGTACTCAATTTCTTCCTGGTTCGTCTTGGCAGGGTGTATGTGTCTAGGAATTTATCCATTTCTCCTAGATTTTCTAGTTTATGTGCATAGAGGTGTTTATAGTATTCTCTGATGATTGTTTGTATTTCTGTGTGGTCAGTGGTGATATCCCCCTTATCATTTCTGATTGTGTCTATGTGATTCTTCCACCTTTTCTTCTTTATTAGTCTACCTAGCAGTCTATTTATTGTTATTTTTTCTCCAAAAACCCAGCTCCTGGATTTGTTGATTTTTTGAAGGGGTTGTCATATCTCTGTCTCCTTCAGTTATGCTCTGATCTTGGTTATTTCTTGTATTCTGCTAGCTTTGGAGTTTGTTTGGTCTTGTTTCTCTAGTTCTTTTAGTTGTGATGTTCGGTTGTTGATTTGAGATCTTACTAGCTTTTTGATGTGGGCATTTAGTGCTATGTATTTTCCTCTAAACACTGTTTTGCAGTGTTACAGAGATTCTGGTGCAGTGTCTCTTTGTTCTCATTAGTTTTAAAGAACTTCTTGATGTCTGCCTTAATTTCGTAATTTATCAAGGAGTCATTCAGGTTGTTCAATTTCCATGTAGTTGTGTAGTTTTGAGTGAGTTTCTTAACCTTCAGTTCTAATTTGATTGCACTGTGGTCTGAGAGACTATTTGTTATCATTTCAGTTCTTTTGCATTTGCTGAGGAGTGATTTCCAATTATGTGATCAATTTTTGAGTAAGTGCCATGTGTCTAGGAGAAAAATATATATTCTGTTATTTTTGGATGGAGAGTTCTGTAGATCTCTATCAGGTCTGCTTGATCCAGAGCTAAGTTCAGGTCCTGAATATCTTTGTTAATTTTCTGTCTTGATCATCTGTCTAATATTGTCAGTGGGGTGTTAAAGTCTCTCACTATTATTGTGTGGGAGTCAGTCTCTTTGTAGATCTCTAAGAACTTGCTTTATGAATCTGGGTGCTACTGTATTGGGTGCATATATATTTAGGATAGTTAGCTCTCCTTGTTGAACTGAACCCTTTACCATATATAACGCCCTTCTTTGTCTTTTTTGATCTTTGTTGGTTTAAAGTCTGTTTTGTCAGAAACTAGAATTGTGACCCCTGCATTTTTCTGTTTTCCATTTGCTTGGTAAATTTTCCTTTATCCCTTTATTTTGAGGTTATATGTGTCTTTGCATGTGAGATGGGTCTCTTGAAGATAGCATACAGATGGATCTTGACTCTATCCAGCTTGCCATTCTGTGTCTTTTAGTTAGGGCATTTAGGCCATTTACACTTAAGGTTAATATTGTTATGTGTGAGTTTGATCCTGTCATCATGAAGCTAGCTGGTTATTTTGCAGACTTGTTTATGTGGTTGCTTTGTAGTGTCACTGATTTGCGTACTTCAGTGGATTTATGTAGTGACTGGTAATGATTTTTCCTTTCCATATTTAGTGCTTCCTTCAGGAGCTCTTGAAAGGCAGGCCTGGTGGTGACGAAGTCCCTCAGCATTTGCTTGTCTGAAAAGGATCTTATTTCTCCCTTGCTTATTAAGCTTATTTTGGCCAGATATGAAATTCTGGGCTGGAAATTCTTTTAAGAATGTTGAATATTGGCCCCTAATCTCTGCTGGCTAATAGGGTTTCCACTGAGGGTTTTGCTTTTAGTCTGATGGACTTCTCTTTGTAGGTTACCTGGCGTTTCTCTCTGGCTGCCCTTAACATTTTTTCTTTCATTTTGACCTTGGAGAATCTGTTGATTACGTGTCTTGGGGTAGATCTTCTCGTGGAGTATCTTTCTGGGGTTCCCTGAATTTCCTGAATTTGAATGTTGGCTTGTCTTGCTAGGTTGGGGAAGTTCTCCTGGATGAGATCCTGAAGTATGTTTTCCCACTTGTTTCCAATTTTCCTGTCTCTTTCAGGTACCCCAGTCAGTTGTAGGTTCGGTCCTTTTCCGTAATACTGTATTTCTCAGAGTTTTTGTTCATCGTCTTTTCTTTTTTCCTTTTTTCTTTTTCTGAGACAGAGTCTCGCTTTATTAGCAGGCTGGAGTGCCGTGGTGCAATCTTGGTTCACTGCAATCTCCACCTCCCGGGTTCAAGTGATTCTTGTGCCTCAGCCTCCTGAGTAGCTGGAATTATAGGTGCACACCACCATGCTTGGCTAATTTTTGTGTTTTTAGTAGAGACAGGGTTTTGCCATGTTGGCCAGGCTGGTCTCGAACTCCTGACCTCAGGTGATCTGCCTGCCTCGGCCTCCCAAAGTGATGGGATTGCAGGCGTGAGCCACTGTGCTCAGTCTCATTCTTTTTTCTCTATTCTTGTCTTTCTGTCCTGTTTTAGAAAGATAGTCTTACAGCTCTGAGATTCTTTCCTCTGCTTGGTCTATTTTGCTGTTGATACTTGTGATTGCATTGTGAATTTCTTATATTGTGTTTTTCAGCTCCATCAGGTCATTTATGTTCCTCTCTAAACTGGCTGTTCTCATTATCAACTCCTGTATTGTTTTATCATGATTCTTAGCTTCTTTGCATTGGGTTAGAACATGCTCCTTTAGCTCAGTGAAGCTTTTTATTACCCATTTTCTGAAGCCTCCTTCTGTCATTTCAGTCATCTCAGCTTCAGCCTAGTTCTGTACCCATGCTGGAGAGGTGTTGCAGTCATCTGGAGTCACTCTGGATTTTTGAGTTTTCAGCGTTTTTGCATTGATTCTTCCTCATCTTTGTGGGCTTATCTACCTTCTATCTTTGAGGTTGCTGACCTTTGAATGGTGTTTTTGTGGGATCTTCTTTGTTGATGTTATTGTTGTTGTTATTGTTTTCCGTTCGTTTGTTTTTCTTTTAACAGGTCACTCTTCCATAGGGCTGCTGTGGTTGTTGGGGTTCCACTCCAGACCCTAATCTCCTTGGTCCTCCCACACCTGGAGATATTACCGGTGAAGGCTGCAAAACAGCAAAGGTGACAGCCTCCTCTTTCTTCTCGGAGCTTTGTCCCAGGGGCACACTGAACAGATGTTGGCCTGAATGCTCCTGTAGAAGGTGTCTGGAGCCCCTACTGGGAGTTCTCACCCAGTCAGGGGGAACAGGATCAGGGACCTGCTTAAAGAAGCAGTCTGGCTGCCCTTTGGCTGAGTGGGTGTGCTGAGCTGAGGGGAATCCTCCTTGTACAGACTGCCTGGACTCTCCAGAGCCAGCAGGCTGGAAAGGCTAAGTTGGCTGAACTGCAAATACAGTCACCGCTTCCCCCCCGCCCCTCCCCTCTTGGTGGCTCAGTCCCAGGGAGTGATCAGAGATCTGTTCATATAACTCAGGCTAGTGTAGCTGAAATTCCTGCAGGGAAGCCCCACCTAGTGAGGAGGGATGAAGCAGGGTCCCACTTAGAGGAGCAGTCTGACCACAGTCTGCTGTGTTGTGGAAAACTCTTCCCGTTCCAGACCTCCTGGACTCCCCAGAGGAGCCGGCAGGCTGGAACCACAGAGATGGCAGCTGCCCCCACTCCCAAGCCCCTCAGGAACTTGGTTCATTTCAGGCAGTCTCCAGCTTCCTGCCACTGGCCAGCTGGAATTCCAAGCCAGTGGGTGTTAACATGTGAGGTGCCATGGGAGTGGGGCCTGCAGAACGATGCTGCTTGGCCCCCTGGATTCAGCCCCCTTCCTAGGGGAAGGCATGGATGGATTTCCCGCCTTGCTGGAATTCCCAGGGCCAGAGTATGCAAAATTCCTGGGTCTCTGTGCATACCAGAGCCACTCTGTTGAGACTCCGCATAGCGCTATGCTTTGGACCCAAGGTCCTGGTGGTGTGGGCTCAGGGGGGGATCTCCTGATCTGCAGGTTGCAAAGATCTATGGGAAAAACGTGGTTTCCTGGGTGGGGTCGCACACTCACTGCCTCCCTTGGCTGGGGTAGGGCCTTCCCTGGCTTCAGAAGGGGCCGTCTCCCCACCCTGCTTTTCCTCACTCTCTGTGGGTTTAGCCATCCACCTAGTGAGTCCCAGTGTGAGAACCTGGATACCTCAGTTGAAGGTTCAGAATTTCATTTGCCGTTTTCATTCTTCTCTGTGATAGCCACTGACTGCAGCTGCTTCTGGTACAGTACTGTTAACTATGTTCAGAATTCACCAGTTTTTCCACTCAAGTTCATTTTTTTCTGGTTCAGTATCTAACTCAGCATCCCACATTGCATTAATTGTCATGTCTTGTTAGTCCTCTCTAGTTTGTGATGATTCCTTAGGTTTTTCTTTTTTTTTTTTTCACGATTTTGTTACTTTTGAAGAATACTGGTCAGTTATTTTGTAGAATGTCTCTCAAGTTGGGTTTGACTTATGATTTCTCATGATTACAGCAAGGTTATACATTTTTGGTAAGACTAGCTACAAATTAATAGTCTAAAAATACTATATTTTTAGCAAATATATCAGAGGTACATGATATCAATATGCATTATTCTTGGCGAAATTAACATAGATCATTTGGTTAATGTAGTCTCTGCTGTGTTTTTCTACTATGCAGTTACTCCTGTTCCCTTTGTAGTTAATAAATATCTTGGGGAGGAATTTACTTTGAGACTTTGCAAATATACTGTTTCTGCTCAAATTTTTGCCCACTGATTTTAGTATCCATCTTGTCTGCAACAATTATGGCTATGGTGCTCTGATGGTGATTCTCTATTTTCCCCATTCTTTCTACATTTATTGATTGGAATGTTTCTATATGGAAGAGCTGTGTCTTTTTCTCCCCATTTATTTATTTATTCAGTTATTTGCTTATATCTGTATGGAATTATGGATATTTATTTTATTACTGGATTATAATCCAATACTATTTTTATTTCTTTTATTGCTCAAATTGTTCCCTCCTGGGTCATTGAGAACTCTTTCAGGTTGGTTCCTGGAACCTTTTGACAGGCTTATCCTTTTTTGAGAACTTTCTTACTTTCTGACACTGTAAGATGATCCAGGCTTATCTTATATTTTCCCTGCCCCAGCCCTAGAATCAACCACTTTTTCAGGAAGCCCTGGTTTATTGTAAAATGATATTCAAAACCAAGATCCGGGTGCTTGGTGTGCTTATTGCTACTGAGATGTTTATCTTATTAGTGGACAGATCTAGGATTTCTGTGTATATACTAACCCATGCATATACCTATATCTATTTCTAAATCTATATGTACACCTACACTTATGTAAAGAAACCATGAGTTTCATCCAATACCACAGAGTTCATTCTAGTCTTCCTCCCTTCTCTAATTGTAGTTTATTTCTTTGACAGTAAGAAATCTGACTCTCTTTATCTGCAACATGTTTGATTATTTGTTCAACCCTAATCTACACATACAGTTGTTTTGGAATTGCGAACCCATACTTCTGTTACTATTTGACTTTTTTTTTTTTTGAGTTACTGATTGTCTTTTTTTTTTTTTGAGATGGAGTCCCCCTCTGTTGCTCTGCTGGAGTGCAGTGGCGTAATCTTGGCTCACTGCAACCTCTACCTCCCAGGTTCAAGAGATTCTCCTGCTTTAGCCTCCCAAGTAGCTGGGACTTACAGGCACCTGCCACCGTGCCTGGCTAATTTTTGTATTTTTAATAGAGACGGGGTTTCACCACATTGGTCAGGCTGTTCTCGCACTCCTGACCTCAGGTGATCCTCACACCTCAGCCTCTCAAAGTGCTGGGATTACAGGTGTGAGCCACTGTGCCTGGCCTCTGATTGACTTTTAATTTGTAATTATGGAGAACTGTTAGGGAAAGCAACATACTAGGAGATGGATTTTGATAGTGATAACTTTTATCAGTTTAATTAACTTAGGTATCATTCCTATCAACTTTTCCTTCTATAGTTTACTTTGCCTTATGTAATGTACTAAAGATATAAGACTGGCATTATAGCATATCATCAACTAATTTGCCTGAGTATGATCATAAGAAAATATTAAACATCTTTTCTGTTGCAAAGATCTAAAAACCACAGATTGTTGGAGTAACTTTGAGGTGACAGATATTCAATGCTTCTTAAAAATATATATTTTTTCTGAACACAAAAGAGGTGTATACTCAGAAGAAAAAGTCACACTTTACAGAAATAAATGAAACATACAGAAATTCCTCATAACCCTTTATGACAACCACTGCGCACCCACATATACCAGATAACTGTTCAATGCTTTTTTAAACTTGAACATTTTATCATATTTTTTGAGGTTTACTTTTGTAAATTTGCCAGAATGATAAACGGCCAAATCCCACTGTACATCTAGGAAACTAATACAGATGTTAGGAGAAATTGTGGGATTTTGATAGTATTAAGGTATTTTTCTGGGCAGGGTTTTTTTCTAGGCAATGCATGACTGCACCCAAACCGTAGCTGATATCTTTATGAGTTTCTCAAGAGAAATAGTGGTATGTGCATAATGCCCAGTGGCAAGTGAAAAACAAGGAATTAAGAGATACTTCTTCCTGGCATCTCTTTTTTTTTTTCTTTTTCTTTTATTTATTTATTTATTTTTATTTATTTTTTTTATTGATCATTCTTGGGTGTTTCTCGCAGAGGGGGATTTGGCAGGGTCACAGGACAACAGTGGAGGGAAGGTCAGCAGACAAACAAGTGAACAAAGGTTTCTGGTTTTCCTAGGCAGAGGACCCTGGGGCCTTCCGCAATGTTTGTATCCCTGGGCACTTGAGATTAGGGAGTGGTGATGACTCTTAACGAGCATGCTGCCTTCAGGCATCTGTTTAACAAAGCACATCTTGCACCGCCCTTAATCCATTTAACCCTGAGTGGACACAGCACATGTTTCAGAGAGCACCGGGTTGGGGGTAAGGTCATAGATCTTACACCATACCCCAACAGCATCCCAAGGCAGAAGAATTTTTCTTAGTACAGAACAAAATGGAGTCTCCTATGTCTACTTCTTTCTACACAGACACAGCAACAATCTGATTTCTCTATCTTTTCCCCACATTTCCCCCTTTTGTATTCGACAAAACCGCATCATCATCATGGCCCGTTCTCAGTGAGCTGTTGGATACACCTCCCAGACGGGGTGGCGGCCGGGCAGAGGGGCTCCTCACTTCCCAGAAGGGGCGGCCGGGCAGAGGCGCCCCTCACCTCCCGGACGGGGTGGCGGCTGAGCGGAGACGCCCCCCACCTCCCGGACGGGGAGGCTGGCCGGGCGGGGGCTGCCCCCCACCTCCCGGACGGGGCGGCTGTCGGGCGGAGATGCTCCTCACTTCCCAGATGGGGCGGCTGCTGGGCGGAGGGGCTCCTCACTTCTCAGACAGGGCAGCTGCCGGGCGGAGGGGCTCCTTACTTCTCAGACGGGGCAGCTGGGCAGAGACGCTCCTCACCTCCCAGACGGGGTTGCGGCCGGGCAGTGGTGCTCCTCACATCCCAGACGGGGCGGCGGGGCAGAGGTGCTCCCCACATCTCAGACGATGGGCGGCCGGGCAGAGATGCTCCTCACTTCGTAGATGGGATGGCGGCCGGGAAGAGGCGCTCCTCACTTCCCAGACTGGGCAGCCGGGCAGAGGGGCTCCTCACATCCCAGACGATGGGCGGCCAGGCAGAGATGCTCCTCACTTCCCAGACGGGGTGGTGGCCGGGCAGAGGCTGCAATCTCGGCACTTTGGGAGGCCAAGGCAGGCGGCTGGGAGGTGGAGGTTGTAGCGAGCCGAGATCACGCCACTGCACTCCAGCCTGGGCAACATTGAGCACTGAGTGAACGAGACTCCATCTGCAGTCCTGGCACCTCGGGAGGCCGAGGCTGGCAGATCATTCGTGGTTAGGAGCTGGAGACCAGCCCGGCCAACACAGCGAAACCCCGTCTCCACCAAAAAAATACGAAAACCAGTCAGGCGTGGCGGCACGCGCCTGCAATCGCAGGCATTCGGCAGGCTGAGGCAGGAGCATCAGGCAGGGAGGTTGCAGTGAGCAGAGATGGCGGCAGTACAGTCCAGCTTCGGCTCGGCATCAGAGGGAGACCGTGGATAGAGAGGGAGACAGAGACTGTGGGGAGAGGGAGAGGGAGAGGGAGACCGTGGGGAGAAGGAGAGGGAGAGGGAGAGGGCAAAGTAGAGGAATTTTCCCCTGGCATCTCTTTCAGCCACCAAATGACCACAACTTGGTGCCTTATATGAAGTATAATTTGGAACCAATCTCATCCTGAAGTCATATCTCATTAATGAGTAAACACATCTGAGATGTTTCATTCTGCAAATTTTTTTTTTTTTTTTTTTGAGATGGAGTCTTGCTCTGTTGCTCAGGTTGGAGTGTAGTGGTGCAATCTCGGCTCACTGCAACCACCGCAACTCCACCTTCTGAGTTCAAGTGATTCTCCTGCCTCAGCCTCCCAAGTAGCTGGAATTACAAGCGTGAGCCACCACGCCTGGCTAATTTTTGTATTTTTAATAGAGATGAGGTTTTACCATGTTGGCCAGGCTGGTCTTGAACACCTGACCTCAAGTGGTCCACACGCCTCGGCCTCCCAAAGTACTGGGATTACAGGTGTGAAGCACTGCACCTGGCCTGCAAATGCTTATATCTTCTTTCACCAAGTTAGGTACTGGGGGTATTAAAATGAATGAAGGTTGGTTGTTACCATAAGGATCTTTAAGGGAAGAAACACAGGTAAGCCAATAATTGTAATATAACATGAATAGTGTGATTTAGGAGTGCAGAGGTGGGAGGGACCCCTGCTTGGAACTTTACAGGGGAGGTGGTATTTAAACTACTCTTTAGTACCTGGCTTCTCTCTGTGCCATCACTCGGCAATGAATTTTTTCAGTCCTGTGCTAATTGAAGTAGTTTTCTAAACTCCATTTTGTCATCTGTTCAATTCCCTTTTAATGAAGTTCTTTATATTTTTAACATGTCTGTCTGCTCATTTTATTCCTTTCCTGGAGAACTTCAATGCTTATATTTTAGGTAAAGAAGGGAGTTCAGAATCTTTTGTGTAACATCCAAGTCCTGCAGGTCAGTCCTCAGCCTGTCCACTCATCTCTTCCTCCTCCATACACCCCTTTCTCCAGCTACACTGAACTGCTCCCCCAAAACAGGTGCTTTTTAATGTTTGGCTCCATGCCTTTGTTCTGTTATTCTGTCTCTGTGAAAAGCTCCTCCCTCATCTGTGCTTTCTGCAATCATACTCTATTTCAAGGTCCAGCTCAAGTTCCATGTCTTGCATGAAACCATTTCTTATCCTTCTAGCTATCTCCCAAGTTTGAATAGTTTCTTCTTCTAACTCCTCACTTTGTCTTTTTTCTCTACTATATTGTTAGCTTCCTGTGGGTCAGCCTCTTCGTATTTCTTACGGTATCTTTAACCACATATCCTTAATTACTTTTTAGCCATTTTATACTGAGGAATTTTATGAATATCTTGGCTTTGATCTTTTGCTTCTGGATCCTCTTTAGACCCTCACGTTTGTTTATTTATCTCTAAATGTTTTAATTCTAGTGCTAGGTCTTCTGGGTTCTAGGACAGCTGGATAGAACTATGTGTTAAGACTTTTCATTGAACATTAACTGCTTATGTGGACTCAGTCAAATGTGTTGATTAAAGGCATGCATTTTGGAATCAGACAGAACCAAGCTCTAGCCCCAGCTCTGTTTTCTCTTGAAAAAGTTACTTAACCTCTCTAAGCCTTAGTTTCATCATCTTTAAGTTAGGCTAAAAATACTACCTCCTGCTGACAGGTTTTGTGAGAATTAAAGTATTTAGCATAGTGCCTAAAACATAAAAGTGTGCAATAAATGTTAAATTCTTTGTCTTTACCTGTCCCTTCTTTTCCTCTCCCTTCTCCTTTTCATTCCCTCTTTTATTTTTACTCCCTAATCCCACTTCCTTTTTCTTCTCCATGAAATATCATTACTGTTTATGAAATTAGTCTGTTTTGCTAATATCCAGCTTCTTTTAGGATTTTTTTTTGGATTCAGAAGTTATCGGCAAATTAATAATTTTTCATGTGTTAATGCGGCAGGTCACCATAAATAAATTGCCTCGTGATGGGAATTTTGTCATTCTGGTACTTTCAGTTGTACTCAATTCTTAGCTGTATATAGGTGTTGCATTGATGAAAACCACTTTTTTAGGGGAAAGGCATCAAAATCAGTGGCTTATTTGTAGCACTATTGTATTCTCTTATATAGTAATGTAATACTAACCTAAATCTTAATGTATTTTCTCTAATTTATAGCAAATAATTTTCTTTTTTTTTGAGACAGAGTTTTGCTCTTGTTGCCCAGGCTGGAGTGCAATGGCGTGATCTCGGCTCACCACAATCTCTGCCTCCCAGGTTCAAGCAATTCTCCTGCCTCAGCCTCCTGAGTAGCTGGGATTACAGGCATGCACCACCATGCCCAGCTAATTTTGTATTTTTAGTAGAGATGGGGTTTCTCCATGTTGAGACTGGTCTCGAACTCCTGACCTCAGATGATCCTCCCGCCTCAGCCTCCCAAAGTGCTGGGATTACCGGCATGAGCCACTGCGCCTGGCAGCAAAGAAAATTTTTAACTCTCAAAATCAATGGCTTATTCATAGCACTATTATATGCTCTTATGTAGTAATGTAATACTAACCTAAATCAATATATTTTCTTTACTTTGTAGCAAAGAAAATTTTTAACTGTCTTTGTGCTTTTTTGAGAAAATGGACATTGATGTAAAATGAGGAAGTATGCCCCCCCCAATAAAGCAAGTATACAAAAATCAGTGTTTTAAAATATAGACAGTTTTTAGATAAGAAAAGGAGATGAGAGAATAAGCAAAATATTCTATGCAGAATATCTTTACTTTAATCTTTGATTCCTGCTTATAAGGATGGATGTTCATGCAGCCAGTGAATAAGGAGCAGAGGATTCTGCTACATGAGGACCGGCAGGCTCAGTTTGAATAAATCATGTGGACATTCTTTATTTGTCCAATCATTATTTATTCAATATCTAGTACCCAGGAAATGCACAGCTGGGATAATACAAAAATGATTAAGAAATTGTTTCCTTTAGAACATATAGTGAATTAAGTATGAGAGAAAACATGTCTAAGTAATATTTAAGACAAACTATGGAAATATAAAATAATAGTTTGCAGAGGAAAGAGTGATTAAATTAATTTGCTGTTAAGAAAGCTGTTTGCTATATTTTATATTTGTTTATATTTCTATAAAAAGAAAGGAAGTAAGTAATAGGTTAACTGAACGTGAGATGATTATGATAAGATTCTCAGTCTTAGTTGATCCATAACTGTCATCACAGTTTTAGTAGGGGCTTTTCTAGCTGCTGTATATATTCATCTCTCTAGACATGAGACGTTTGTTCTCTAGGCATCTGGCCTCTCTTAAGCTTTCTCAATTATAACACTCACTAAAACTTTTTTTTTTAACTTTTAGTTTTGGGGGTACATGTGCAGGTTGGATCTATAGATAAATTGTGTATCATGGGGGTTTTATGTACATATTATTTTGTCACCCAGGTAAGTAGCATAGTATCTACTAGGTAATTTTTTGATCCTCACCCTCTTCCCACCCTCCACCCTCAATTAGGCCTCAATGTCTATTGTTTCCTTCTTGGCATCCATGTGTACTCAGTGTTTAGCTCCCACTGATAAGTGAGAATATGCAGTGTTTGGTTTTCTGTTCTTGCGTTAGTTCACTTAGGATAATGGCCTCCAGCTCCATGTTGCTCTAAAGGACATGATTTTGTTTTTTTTTATGGCTGCATACTATTCCATGGTATATATGTACCACATTTTCTTTATCCAGTCTACCACTGATGCTCATTTAGGTTAATTACATGTCTTTCCTTTGGTGAATAGGGCTGCATTGAACATACATGTGCATGGGTCTTTATGGTAGAAGAGTTTATATTCCTTTGGGTATATACCCAATAATGGGATTGCTGGATGGAATGTTAATTCTGTTTTAAGTTCTTTGAGAAATTGCTAAACCGCTTTCCATAGTGTCTGAGCTAATTTACATTCCCACCAGCAGTATATAAGCATTCCCTTTTATCTGCAGTCTTGCCAGCATCTCTTGTTTTTTTGACATTTTAATAGTAGCCATTCTTACTGGTGTGAGCTGGTATGTCATTGTGATTTTGATTTGCATTTCTCTGGTGATTAGTGATGTTGAGCATTTTTTCATATGCTTCTTTGCCGTATATATGTCTCATTTTGAAAAATGTTTATGTCTTTTGCTCACATTTTAATGGGTTTTTTTTGCTTGTAGATTTAAGTTTCTTGTAGATTCTGAATATTAGACCTTTGTCAGATGCATAGTTTGCAAATATTTTCTCCCATTTTGTGAGTTGTCTGTTTACTCTGTTGATAAGTTTCTTTTGCTTTGCAGAAACTTTTTAATTAAGTCCCATTTGTCAATTTTAATTTTTGTTGCAGTTGCTTTTAGCATCTTCATCATAAATTCTTTGCCAGTGCCTAGTCTATAGTGGTGTTTTCTAGTTTATCTTTCAGGATTTTTATAGTTTTAGGTTTTACATTGAAGTTTTTAATCCATCTTGATTGACTTTTATATATGGTGTAAGGAAGAGGTCTAGTTTCAGTCTTCTGCATACAGCTAGCTACTTATCCCAGCACCATTTATTGAATAGGGAATCCTTTCTCCATTGCTTGTTTTTGTCAGCTTTGTTGAAGATCAGAGGGTTGTAGGTATGTGGCTTTACTCTATTCTGTACCATTAATCTGTATGTCTGTTTTTGTACCAGTACCATGCTGTTTTGGTTACTGTAGCATTATAGTATAGTTTGAAGTCTGGTAATGTGTTTGCTCCAGCTTTGTTCTTTTTGCTTAGAATTGCAATTGTTATTTGGGCTCTTTTTTGGTTCCATATGAATTTTAGAATAGTTTTATTTTTCTAATTCTGTGAAGAATGTCATTGGTAGTTTGATAGAAATAGGATTGAATCTGTACATTGCTTTGGGTAATATGGTCATTTTAACAATGTTGACTCTTCCTATCCATGAGCTTGGGATGCTTTTCTATTTGTTTGTGTCATCTCTGATTTCTTTGAGCAGTGCTTTGTAATTCTCGTTGTAGAGATTTTTTTACCTCCTTGGTTAGCTATATTCCTAAGTATTTTTATTCTTTTTGTGTCTATTGTGAGTGGGATTGTGTTCTTGATTTGGCGCTCAGCTTGGACATTATTGGTGTATAGAAATGCTACTGATTTTTTTTACATTGATTTTGTATCCTGAAACTTTGCTGAAGTTGTTTATTAGATCTAGGAGCTTTTGGGCAGACTATGGGGTTTTCTAGGTAAAAAAGAATATTGTCTGCAAACAGAGATAGTTTGACTTTCTCTCTTCCTATTTGGACGTCTTTTATTTATTTCCCTTGCCGGATTTCTCTGGCCAGGACTTCCAATACAATGTTAAATAGGAGTGGTGAGAGTGAGCAGACTTGTCATGTTCCAGTTCTCAAGGGGAATGCTTTTGGTTTTTGCCCGTTCAGTATGATGTTGGCTGTGGGTTTGGCATAGATGGCTCTTATTATTTTGAGGTAAGTTCCTTTAGTGCCTAGTTTGTTGAGGATTTTTAACATGAAGGGATGCTGGATTTTATTGAAAGCCTTTTCTGCATCTATTGATATGATCATGTGGTTTTTGTTGTTCTCTTTGTGTGATGAATCACATTTATTGATTTGCGTATATTGAACCATTCTTGTATCCTAGGGATAAAACCTACTTGATCAGATTGCAGTGAATTTGTTTTTGATGTGCTGCTGGATTCGGTTTGCTAATTTTTTTTGAGGATTTTTGCATTTATGTTCATCAAGGATATTGGCTTGTAGGTTCCATTTCTTCTAGGTTTTCTAGTTTATGTGCGTGGAGGTGTTCATAATAGTCTTTTTTTTTTTTTTTTGTCTTTCTGTGGGGTTGGTGTTAATGTTATATTTGTCATTTCTGATTCTTTATTTGGATTTTCTTTTTTTCTTTATTAGTCTAGCCAGTGGTCTTTTGTTGTTGTTGTTGTTGTTGTTGTTGTTTTTCAGACGGAGTCTTGCTTTGTTGCCCTGGCTGGAGTGTAGTGGCGTGATCCCGGCTCACTGCAAACTCCACCTCCCGGATTCACGCCATTCTCCTGCCTCAGCCTCTGGAGTAGCTGGGACTACAGGCACCTGCCACCACACCCGGCTCATTTTGTTTTTGTATTTTTGGTAGAGACGGAGTTTCACTGTGTTAGCCAGGATGGTCTCGAGCTCCTGACCTCATGATCTGCCCACCTTGGCCCCCCAAAGTGCTGGGACTACAGGTGTGAGCCACCGCGCCTGGCCGCCAGTGGTCTGTCTGATTTATTCTTTCAAATAACCAACTTGTGGTTTCACATGAAAACTTATATTAATTATAGATCTAGTAGGAACAAACATGTCTAGGCCAGTGATATAATTATTTTGATTACATACTGCAGTTGATTTAAAAAAATTAGGGTGCATTTTAATAGATAGGCTTATTTTTCTCTAATTACACACACTTATTGTATATTAGTATATGATGCACCTCATAAAACATACACAAAACTAGATATCAAAAAAGGAAGAAGTATTGGTGAGATAAAGTCTTTAAAAATGTTTTGGTCAGTAATGATAGTATAATGGAGTCTCACTATTATTATTTATTATCTCAAAGCACAATATATATTTCGGGTGAGATT
The DNA here is from genome assembly GCF_000001405.40 of Homo sapiens. Lineage (NCBI taxonomy): Eukaryota > Metazoa > Chordata > Mammalia > Primates > Hominidae > Homo > Homo sapiens. Next base: position 118,957,795 of record NC_000005.10, on the reverse strand, counting down.
CCCTGTTAAGGATAGTAAGATGCAAGTCCACAATTCAAATAAACTTGATAATTTCTTCACTGCTCTAGGCATGCCCTCTGGGGCACAAGTCTCTGAAACTCTCATCTAAAGACATTTATTCTTGGGAGTGTTTCTGAATCTATTCCTTTGTGGGAGGCTGCCCAATTCGCAAAAAGAAAAACAAATGTGTATATATATTTAAAACAGATATATATTATATATATCACCGTTTTAGGATAGGACAACTTCACACTGTAATTAAAAAATCACAACAGTGGCCAGGTGCGGTGGCTCACACCTGTAATCCCAGCACTTTGTGAGGCCAAGGCAGGCAGATCACGAGGTCAGGAGTTCGAGACCAACCTTGCCAACATGGTGAAACCCCATCTCTACTAAAAATACAAAAATTAGCCAGGCATGGTGGCGCGCCCCTGTAATCCCAGCTACTTGGGAGGCTGAGGCAGGAGAATTGCTTGTACCCGGGATGTGGAGGTTGCAGTGAGCCGAGATCATGCCACTGCACTCCAGCCTGGGTGACAGAGCAAGACTATGTCTCAGAAAAAAAAAAATCACAACAGTATATTTTTTCTAAGTCTATCCTTCCTCCACTCCTAAAGCCAGTTATAAGAGAATCTAGTAAGGAAAACAATTTTGCAGGGTATGGGAATATTATTGTTATTTGTACTTGAAGCAGTCAGACATGGAAGATGTTATCTACTTCTGTTTTGGAGATGAAAATGTATTATAATGTTAATCATGTAAAGCTATTTCTACTTTTATTGGTTATGTTGGATATATAGTTTCAGAAATCTGACAATGACTTTATCTTACAGATCACGTTAGTTTCTTTAAAATGACAGCAGAGGGCACTATGGTATTTAGTTTTCCAAAGCCAGTTTTAAAATTGGAAAATTGTTGCCATTTTTATGTGTAATGCAGTGTATCTATTCAACTAGTTGAATGAATAGCTATGAAACTTTTTGTTCTTTGCTTTTTCGCTATGTTAGGAGTATAAAAATTTTGTTGAGTATTGGTAAAGTTGAGGTGCACTATTTTTCTGGGTTCCACATTTGCTTTTGTTTAGTACTCTTTAAAAAGAGTACTTGTAAATCTGTTCACTAATCTTTAAAGTTTACTTATTTGAATCACCTTGATTAAAATCAGTACTGTGAGAAAAAAGCTTTCAGTGAATATTATATAAGAAATTTAATTAAAGCTTTGAAAGATTTTTTTGTAGGTCCTAGCATCTCTAGTCATATGTCAGATATAATTTTATTAGCCCACAGGCTGTCAGAGATAGTATGCCCAGAGTGATACACATTACCTTTGTATTACAGCATTTGTTTAGGAAGCAAGTCAGTCTTAGTCTGACAGGAAGCCCATGTATTTATTTCTACATCCTTAATGAGAAAAGAAGAAAAAGCTTATTTCACAGAATTTCCTTGGGGAAATGATTTGAAGGTTTCATTTATATTTTAAGAATGTAATTACATTAATTGGGTTGTATAGGTTTTAAAGAAGATAAACCCCGATGAGCGGAAAAATACATTGTAAATACATTATAAATATAGAAAAGGGAAAAATCTCAGCACCTATTTTGGTCAGTCTGTTATAAATTAGCTCAAAATAATAGCCAGAATGTTTGCCTGTAATGCAGTAGTTATTCCCCAGAACTCTCTTGTTGCCTTATTGTTACCAGTTTTGTTCGGAAGGAAATTGAAAATCTGTGACATGCCCAAGGTCACATAGCAAGACAATAACATTGGTAGTGACATTATAATAGTTATTCCCCAAACCTATACCCAGTTGACCAGTGTATATTTCTTTAGATGTTAGTTTTTATTTCTCATATCTATATAAATTCTAGAAGTAGCTTGATTAAAAAAAAATGAATATTCATTATTTACAAATAATCAGTTTTGATATATAGTTATGTGATATTTTTTGCCTGTCAAGTATAATAGTTCATAGGAAGCAAGGAACTTTTTTTTTTTTTTAAGAGATAGGGGTCTTGCTGTGTTGTCCAGGCTGGAGCATAGTGGCTATTCACTGGTTGTACTACTACAGCCTCAAAGTGGGCTCAAGTGATCCTCCTGCCTTAGCCTCCTGAGTAGCTGCACCCTGCTATGTGCCTGGAGAAGCAAGGAACTTTTAAAAAATTATTTCTGGCACAGTGAGAACAAATAAGCTCCATGAGGGTAGGAATCTTTGTTCTTTTTATTGTCCCAAGTGCCTAATATCTGGCACTTAGGTATGCAGTAAATATTTGAATAAAAATTTGTTGAATTTATAAATTATTCAATCCATTATTAATTTAAATATTTAAACCTTCTAGAGAGATTTTAGAATGAGGAGAGCAGTTACTCTGCACTTACCCACTAGTTTAGGAAGAGATGGTTTAACAGTTGGTCAGCTAATCACCATTACCATGCATGCAGAGCATTGTCGGGGAGGAAAGATTGATAGTAAGGTAATAAAGCAGAAATGCGTCCTATAAAGTAACTTGCTAAATATAAAGCTAGTTGAGATGTTTTAAAGAGCTACAGTTTTATTAGTTTGAAGTAATTATAAGTAAAATTAGGTTAATAAAGAGAATATGCTTTAAAGTAAATAGAAAATGTTTTGTGAGCATATAAAATCATGAGTTAAAGCAATTAGTTTTAGGTTAAATCACGCTTATAGTGTTTACACATAAATTGTTTAGCTATTTTTTTAGTAACTGTTTTCTTCAGTAAATATTTTTGTCTTTTATGTGCGATCACTTATCAAAATGATCACAAAATATAATAAAGGAAGACCTGACACTCTGAATTTCATTTGTAATACAAATGAATTACTTAAGTACCAGAGAGGGCATAAAGGAGAAATTAAACTTTGATATATAAAAAAAAATTAACGAATGGGATAGAAAATTGTATAGGAGGAGAAAAGCATTCAAAGGTTTAGAGAAGACGGAATGTAAAGATATTCCTTCAGGCTGGGCACGGTGGCTCACGCCTGTAACTTCAGCACTTTGGGAGGCCGAAGCAGGTGGATCACTTGAGGCCAGGAATTTGAGAAACTTCACCTCTACAAAAAAAAATCCAAAAATAACATTAATTATTCAAATACAAAAATTAGCCAGATGTGGTGGTGCACACCTGTAACCTCAGCTACTCACGAGGCTGAGGCATGAGAATTGCTTGAATTGGGAGGCGGAGGTTGCAGTGAACTGAGATCATGCCACTGCACTCCAGCCTGGGTGACAGAGTGACACCTGTCTCAAAAAAAGAAAAAAATCCTTTATGTATTCAGCAATATCTATTGAGCACCTACTATGCCAGGTGCTGGGGATATAGCAGTGAAAAAGGTAGGCTAAGTCCTTGCCTCCCTGTAGCTTACATTTTAGAGAAGGAAACCCACATTCAGCTAACATAATGTCAAATAGTAGTAAAATGCTGTGAAGAAAAATCAGTCAGAATAAGGGGATAGAGAGTGATAGTGAGAGAAAAGGTGGATGATTTGATTGATTGATTGATTCATTGCTAGGGTTTTTCTCTCTCTGTTGCCCAGGCTGGAGTACAGTGGTGTGATCATAGCTCACTGCATCCTCAAACACCTGGGTATGAGCAGTCTTCCTGTTTCAGCCTCCCAAGTAGCTGGGACTACAGCTGTGCACCACCGTGTCTGGCTAATTTTTAAATTTTTAGTAGAGATGAGGTCTTGCTATGTTTCCTAGGCTGATCTCGAATTCCTGTGCTCAAGTGATCCTTTCTCCTCAGCTTCCCAAAATTCTGAGATTACAGGCATGAGCCACCATGCCTTGCCTTGGATTATTTTAGAATGGGGCATTGGAGCAAAGACCTGGTCTAAGTGAATCTTTAAGCTCTGCAGATATCTGGGATAAGATACCAGGCAGAGCACCAGTTGCTAGACACTCAGGTGCATAAGACTACTTTAGGCCACACCTAATACCAGAAAGATATAGGCCAGGAGCCACAAATTTGCATTTGTGGCATTGTAGAGCAACCTTAGATGACCCTTTTCTGCTGGCATCCTTGTGGCAGTCTGGCATAGCAGTCCAGCTCAGGTGGAAGGTGATATGTTCCACACTAGGCAGATAAGGTAGCCTAATAACTTTATGCTCTCAGGAGCCAACATCTTTTGTAACAACTCTCTAGCAAGTTTCTAGGGTTCCAATTTAGGGAAGTCCAAAGTATGGTGTCCCCATAGGGTCTTTATAGGTCTCTAGTCCATATGCAATCTACCAGTCAGTTGTCATTTAAATCACATACAGTGTTGCTTAGCAATATAGTTATCATGTTGCCAGGGTAACAGAGCTCGTTAGTTAAGGGAAGGTCAAATTTTCATGCAGGGGGAAGGGTTTTGGGTAAGCCATTTTGTCCATAGCTTTGTTGTTTATTATTCTTTGATTACTACTTCTCACAAAAGTTCATCAAGCTTTGCCAACCTTCAGATGTAGACAGGAATGGGTAAGTGGGCAGGATGTAGATACGAATGAATTCAAGTCACTTGAAAAATAAAACCCACTGGTGTGGACACCTCTAGAGCCTTGCACATCAAACTGTGGTCTTTACATTCTTCACCCCCTCACTCCTTACTCACTAGCAGCATCATCACCACCTAGGAATTTGTTAGAAATGCACATTCTCAGGCTTACTGAATCAGAAGCTCTGAGGGCTGGGGCTCAGCTGTCTAGTTTAATGAGTCCTCTAGGTGATTCTGATAACAGCAAAAGTTTGGGAATCACTGTACTAGGGGATACAAAAATTAAATGAAAACTCTGCTCTTAGAGGGTTCATCATCTAGAAGTGAGAGGAAGATGTGAAAACAAAATTTTGTCATATGATGTGGTCAAGTGTTTAAATGGAAGTATTAATAGGAATCTAAAGGAAATACATACGACTAAAATAAAAGAAAGTGAATTCAGCCCTGGGAGTAACAGAGACGTGCAAACAAGATGAGAGGCGTTGTCTTGGAGCATAAGCAATGTGGTCCTGGTTGGATACTGTACTTAAAATAATATTGTAAATATTGCAGATTTATGGGTTAAAGACTGCTGTTGTGGGCTGAGAATCTAACCACTTCCAGACAACCAACTTTTAAATAGACTTTTGGAGTAGAGTTTCTAAATGTTCTTAAAGGTTCCTGTCAGGCCTTTGAGCCCAAGCCTGCATGTTTACATCCAGATGGCATGAAGCAAGTGAAGAATCACAAAAGAAGTGAAAATGGCCAATTCCTGCCCTAACTGATGACATTACCTTGTGAAATTCCTTCTCCCGGCTCAGACGCTCCCCCACTGAGCACCTCATGACCCCCGCCCCTGCTTGCCGGAGAACAACCCCTTTGACTGTAATTTTCCACTACCTACCCAACTCCTATAAAATGGCCCCACCCCTATGTCCCTTTGCTGACTCTTTTTGGACTCAGCCTGCCTGCACCCAGGTGATTAAAAAGCTTTATTGCTCACACAAAGCCTCTTTGGTGGTCTCTTCACACGGACGCGCGTGACATTTGGTGTCGAAACATTTGGTGCCGTGACTCGGATTGGGGGACCTCCCTTGGGAGATCAATCCCCTGTCCTCCTGCTCTTTGCTCCGTGAGAAAGATCCATCTACGACCTCTGGTCCTCAGACCAACCAGCCCAAGGAACATCTCACCAATTTTAAATTGGGTAAGCGGCGTCTTTTTACTGTCTTCTCTGTCCTCTCACTATCCCTCAACCCCTTTCTCCTTTCAATTTCTGCGCCACCTTTCAATCTCTCCCTTCCCTTAATTTCAGTTCCTTTCTTTTTCTGGTAGAGACAGAGGAGACGCGTTTTATCCGTGAACCTAAAACTCCGGTGCCAGTCACAGACTTGGGAAGACAGTCTTTCCTTTGTGTTTAATCACGCGGGGACACCTGCCTGATTATTCAGCCACATTTCAGAGGTGTCTGATCACCATGGGGACGCCTGCCTTGATCCTTCACCTTGGTGGCAAGCACTACCTCCCCGAGGCGGGGCAAGTACCCTCCCACCCCTTCTCTCCATGTCTCTACCCTCTCTTTTCTCTGGGCTTGCTTCCTTCACTATGGGCAACCTTCCACCCTCCATTCCTCCTTCTTCTCCCTTAGCCTGTGTTCTCAAAAACTTAAAACCTCTTCAACTCACACCTGACCTAAAACCTAAATGCCTTATTTTCTTCTGCAACACCGCTTGACCCCAATACAAACTTGACAGTGTTTCCAAATAGCCAGAAAATGTCACTTTTGATTTCTCCATCCTACAAGATCTAGATAATTCTTCTCGTAAAATGGGCAAATGGTCTGAGGTGCCTGACGTCTAGGCATTCTTTTTCACATCAGTCCCTTTCTAATCTCTGCTCCCAATGCAACTCGTCCCAAATCTTTCTTCTTTCTCTCCTGTCTGTTCCTTCAGTCTCCACCCCAAGCTCTGAGTCCTTTGAATCCTCCTTTTCTACAGACCTATATGACCTCTCTCTTCCTCCCCAGGCTGCCCCTTGCCAGGCCGAGCCAGGTCCCACTTCTTCCTCGGCTTCTGCTCCTCCACCCTATAATCCTTCTATCACCTCCTCTCCTCACACCCAGTCCGGCTTACAGTTTCCTTCTGTGACTAGCCCTTCCCCACCTGCCCAACAATTTCCTCTTAAAGAGGTGTCTGGAGCTAAAGGCATGGTCAAGGTTATTGCTCCTTTTTCTTTATCCAGCCTCTCCCAAATCAGTTAGTGTTTAGGCTTTTTTTCATCAAATATGAAAACCCAGCCCAGTCCGTGGCTTGTTTGGCAACAACCCTTAGAGACTTTACCTTCCTAGACCCAGAAAGGCCAGAAGGCCGTCTTATTCTCAATATGCATTTTATTACCCAATCTGCTCCTGACGTTTAAAAAAAGCTCCAAAACTTAAATTCCAGCCCTCAAACCCCACAACAGGATTTAATTAACCTTGCCTTCAAGGTGTACAATAATTAAAAAGAGGCAGCCAAGCAGCAATGTATTTCTGAGTTGCAATTACTTGCCTCTGCTGTGAGAGAAACCCCAGCCACATCTTCAGCACAGAAGAACTTCAAAACGCCTAAGCCACAGTGGTCAGGCATTCCTTCAGGACCTCCTCCCCCAGGATCTTGCTTCAAGTGCTGGAAATCTGGCCACTGGGCCAAGGAATGCCTGCAGCCCGGGATTCCTCCTTAGTCATGTCCCATCTGTGCGGGACCCCACTGGAAATCGAACTGTCCAACTTGCCCGGCAGCCACTCCCAGAGCCCCTGGAATTCTGGCCCAAGGCTCTCTGACTCCTTCCCCGATCTTCTCGGCTTAGCAGCTGAAGACTGACACTGCCTGATTGCCTCAAAAGCCTCCTGGACCATCACAGGCGCTTGAGGTAACTCTTACAGTGGAGGGTAAGGCCGTCCCCTTCTTAATCAATACAGAGACTACCCACTCCACATTACCTTCTTTTCAAGGACCGTTTCCCTTGCCTCCATAACTGTTGTAGGTATTGATGGCCAGGCTTCTAAACCTCTTAAAACTCCCCAACTCTGGTGCCAACTTAGACAATATTCTTTTTTTTTTTTTTTTTTTTTTTTGGAGATGGAGTCTCACTCTGTCACCGAGGCTGGAGTGCAGTGGCGTGATCTCGGCTCAATAATACAAGCTCCGTCTCCTGGGTTCACACCATTCTCCCACCTCAACCTCCTGAATAGCTGGGATGACAGGCGTCCGCCACCATGCCCAGCTAATTTTTTGTATTTTTAATAGTGACGGGGTTTCACCATGTTAGCCAGGATGGTCTCGATCTCCTGACCTCGTGATCTGCCCGCCTTGGCCTCCCAAAGTGCTGGGATTACAGGCGTGAGCCATCGCGCCCGGCCGCTTAGACAATATTCTTTTGTGCACTCCTTTTTAGTTATCCCCACGTGCCCAGTTCCCTTATTAGGTCTAGGCATTTTAACTAACTTATCTGCTTTCCTGACTATTCCTAGGCTACAGCCACAACTCATTGCCGCCCTTTTCCCCAGTTCAAAGCCTCCTTCACATCCTCCCCTTGTGTCTCCCCATCTTAATCCACAAGTATGAGACACCTCTATTCCTACCTTGGCGAATGATCATGCACCCCTTAACATCCCATTAAAACCTAATCACCCTTACCCCACTCAATGCCAATATCCCATCCCACCGCATGCTTTAAAAGGTTAAAGCCTGTTATCACTCACTTGCTACAGCATGGGCTTCTAAAGCATATAAACTCTCCTTACAATTCTCCCATTTTACCCATCCAAAAACCAGACAAGTCTTACAGGTTGGTTCAGGATCTATGCCTTATCAACCAAATTGTTTTGCCTGTCCACCCTGTAGTGCCCAACCCGTACACTCTTGTCCTCAATACCTCCCTCCACAACCCATTTTTCTGTTCTGGATCTCAAGCATGCTTCCTTTACTATTCCTTTGCACCCTTCATCCCAGCCTCTCTTTGCTTTCACTTGGACTGACCCTGACACCCATCAGTCTCAGCAACTTACCTAGGCTATACTGCCACAAGGCTTCAGGAACAGCCCCCATTACTTCAGTCAAGCCGTTTCTCATGATTTACTTTCTTTCCATCCATCTGCTTCTCACTTTATTCAATATTTTGACAACCTTCTACTTTATAGCCCCTCCTACAAATCTTCCCAAAAGGACACCCTTCTGCTCCTCCAACATCTGTTCTCAAAAGAATATCGCGTATCCTCCTTCAAAGCCCAAATTTCTTCCTCATCTGTTACCTATCTCGGCATAATTCTTAATAAAAACACACGTTCTCTCCCTGCTGATCGTGTCTGGCTAATCTCCCAAACCCTAACCCCTTCTACAAAGCAACAACTCCTTTCCTTCCTAGCATGGTTAGGTACTTTCACCTTTGGATACCTGGTTTTGCCATCCTGACTAAACCGTTATATAAACTCACAAAAAGAAACTTAGCTGACCTCATAGATCCTAAATCCTTTCCCCACTCCTCTTTCCTTTCCTTAAAAACAGCCCTAGAAGCTGCTTCCACACTAGCTCTCCCTAACTAATCCCAACCCTTTTCATTACACACAGCCGAAGTGCAGGGCTGTGCGGTCAGAATTCTTACACGAGAGCCGGGACCGTGCCCTGTAGCCTTTCTGTCCAAACAACTTGACCTTACTGTTTTAGGCTGGCCCCCACATTATTCCTGATACCACACCTGACCCCCATGACCGTGTCTCTCTGATCCACCTGGCATTCACTCCATTTCCCCATATTTCATTTTTTCCTGTTCCCCACCCTGATCACAGTTTGTTTTTGTTTTTGTTTTTTTGAGATGGAGTCTTGCTTTGTCGCCCAGGCTGGAGTGCAGTGGCATGATCTCGGCTCACTGCAAGCTCCGCCTCCCGGGTTCATGCCATTCCCTGGCCTCAGCCTCCCAAGTAGCTGGGACTACAGGCACCTGCCATCATGCCCGGCTAATTTTTTTTTTTTGTATTTTTAGTAGAGACGGGGTTTCACCGTGTTAGCCAGGAAGGTCCCTAACTCCTGACCTTGTGATCCGCCCGCCTCGGCCTCCCAAAGTGCTGGGATTACAGGCGTGAGCCACCGTGCCTGGCCCACAGTTGGTTTATTAATGGCAGTTCCACCAGGCTTAATCGCCACTCACCAGCTAAGGCAGGCTATGCTATAGTATCTTCCACATCTGTCAACACTCTATGTTGCCCCAATAACATTTTACCTAAAAGGTTGATTTCTAACCTTTAGTAGATGAACTACCTATTACAATATGTTTTTATAATATATATTATCATTCATCAAATGTGTTATGCAACATTTGTTATTAAAGTGAGTCTAACTTCAATTCATTTTGGGGATTTTTAGAACTATACAAAACCACAATATAACTGAAGTTCCTCAATAGTATCACAAAATCAACTTATTTGAACTGCCCTTTTTAACTAAGTTTTACAGATAAAAGTTAGGACTTTTATCTGTAAAAGGTTAAAATTGGTTGAGTATGGTGGCTCATGCCTGTAATCCCAGTGATAGGAACAGGAGGCAGAGAAATTCTAGGCAGAAAAGGGCAAGGTCCCTGGCAAAGCCCCACCCTCAAGCCTGGAACTATGCCCCAAAGTGAGAACATGCATTCCTGTTTTCCCGCTCGAATGCTGTCTTTTCCAAAACCACACATGGCCCGTTCCACCCCCATCCTGTACCCATAAAAACCCCTGACTGTACTGGCAGAGAGAAGAGAAGGGGAGAGGAGGAAAGGCAGCTGTATGGTAGGGACTGCAGTTTGACGTTGGGGAAAAGCAGCTTGACATTAGAGGGATGGCTTGATGCTGTTGCTTCGGAGAGTCCAGCTCGGGACAGTCGGAATCCAGGGGAAGATCACCTTCCTGCTCCATCCCTCTTCCAGCTCTCCTTCCCGCTTAGAGCCACTTTCATCGGCAATAAAATCCTCCATATTTACCACCCTTCAATTCATTCCTGTGACCTGATTTTTACTGGACGCCGAACAAGAGCTTGGGTGCCACCAGTGTGGGCAGCAAAGCTAAAAGAGCACTGTATCACATGCCCTCTGGGGCTTCAGGGGTCACGAGTACTCACCTAGACACTGCCGGGGGGCCCCATGGAGTTTTGCACCTGCCGGCACCCAACAGTGCTAGCTCTGGCTCCTGCACTTGCTCACCTGCTGCTCCCCGTCCCACCAGGCGTTGAGAGCTGTGGGCTGAGTAAGTGAGGCAGGCACTCCTGTCATGATGCTCAGGAAGGGGTCAAGGAAAATTTTCTGTTTCACCAGTACTTTTTGAGGCTGAGGTGGGCGGATCACTTGAGGTCAGGAGTTCGAGACCAGCTTGGCCATAGTGGTGAAAACCTCTCTCTACTGAAAATATAAAAAATTAGCTGGACATGGTGATGTGTGCCTGTAATCTCAGCTATTCAGGAGGGTGAGACACGAGAATCGATTGAATCCGGGAGGCAGAGGTTGCAGTGAGCTGAGGTTGTGCCACTGCACTCCAGCCTGGGTGACAGAGTGAGATTCTGTTTTTTTTTGTTTGTTTGTTTTTAAAGATTAAAGCTAATGTTTGTAGACTTACAGCTTTTCTTCAGTCAAAATTTGAATAGATTTATTAAAAAAAATTCAAAGTCAAACTCTACCCCACCCGCCACATTGAAATACTATTAGCATAGAGATACTTTATTTAAATTTGCCTGGTTATGTTGGAGAAACATGTTTTTACTTGGTTCTTCTGTCCTATGATGTATTTATTCTTTGAATCATTTTAGTTTTTGGTTTTGATTAACTTAATAGAAAAAATCAGAATCTTGTTTTTTAGAATTTGAATGTACCTCATCCTGTTCCTGTTTCTACTGAGTGAGGAATCCTTTCTTATAGCAGTCCTCGATCTGTTTGTCATTGCACCCTGTTTCATCAGTTGGTGTCTGTCCCTCTTTTGTGTTTACTCCTGTGACCACAGAAAGACTTTCCATCTCAAAAATCTCCTCATATTCCTGAGAGGAAATCCAGTGTGGGGCAGAACAATCATTGGAAATCATCTCAGAAGTCACTGGAAATCAGGTGTATTGATTTTCCTTGGGTTAAACTTACATTCCAGGTTCAGTGGGGTTGGAAAGAGGAGGTGGAGTCATGTATAATATGATTTTACTTCTGCCTAAGATATCTAGATAATTTCTTCATCCAGAGCATAGATTTGGCAGTTTCTTGCAGAATGAGAGGGTGTGTTTAACAGATGTTTGAGCCAATTTACCCACACTGTATGGTTTATTAATAAGCATTTCTTAATCTCAGTCTAAAATTCCACAATAAGTAAAATTGAGGAAAGAGTTAACAGTGATCAGCTTGTATGTATGGTATTGGAAATTCCCTTTAATATAACATTTATTTGTATACTATTGTAATGGCATATAACATCTGCCTGTGATCGTTTGTGAAAAATTTACTCCCATATCTGGGATCTGGCCACTTAATGAATTTCTTTCTTTCTTTCTTTCTTTCTTTCTTTCTTTCTTTTTTTTTTTTTGAGTTGGAGTCTCGCTCTGTCGCCCAGGCTGGAGTGCAGTGGCACAATCCTGGCTCACTGCAACCTCCATCTCCTGGGTTCAAGCAACTCTCCTACCTCAACTTCCCGAGTTGCTGGGATTATAGGCACCCACCACCACTCCCAGCTAATTTTTGCATTTTTATTAGAGTTGGGGTTTCACCACATTGGCCAGGCTGGTCTTGAACTCTTGACCTCAGGTGATCTGCCCACCTCAGCCTCCCAAAGTGCTGGGATTACAGGCATGAGCCACCGTGCCTAGTCATGAATTTCATATTATAAATGCATATACCAAATATAGTATTTAATGGTAAAATACAAATGTTTATTCATACATTACCTTTGGAAGGACATAAAAAACCAGTCATTGGTTGCCCCTAAAGGAAGAGAATACTGTAGGCTGGAGGACAGAGATAGGAGGTATAGCCTTTAATTCTAATTGAACTTTATATTGTGTGTAAGAGTTACCTAAACAGTAGTAAAGCACTAAAATGTAAGTAAAATAAAAATGACAAGCAGTAAGAAAAGGTAAGTTAAATGGAAAAGGCAAATACTCTTCTAGTATAATTCTAGCCAAATATAATTTGGTGGCGTCTATTTGAGTTTCTTCTCACAATTGGTAAGTTCTCTGTATTGATTGATGGCTAAGTTTGATTAGTGTTTTTCTCTAGTTGGTAATTATATTCTAGTATTTTATCATCTTATTGTTTACTCAACTTAAAGTGACACAGAAGAGTTGCCAGGTTTCTCTTTGATATGAGATCTCTTTTTGATTTGGAATGCAAATCAGAAGTGTCATGTTTTGAATAAAGGGACCAGATGACTTATAGGTATTCTTTCTCTAAATATAACTAAGGTAAGATTTTTGTTTTGAGGTACTTAATCTATATAAGTGGTAAAGAATTTACTTGAATTTCTCCAAATTCTCATGTCTAAAGTCTGATTGATTAAATTCATTCTTGGTATTTCATTTTGAAAAGAATGTAGCTTTAGCAAACCTCTTTGTATAAATGCAGTGGGATTAAGGTCATTTAAAAAATTGTTATATCATTGTATTTTTAAAATTTACCAGTTTTATTTTTCTTTTTACCCTTTAGCCGGCCTCAGAAAGTGTGTTTGTGTCCATTTCTCCCAGCGCACCCTCTGCATATCTCTACCCACTTGTACATAATTCAGCATCCAGCAGAGGTAAGATTTTGTAAAATACAGGATTTCAAATAGAATATGAGTCCACAAGAGGAAACACGAAGATAAACATACTTATCCTTACCAGCTCTTTAGCATTTCTGAAAAGAAGTTGGTGATAAATGCTTTCTCTTTTGGAAAAAATAGTTTCTTTTTAATTTCAACTGATAGTATAGAGTCTTATGCTCTAGAGAGAGATACCATTTCACAAAATCTATGTTATTGAATAGTATAGAAATTTAAAACTCCCAACAATTTTGTATGAAGAAAAAATGAGGTTTTGTGAATAAAGAGCTAAGAAAATCATTGCTTTTTAAATTTTGGTCATAGCTTATGTTTCTTGATGCTTGATGTCTTTTCTTGCTCCAGTAGAAGTAACTTTGGCATTTTACTCTTACAAAGTGAATGTATAAATAAATTTTTGGTTTATTTTAGATGAATAGAAGAAACATGTATATTTTATAATGCATGTTATATGTAAAGATTTTAAAATTAATACTTTCTTGTGCAGGTAAAATACATATGTGCCAGTGTGTATATGTGTTTGTAACTCTTGATTAGCTGCATAATGAAGAGGGGAGGAAGTTATAATTAATACAAAGCTACTCAATGCATACTATGAAATTATTTGCTGTAAAATGCAGTTAAAACTCTTTCAGTATTTAGGAACTGAGGACATCATAGACGCAGTCAAGCTTTCTAAGAAGGAATAATTATTTTTTAAATTTCTCAAGTCTGGATCACTTGAAGACTTTAACAGAGGTATAAAAGAAATTAATCTTTTCTTTCTTTCAAATGATGAAACACTTATTTATTTATTTTTTGAGACAGAGTCTCCCTCTGTCACCCAGGCTGGAGTACAGTGGTACAATCTCAGCTCACTGCAATCTCTGCCTCCCGGGTACAAACAATTCTCATGCCTCAGCCTTGAAACATTTTTTCTTTTATTGCAAATTGTTAACTACTCCATTTGGTGGACAACCTTTTTCTCAGCCTTTTTTTTTTTTTTTTGAGACGGAGTCTTGCTCTGTTGCCCAAGCAGGAGTGCAGTGGCGCGATCTCAGCTCACTGCAAGCTCCACCTTCCAGGTTCATGCCATTCTCCTGCCTCGGCCTCCCGAGTAGCTGGGACTACAGGCGCCCACCACAACGCCCGGCTAACTTTTTGTATTTTTAGTAGAGACGGGGTTTCACCGTGTTAGCCAGGATGGTCTCGATCTCCTGATCTCATGATCCACCTGCCTCAGTCTCCCAAAGTGCTGGGATTACAGGCGTGAGCCACCGCACCTGGCCTAACCTTTTTCTCAGTCTTAGCAGCATCATGCTTTTGTCAGGATTATGACAATTTGGTCACTAGCAGTATTTTACTTCAATTAAACTTAAAACATTGTACAGCTCAAATTTATGTAAACTGATAGCTTGCCGGCCACAGCAATTTTGGTTAAAACCTGACTTTTGAGGCTGGGAGCGGTGGCTTATGCTTATAATTCCAGCACTTTGGGAGGCTGAAGAAGGAGGATAACTTGAGCCCACAAGTTTGAGACCAGCCTGGGCAACATAGCGAGACCCCATCTCTATAAACAAATAAAAAAATTAGCCAAGTGTGGTGGTGTATGCCTATAGGCCTAGCTACTTGGGAGGCTGAGGTGGGAGGATCCCTTCTGTACAGGAGTTTTAGGCTGCAATGAGCTATGATTGTGACATTGCACTCTAGCTTGGGCTGTACAGCAAGACCCTATCTTAAAAAAAAAACAACCCACACCACTTGACATTTGATGGCAAATACTGTGTTCATTTTGCAGTATACACAGTATGGTGCCTTTTCATTATTGTGTGGTTCCAGATATAAGATAGCTTTTTTAGTGTGGGTGTTTTCATTGATTTGTGGCAATATTAATGTTTTCTTTCTATTTTTTGTAGAGATAGGGTCTCACTATGTTGCCCAGGCTGGTCTTGAATTCCTGGCCTCGAGTGATCCTCCTGCCTCAGCCTCCCACAGTGCTAGGATTACGGGCGTGAGCCATCATGCTTGGCCTTTTTTTTTTAATGTTTTCAAATACCTTATTTTTAATTTATTTTTGACCATTATTAATCCATGGTTTAGATGATTCATTCATCACTGTGTGTGCTACAGATGTGTTTTATGCATGTAGAAATGCATCCATACAGTTTTTCCTTCTCAGCAAAGGAATTTTCTATTATTATTATTTTCTGTTTTTAAGAACGGGGTCTCGCTATATTGCCCAGGCAGGTCTCAAACCCATGGCTCAAGTTATCCTCCAACCTCTGCCTCCCTAAGAGCTGGGACTATAGGCGTGAACCACTGTGTCCAGCCATTCTTAGCAAAGGAATTTTCCAGTTTTCATCTAACTTATTAATACTGGGCTGCCTGTGCTTAACTTCAGCACACCATTTCCAATAAAAGGATTTGCTAGCCTACAGAATGAGAGAAAATTTTTGCAATCTACTCATCTGAAAAAGGGCTAATATCCAGAATCTACAAAGAACTCAAACAAATTTACAAGAAAAAAACAAAGAACCCCATCAAAAAGTGGACAAAGGATATGAACAGACACTTCTCAAAAGAAGACATTTATGCAGCCAACAGACACATGAAAAAATGCTCTTCATCACTGGCCATCAGAGAAATGCAAATCAAAACCACAATGAGATATCATCTCACACCAGTTAGAATGGCGATCATTAAAAAGTCAGGAAACAACAGGTGCTGGAGAGGATGTGGAGAAATAGGAACACTTTTACACTGTTGATGGGACTGTAAACTAGTTCAACCATTGTGGAAGTCTGTGTGGCGATTCCTCAGGGATCTAGAACTAGAAATACCATTTGACCCAGCCATCCCATTACTGGGTGTATACCCAAAGGAATATAAATCATGCTGCTATAAAGACACATGCACACGTATGTTTATTGCAGCACTACTCACAATAGCAAAGACTTGGAACCAACCTAAATGTCCAACAATGATAGACTGGATTAAGAAAATGTGGCACATATACACCATGGAATACTATGCAGCCATAAAAAATGATGAGTTCATGTCCTTTGTAGGACATGGATGAAGCTGGAAACCATCATTCTTAGCAAACTATATCACAAGGACAAGAAAACCAAACACTGCATGTTCTCACTCATAGGTGGGAATTGAACAATGAGAACACTTGGACACAGGAAGGGGAACATCACACACCGGGGCCTGTTGTAGGGTGAGGGGTGTGGGGAGGGATAGCATTAGGAGATAGACCTAATGTAAATGACGAGTTAATGGGTGCAGCACACCAACATGGCACATGTATACATATGTAACAAATCTGCACATTGTGCACATGTACCCTAGAACTTACAGTATAATAAAAATATATATATAATAAAAAGAAAAAAGGATTTGCTAGTTTTTGACTCTCCCATAGAAAAGTTATTAACCATTTAGATAGGCTCTAGGAGGGGGCTTTGGGAAAAGAAGACTTGGTGGAGTAGATGATATGGAGGTGATATGATGGAGCATTTCAAAGAGTAGGTATACATACATGTAAAATTACCTAAGGGTAAAAATAGAAAAGCTATCTCAAAAATAACAGAAAGCTTTACAAGAAAATAATCTTATGTTAAAGGACTTGGCCTTTGTGAACAATGTGTATTTAGTCGTGAAGATGCAAACACTGTTTATTGACTTAACTAATAATATTAGATGTGAGAGGAAGGAGTGGTATTAGAAAGCTAAATCCTCATTTGTTATGAGAGGCAGTACTTAAGGGCTGTGGAGCTAGACTGCCTGAGTTCAAATTCTTAATAGTTCTATAAACTCTGAAACTTTGAGCAAGTTAATTAACATCTCTGTGTTTCAGTTTCCTCATTAGTAAAATGGATATGACAAAAGATATATTTCTCTCTCTCTTTGTATTGTACTTAGAATTGTGTGCCTTAATATTAGCTGTTATGATGATGATAATTGGTAGTTTTTGGATAATATCTAAAATCGATAAATCAAGAAATAGAAAAACAACATATATTGTATGGTTATATGGAGATAACTACCAGAAGAAATAGCCAAAAGAGTTAAAGTGATTGCCTCCAGGATGTGGTACTGGGGAGTACATCTGGGAACAACTGTGGCATTTTAAATCTTATGGCACTATTTAATTTGACATATATACATGTATTACTTTGATAAAGGTTTAGAAACTGATTAAGTTTGTGTCACAGTCTCATGGTGATGGTAAAGAGAGAAGAACATTGTATTAAACATTGGAAAATGTCCTAAAACCACCTAAGGCGGAGTAACTAATCACTTGGCTCTATGGGATTCAAGGTAGAATTCTCGTGGCAACAAGAAAGATGGTTTCCAGTGATGGAAGCTAGGACATTGAAGAAACCACTGACGACAGTCAACTTAATGGCTTTTTCAGAAATGGCCACCAGATTTCTCCACTCTAAAGTTATTATTTTTGTTCTCTTTCCATACTCTATATTCTTTGGAAGCAAGGCCATAAATCCAGCCCACACTCAAGTGGGAGGAAGAGATTAAGTTCCACCTTCAGGAGGGGGGAGTATTTACATTTATTATTTGGAATTCTTTTGTAAGGAAGATTTGTTTCTTCTCCCCCATTTATTTATTAAGTCATTTATTTATATCATTCTGGACTCTAATTTGTACTTTGGGTTATAACCCAGTACTGTGTTATTTATTTTCTTGCTCAGATTGTTCAATTTTAGCCATTGGGAGCTCTTTAAGATTGGCTTCTGTGTCCCTTTGACATACCCCATTGTTTTGTTTTCTTTTTTAAAAAAATTTTTAATTTAAGTAAAGAGGCTATGCTGGGAAGAACCGATTGTTTTGTTTTCTGAGCACTTCCTTGCTTTTTTGGGCATAAAGATCTAGGCAATTATCTTCAAGCTGGCATAGTGCAAAATGTAATTACTTGTGAAATGAAAAACTTGTCAGAGTAAATGATTCAATTTAGTTAAACACAAATTTACATTTTAATAATCTTAATCATTATATATATTAATGTAATCTTCTTTGATCAGTAAACCTGTAAAACATACCCAAATAGAATAAAAATGTATGCTTGTGTTATGGTTAATACTGATAAATCAGAGAAATTTTACCTCTTTTTATTAAACTGTGGTCTTTAGTAAAAGACTTGTGAAAGTTATGCATAAAGTTATGAATCAGATGTTCATTATAAAATATTTAAAAGTGTGTATATCTAAGTAAAAATCTATGTTTCAATTCATTTTTTAATTAAAGGAAAACAAAGTGTTGCGTACAGTTCCTCTACTAGCAGCATGCCTCCCCCAGGACAAGTGTAAAGTGAAGATCGGTCGTCGCTTCAGTGAAGAAAGGTAAATTAACTGTTAGGGCAATGTAAATAATTCTTTTCTACACAGATCTTAAAAAATGGTTTCTTTCAGCTTATTTCTTTCAGCTTATTCATGGTCTAAAGAGTGGAAATTAGTCAAAAAATTTAGGTTCTGCTAACCCCTGACCACACAAAATAATACAAGACAAAACAAAACAAAACAAAATCAGAAATAAAAAAATAAATAATGTATAAGCAAAGGAATGATAGCATTATCTGAATTTCATAGTAATGTATGTTTAACTTAAAAGGCAAATATACTTAGTGTTTATATCATTTTTGTTAAAAGTGCCTTTCAGTTGGTAGATGGTAGGGTTCTTTTTTTTTTTTTTTCTTAAATATCTTCCACAACTTTTTTTTTTTTTTTTTTGGTAGGGTTCTTGTATTAGATTTAGTTCAGTTTTTTTTCCCCTATGGTGCCTAATATAGTGCTTACTCAGTAAATTGTTATTATTATTATTTTTTGAGGCAGGATCTCACTTTGTTGCCCAGTCTGGAGTGCAGTGGTGCAATTTTGGCTCACTGCAGCCTCCACCTCCTGGGCTCAAGTGATTCTCCCACCTCAGCTTCCTGAGCAGCTGGGACTACAGGCATGAGCCACTGGGCCTGGCCAGTAAATTATTATTTGCTGATGAATTTTAAATTAAAGCAAATTAGAACTATTAATATAAATGTGGTAATTGAATGATTAATTTAGGCTTTTGTTAGAGTACATGATGAAATCATCGGGGAATGATTAAGAGACATACTGCTTTTGGTGTCCTTTGTAAATTTTTGCCTCTAGTATATAAGAAAACAATTGGTTTTTATATATTAACCCCATATCCAGTAACTTTCTAAATTCGTCTGTTAGTTGTAGAAATTGTTTTGTAGATTCCCTGGAACTTTCTATGTAAGCAGCATTGTCATCTGCAAATGAGATCATTTATATTTCTTCCTTTCTGATACTTATCCTTTTTTTTTCCTTGCCGCATTGCAATAACTGATACCTTTAGTATAATGTTTATTGGAAGTGGTGAAAGCCAACATCTTTACCTTGGTCCCAAACTCTGTGGACGTTATTAACTATGATATCGGCTGTATGTTTCTCCCCACCAAGCATTATTGAGGTATAATTGATAGATAAAAGTTATATTTATCATGTACAGTGTGATGTTTTGATGTATGTATACATTGTGAAATGATTAGCACAATCAAGCTAATTAAATTTATCACCTCACATAGTTAAGATTTGTTCAAAACGTTCAGTAATATTGAGAATACTATAGTATGGCTGTGTCAGGAGAGACATAATGAGGAAGTGAAGCCAAAATGCATGAAAGGAAAGAAGTTTATTACACACAGATACCAGAGAGGTTAGGATGCCAGTGTGAGGCCAAAGGGAAGTCTGGAAACAACAGGGGATTCAACCGCTGGGTGGGTGGGAAGGGGAGACCTGTGGGATTATGCCTTTATTAAGGTCTGTGGGGATTATCCCTTGGGATTTCCCTGTGGGTTGTAGACTGGCTAGTTTAAAGAGAACAATGTGAAGGGGGAGCTTATTCATATGACTCTGGTATTGACCTTTAGGTTTTATTGTGGTCAGCAGCTATGTGATGTGTTGGGTTTTGGATTAGTGAGGAACAAGTAGGCTATATGGCAAACACCACACAGGGAGGGAAAGTTTTAACTAGGCCAAAGGTGATAGGGTTGGCTGGATTACAGATAACTTACGTCAGGCCTAAAATGGATGCCAAGGCAACAACTGTATTAAACAGATTTATAACAATAGTTTTATGGTTTTTTTTTTTTTTTTGCAGTGATAACATATAAGAGCTGCCTTCATGGCTGTTTTCAAGTATACAATACATTAACTGTAATAACCATGTTATACAATGTCATTTATCAGTTTCTAAAATGATGAGAGTTTTAATTATGAATGGGTGTTTGTTGAGTTTTGTGAAATGCATCTATTAAAATGATCATGTAGATTCTCTCCTTAATTCTGTTAATATAGTGTATTATATTGATTGATTTCTGCATGTTAAAACCCTTCTATTTCTAAGATAAAGCCCACCTGGTCATATTATAATTTGTGGGAAGGTTTTTTTCTTACAAATATAATTCATTTATTAAACATAAGGCATTTCATATTTTCCATTTATTTTTGTGTCAGTTTTTATATTTTGTACCTTTCAAAGAAATGGTACAAGTTATCTAAATTGTTGAATTTATTGTCATAAAGTTGCTTGTAGCATTTATTTATTGTTATTTTCATGTCTGTAGAATCTGTAGTGGTAACCTCTTTTAATTCCTGATTTAGGTAATTTGTGTCTTTTCTTTTTTCTTAGTCTGTTTTGGTCGATCTCTTTAAAGAATCAAGATTTGGCTTTGTGTTTTTCTTTGTTTGGTTTTCTAATTGATTTCTACTCTTTATTGTCAATTTTTTTCTTGCTTTGGATTTAATTTCTCTTTTTTCTTTTTTTAGTAGAAGATTAGATAACAGATTTTAAAACTTTTTGTTCATTCATATAAGCATAAATTTAAAAAAAAAATAAATTGAGATGGGGTCTTGCTATGTTGACTGGCCTCGTCTCAAACTCCTGGCCTCAAGTGATCCTCTCATCTTGGCCTTCCAAAGTGCTAGGATTACAGATGTGAGCTACTGTGCCTGGCCCGTGCATATAAACATTTCAGCTGTAAATCTATAAATTTTTCCTTTTTTTTTTTAGACAGGGTCTTGTTTTCCAGGCTTGAAGTACAGTGGCACACACATAGCTCACTGTAGCCTTGAACTCTTGGGCTCAATTAAAAGTTTTCTTTTGTAGAGACAGGGTCTCGCTATGTTGCCCAGGCTGGTCTTGAACTCCTGGCCTCAAAGTATCTTACCCCCTTTGGCCTCCCAAAGTGCTGGGATTACAAGTGAGAGCCACGATTCCTGGCCAAGTTTCTCTTCTTAACCATTGCTTTATATATCCCACCAATTCTGTTATATTGTGATTTTGGTTTGTTCAGTTCAAAATATTTTAAAATTACTTTTGTGATTTCTTCTTTCACACATGGATTGTTCAGGAGTGTGTCGCTTAATTTCCAGATATTTGGGGAAGTTTTAGATGTATCATGATTATGTTTATTTTGATTTCTACTCTTATTTGTTTATACTCTGTGATTTTAGGTTTAAAAATTTTATTGATACTTGTTTTGTGTTCTGGCATGTGATCTGTCTTTTGGTAAATATTCTATATGCACAAGAAAAGACTATATTCCTCAGTTGTCAGATGTAGTGTTACACAAACTATCAATTAGGTCAAGATGGTTGATAGTGTTATTCAAATCTTCTGTATTTTGACTGATTTTATGAGCATGTTTTCTCTCAAATATCAAGGAAATTGTGTTAAAATCTCCAGCTATGATTAGGGATTTGTTTATTTTTACATTTTGTTCTTTTGGTTCCTGTTTTATCTATTTGAAAACTCTTCAAGTAGGTGAATATGTATTTCGTATTATTATGTTAACTTGATGCACTAGTCCTTTTATCATTATTATGTGTTGTTGGAAAAACTCTCAACCATTTTTCCTCTGCTGTGGTGTCAACACCACAAACTTCAACACAGAAAACTTCCGAGACCCCCAAATATGTGAGGATTTCTCCCCACAAGCAAGCGAGCGAGCAAGCAAGCAAGCAAGCAAGCAGTCAATTTTGCAATAATACTAGTTGGGTGTCTTCCAGTTCAATTCTGACCCTGCCTACGTGGGGATAGTGTCACATCCCACAGGATGAGGGCTCAGTTCCCAAGACTGCCCCTTCCCCGCTTCAGACACCATTGGCAAGTCCGGGCCTCAGGAACTTCTGACTGATCAGCTTCAAGTTGGGGCTTCCACAACTCTTGGTTTGGGTTCAGTTAGTTAGAAACACTTAATGTTTACCAGTTTATGATAAAGGATATTACAAAGGGTACAGGTGAGATACGTAATGCAAGGTACAGAGAAAGGGCTGCAGAGCTTCCATGCCTTCCCTGGTGCACTACCCTCCAGGAATGGCCACATGTTCAGCTCTCTGAACCCTGTCTGCTTGGGTTTTTATTTAGGCTTCATCATTCAGGCATGATTGATTAAGCCATTGGCCACTGGTGATCAACTTGACCTTTAGCCTCTCTCCTTCCCCTTAGTCTTTCCAGTGACTAATCCCACCCTGGAGCTGTCAGTCAATATTAGCATACAAAAAAACAACACTTTGAAGATTCTAAGGATTTTAGGAGTTGTATTCCAGGAAACGGAAAGAAGACCAAATATATATTTCACAATATCACAAATGTCTTTCTTTATCTCTGGTAATACTCTTTGTCTTAAAGTCTACTATGTGTGGGTGCTAGTGTTTATATGGTATGGGTCTTGGTTTTTAAATTTAATCTAACAATCTCTGTTGTTTAATTGGGGAGTTTATTTCATTTTCCTGGATGTAGTTATTGACTTGTTTTCTTTTACATTACCAGTGAATACCATAGTGATATTTGTCTTCTATTAGTCCTATCAGTTATTTGATCTTTTGTTCCTCTTTTATGTCTTTCTTCTGGGTTACTAAGTTTTTCTTAGCGTTCCATTCTATTTCTTTGCTGGCTTTTTAGGTATGCCTTTTGTGGTTAGTCTTTGGATTATACTATGTATTCTTACTTTATCACTGTTTACCTTGAATTAATAACATTATACATTAAATATATAACATAAGAACCTTATAAAAATATAATTCCATGCAATCTCCTTCTATTTTTTGTGTTATTGTTTTCATGTATTTTACTTTTAGATAATAAGGGAAACTGGGTGTGGTGTATATAGGAATTCTCTGTACTATTTTTGCAATAATTCTGTAAATCTAAAGCAGTTATTTAGATATTCTTTGCTTTTTTTTTTTTTTTTTTTTTTTTTTTTTAATGGAGACAAGGTCTCACTATGTTGCCCAGGCCAGTCTTAAACTCCTAGGCTAAAGGGATCCACCTGCTTTGGCCTCCCAAAGTGCTGGGATTACAGATGTGAGCCACTGTGCCCAGTCCTTTTTGCTTTTTATCAGTGTTTTTTAGTGTTTCACATACAGGTACTTTACGTATTTTAATAGATTCACACCTAAGAATTTCATTTTTGCAGGGCTATTTTAATGGTATTTAAAACAATTACAAATGTGAATTTTTTGTTGCTAGTATGTGGGAAAGCAATTGACTTTTGTATATTAACCTTATATCTTGTGACCTTGCTGTACTTATTTACTTGTTCTTGGAGGTTATTTTTATTTATTTATTTATTTATTTATTTATTTATTTATTTATTTAGGTCAGTTCCCTGGACTTTTCTACATAGATGATTAGGTCTTCTGAGGAGTATATATGGTTTTGTTTCATCTTTCTAGTTTGTATATCTTTGGTTCCCTTTTCTTATTTCAATAGCTAGGGATTGAATAGCAGTGGTGAGAGGACATCCTTGTTTTGTTCTCAGTCTTAGAGAACAATTACGTATAATGCTAGCTATAGGTATTTTGGAAATGTTCTTTACTAAACTGAGGACATTCTCCCCTATTCCTAGTTTGTGGAGAGTTTTTATCATGAGTGGGCTTTGGGTTTTGTCAAATGCGTTTTCTTTGTGAATTGATACAGTCCTTTGATGTTTCTTCTTTAGTCCATTGATGTGGGTGATTACATTTATTGATTTTGAATGTTAAACCAACCTTCCATCCCTGTAATAAATCTGGTTTGTGATGATAGATAACTTTTTGGATTTAATTTGCTGATATTTTGTTGAGAATTTTTGCCTTTATATTCATAAGGGATATTGATCTATAGTTTTCCTTTCTTGTAATGCCTTTATTTGGTTTTGATATGAGGGTAATGCTGGCCTTATAGAATGAATTAGGCAATGTTCTGTCTGTTTTTAGGATCTGGAAGAGATTGTGGAGAATTGATACCATTTCTTCCTGAAATGTTTGAGAGAATTCACTGCTGAAACCACCTGGGCCTGGTGATTTCTTTTTTAGAAGATTATTAATTATCGATTCAATTTCTTTAATAGACATAGAGCTTTTCAGTTTTCGTATTTCTCCTTGTGTGAGTTTTGATAGTTTGTTTTTCAAGGAATTAGTTAATTTCCTCCTAACTATGAAATTTGTGGGCATTGAGTTTTTTGTAGTATTTATTATTTTCTTAATGACTTTGGAATCAGTAATGATCACCCTTTTTATTTCTGATATCAGTAATTGTGTCTTTGCTCTTTTTTTTTTGATTACCTCAGGTGTAGTTTTATCAATTTAATTGATCTTTTCAAAGAACCAGTGTATTAGTTTGCTAGGACTGCCATAATAAAATACCACATACTGGGTGGCCAAAGAGAAGTTTATTTTCCACAGTTCTTGAGTTTAGAACTCCAAGATCAAGAGGCCAGTAGATTTGGTTTCTCCTGAGGCCTCTCCTTGGCTTACAGTTGGTTGCCCTCTCATTGCCTGTTCATATGGTTGTCCCTCTGAACAGGTGTGCCCCTGCCATCTCTTCTTTTGTGTCCAAATTTCCTCTTCTTATAATCATACCAGTTAGATTAGAATAGGGACCACCCTAATGGCTTCATTTTAACTTAATCACTTCTTTAAAGGTGATTTTTCTATCTCTAAATACCATCATATTCTGAGCTACTAGGGGTTAGGACTTCAACATATGAATTTTGGGGAGGACACAATTCCTTCTATAACAGTCAGCTTTTGATTTCATTGATTTTTTCTGTTGTCTTCCTATTTTGAACTTCACTGATTTCCATCTTAGGTTTTACTCTTTCTTTTCTTTTTATAGTGCTTGCTTCAGGCTTAAATTGCTCGTCTTTCTCTAGCTTTTTTTTTTTTTTTTTAAATTTTTTTGTCAAGACAGAGTCTTGCTACATTGCTCAGGCTGGTCTTGAGCTCCTGGCCTCAAGTGACCCTCCTGCCTCTGGGATTAGAGGCATGAGCCACAATGCATGGCCCTATCTAGCTTTTGTTGTTGTTGTTGTTTTTGTTGTTGTTGTGTTTTTAAGGAGGAAGCTCAGACTGTTGATTTTCAGGTCTTTCCTTTTTCTTAATGTGCATTTTAATGCTATGAATATCTCTCTAAGCAGTGCTTTTGCTGCTTCCCACACATTTTGATAAGTTGTATTTTCATTTTCGTTTAGTTCAAAATATTTAAAAATTTCCCTTGGGACTTATCTCTTGACCCGTGGTTTACTTAGAAGTATGTTGTTTAATCTCCAATACTGCGGAGTTTTCCAGCAAGTTTTCTGGCTCTAATTTAATTCCATTGTAGTCTGAGAGCATACTTTGTATGATTTCTATTTTAAATTTGTCAGGGTATGTTTTATGGCCCAGAATGTGGTCTGTTTTGGTGAGTGTTTCATGTGAACTTGAGAAGAATGTGTATTTTGTTGTTGGTGGACTATTCTATAAATATCAATTAGATCAAGTTGATTGATAATGCTGTTCAGGCCAACAATATCCTTACTGATTTTTTTGTCTGCTTGATCTACCAGTTACTGACAAGGTTGTACTGAAGTCTCCAACTGTATTACTGGATTTGTCTGTTTCTTTTTTCAGTTCTATTGGTTTTTGCCTTACATGTTGTGAACAGTGAATTTTTAAGTACATACATGTTAAAAGATTGTTATGTCTTTTTGGAGAATTGACTCTTGTTATTATGTAATGCCTTTCTTCATCCTCATAAGTTTCCTTCTGATGTCTGCTTTGTCTGTAGTTTATATAGCTATTGCAGACTGCAGTTACTTTTTTTTTTTTTTTTTTTTTAAGACAAGGTCTCGTTCTGTTGCTCAAGCTTGAGTGTAGTGGCACAATCATGGTTCACTCACTGTAGCCTTGACCTCCCAGGCTCAAGCGATTCTCCTGCCTCCGCTTCCCGAGTAGCTGGGACCATAGGTGCACGCCACCATGCTTGGCTGATTTTTAAACATTTTTGGAGAGATGGGAGTCTCACTGTGTTGCCTAGGCTGATGTTGAACTCTTGGGCTTAAGCAGTGCTCCTGCCTTGGACTCCCAAAGTGCTGGGATTACAGGGGTGAGCCACTGCCTGGCCTGGAATTATCTTTTGATTAGTATTATCATATATCTTCATCCCTTTTTTTTTTCAAAAGGGCTTTATTGAGATGTAATTCACATACCATTTAACTTACCAATTTAAAATGTACAAATTAATTGGTTTCTAGTATATCCAAAGATATTTGCAACCATCACCAGTCAATTTAAAATATGTCATCACTTCAAAAAGAAACCCTCTACCTTTAACTGTCACCTACCTATCCCTATGCCCTCCGTCCTCTCCAACTCCCTGCGCCTTCCCAGTCCTAAGCAAACACTAGTCTACTCTGTGTTTCTATTGATTTTCCTATTTGTTATCCATATTTGATATCTGATATTCCATATAAATGAAATAATATATTTGGACTTTTGTGACTGGCTTCTTTCACTTAGCATAATGTTTTCAAGGTTGTAACATGTATGTTGTAACATATATTAGTACTTAATTTCTTTTTGTGGTTAAATAAT
Organism: Homo sapiens; assembly: GCF_000001405.40. Classification (NCBI taxonomy): domain Eukaryota; kingdom Metazoa; phylum Chordata; class Mammalia; order Primates; family Hominidae; genus Homo; species Homo sapiens. The sequence continues at coordinate 118,930,642 of NC_000005.10, read as the reverse complement.
AGGTAGAAAAAAGCTGTGGTAAGTAGTTTCTCTTGAGGGAAAGGCCTTTGTTATGGAGAATGCTGCGGGCTATTTCAAGATGGTTACTTTTCTTTTTTTTTCCTCTGGTTTTTGGAGTGTTTGCCCTGGAGCCTCAATTCTCTGACGAATCTAAGAAAAGTTGTTAATTTTCAGTTTGTTAGCATTTTTTTTTGTGAAGATGGGCTTGATGACTTTCAAACTCTTTATTTCTGAGCTGAATTTGGAAGTCCAAATTATATTTCAAAGAAAAATGATAATTTGTCTCCTTTCCCCTTAATAGCATTTTGTTTTGTTTTTTGCTTGTGGGCAAAGGGTGTCTCATTCATTGTTTTGTCTCCAGTACCAAAAAGCTTTGACACATTTTTGAATGAATGTTGAATCAACTAACTCTATAACGGAACTGGATGATGGTGTAGGGGCCAAGGGGAACGTTCCTCTTCACCCTCTGAAGGTCTGCTGAAAATCATCTGACAAAAGACAAATTAAAGGGAGAAAAGGCATACAAATTTATTGACGTGTAAGGGAGTCTTATGAAATATAAGAACTCAGAGAAATGGCCAGATGGTTGATGCTTTTATGTCATCTTGAGGTTTACAGAAAGAATAGGGGCTTAGAGCATGGCAAAGCTGGTTATTATGGCAAAAACATTTGGGACGGGGAGAAGAGGAGGCCTGGCTGGCAAAAGTGGTCTTGTTATGCAGATGAAACCGCACCGATAGCAGCCTTCATAGAGAATAGAGGGTAAATATTTCTTTCAGACCATTAAGGTTGTCAGACTTTCAGTTATTATTTCCTAGATCTGGACAAGGGAAGGTCCTCAGAGAAAGCCTGGCTGCCATGTGTTTTTCTCTACAGATGCAACAGCTTTTCAAGGCTACTGCTGTTTGCAAGCCCTCTAAACAGCTGTGTCAACATATGTCAAATAAGTATATTTTGAAGTGAAATATTTTGGTTTCCTTCAATAGATAATATACGATGTTATAAGAAAAACTTCAGCCAAATTAAATTTAAAGGAATTTAATTGAGCAATGAACAATTTGTGAATCGGGCAGTCCCCAGAATCACAGCAGATTCAGAGAGACCCCAGGGATGCCTCGTGGTCAGAACAAATTTGTGGACAAAAAAAAAAAAAGGGAAGTGACGTACAGAAATCAGCAATGAGGTACAGAAACAGCTGGATTGGTTACAGGTTGGGGTGTGCCTTATTTGAACACAGTTTGAACACTTAGCACTCTGTGAATGGTTGAAGTATGGCCACTGGGATTGGCCAAGACTCAGCCATTGTTACAGGTGCATACTCCTAAATTAGGTTTTCAATCTTGTCTGCCTATTAAGATAGGTTAGGGTTCATCCATAAGGACTCAAATATAGAAGTATGGAGTCCTTCTCAGGCCATATTTAGTTGGCTTTAACAAAGGTGAATTTGAGAATGTGGCTTGCCTATGCAACCGAACTTCTCTTTATGGTTCTTCCATTGCTACTCGATTTTGCCTTGGGATTGTTAGGATTGTTTGTGCTAGGATTGTTAGGCAGTGCCAGTTGTTTACTTTGATAAAGTGGATCAGATTACACATGAAGTATTAGTGAGGAAAGGAAGAATTCTTTGGAAGGGCTAAAGTTATGTCACTGGCAGTTGGATAGAAAAGCTTTGATAGAGAAGAATAGTGAGGATTGGAAAGCCTAGAGGAGAGTGGCAGAATTGTGGTGAATACATCAGTAGAGAGTACACAAAATTTTGAGTCTTTTTAATTCATACTTTATAAACTAATACTTATATTTGATTAGACAAATGACTACATATAGGGAAACTTTTATTAGGAAATTCAGTAAGCATAATAAAACCTTTTTTCCTCACAAGCTAATAAAGATATATTTTTAAAAAACTTTTTCAGAGATCCTGAACTTTCAACTGTTTGCCGGAAGTCTGGTACATTAATATTATATCCAGGGGCTGAAGCTGCTAATTTGGAAGAATTTATATTAGATTCTCCTGTTTATCCTTCTACAATCATCATCATTGATGGTACATGGAGCCAGGCTAAGGACATTTTCTATAAGAACTCCTTGTTCCGACATCCCAAACAGGTAAACTAGTAATTTTAACAGAGAATAAATATAAATATATAATTAGGTATATTGTGTATGTTTTCTGTGAAGGGATACACATAGATTTTTATATATGAATTTGGTGGTATTTCTATGTGTGAATATATAGTACCTAGATATATGTATGCTTATGTTTATGAGTTTGAATATATATGTATTTTGAATATATATATAAAATTTCAAATTTGTCATTTCTTCTCTCCTACTGCCAAATTTTACTGTAGTTGAGGCATTTGGCTATATTAAGAGTCTCTTAGACATTTAATCAGAGAAGTCTAAGGATTATTTTTATATGTATTAATGTGTTTTGTTAAGAAGCATTATCTTATTTAAATACTATTATTTGGTTACTGAATTACCTAGTTCTTACTAGGAATGACTAAGTTTTTATTAAATACTTTTTGTCATTCATTATTACAGTTATATGGTTTATTCTTCAGTTTTTTGATGTAATTAATTATGAAGACACCTTTCTTAATATTGGTCCATTCTTATATTCCTGGAATGGACTCAACTGAGTAAACTATTAAACATTTTTGATATATTGCTGAAAATTATATTTTATTTAGTGGCATTGAATTATGTGTATTTTTGGTCCACTGTCATGTTTGGTTATTAAAATAATGTTAACTTCCAAAGTAAATTGGAGAGATTTTAATATTTTTCTATGACCTGGAATAGTTTAAATAATACTAGAATTCCTTGCACCTTAGAAATTAGATGGAACTCATTGGTGAAATCACTTGGTTCTGTTCTCTTTAAAAATGGTAGCTTTTAAATTCTTCTTTCAAACTCTTCTAAGGAAATTATTCAAGCTTTCTACTTCTATTTAGATCAGTTTTTAATAACTTTTATATTTCTCTAGGGAATTATCTCTTTTCTCTAAGTTAGCAGATTGGTTGCCATATACTTATATACAGTCTTAAATAATTATTTTAATTACTCAGGAATGCATTTTTTTCTTGTTTTTAATCATACACACACAGACATAGACACACACACATACACAAACGTTTTTTACACAAACAGATTCAAAAGGGGTTTCTCTATTTTATAGAACTTTTAAAATATAAGCTTTTAGGTTGTTTATATTGGCTATTATAGTTTATTTTTATTTCATTACGTTGAACTTTTTTCTCGACCAATTTTATATTTCATCTTTTTGGGCTTATTTTCTTCTATTATTCTTCTGATTTTATAAGATTTTTACTAAGAGTACTTCTGTAGACTGAATTGTGTTCCCTGTCCCTCCCCCGACCCCATGCATATATTGGAGCCCTAACTTCCAATATAATGGTATTTGGAGATGGGACCTTTGGGAGGTGATTAGATTATGAAGGCAGAGCCCTCATGATGGGATTAGTACCTTTAGAAGAAGAGACATGAGAGATACTTCCTTTTTGCTCTCTGTCTCTCTCCGTCTCTCTTTGTCTCTCTCTCTCTCTTTCTCTGTCTCTCTCTGCATGTGAGGACACAGCAAGAAGACTTCCATTTGCAAGCCAGGAAGAGAGCTCTCACCAGGACCGTGACCATGCAGGTGCTCTGATTCAGACTTCCCAGCTTCTAGAACTGTGAGAAATGAATGTTACAACAGCCTAAGCTGACTAAAACAAGTACTAAATTTCTTTATTAAGATTTCTGAGTTCTGCTAGGCTTGGTGGCTTGTACCTATAACTCCAGCTACTTGTGAGGCTGAGGTGGGAGGATCACTTGAGCCCAGGAGTTTGAGGTTACAGTGAGCTATGATTGTGCCACTGCACTCCAGCCTGGGTGCCAGAGAGAGACCCTGTCTCCAAAAAAAAAAATCACTTTCTTTTTTGAACAAAAGGGGCGAGATGGATGCAATATTTCCGCTAGTATAACTGTCACTGTATCCCATTATTTTGGGTTAAAGTGTTCTTTTATCAGTAACATTGATATAAGTTGTTTTGATTTCTTTCTACCCATGGATTATCAATGAATTCTTTTTTTTAAAATTTCAATAGCTTTTGGGGTACAAGTGGTTTTTGGTTACATGGATGAATTCTGTAGTGGTGAATTCTGAGATTTTAGTGCACCCGTCACCTGAGCAGTGTACACTGTACCGAATATTTAGTGTTTTACTCCTCACCTCCCTCCTTCCACCCAGAGTCCCCAAAATTTATTATGTACATCTTTGCATCCTCATAGCTTAGCTCCCACTTATAAGTGAGAACATAACGGAATTTGGTTTTCCATTCCTGGGTTACTTCACTTAGAATAATGGCCTCCAGTTCCATCCAAGTTGCTGCAAAATGAACTTAGTTTGTTCATTTTTATGGCTGAGTAGTATTCCGTGGTATATATATACTACATTTTCTTTGTCCACTCATTGGTTGATGGGCACTTAGATTGGTTCCACGTCTTTGCAGTTGTGAATCGTGCTGCTATAAACATGCCTGCGCATGTGTCTTTTTTTTCTTTTTAAATTGAAATGAGGTCCCACTGTGTTGTCCAGGCTGGCCTTGAACTCCAGGGCTCAAGTGATCCTCTCCCTACCTCGGCTTCCCAAAGTGCTGGGGTTACAGGCATGAGGCATCACACTTTGTTTATGTGTTTTTTTCATATAATGACTTATTTTCCTTTGGGTAAATACCCAGTAGTGGGATTGCTTGACTGAACGGTAGATCTACTTTTAGTTCTTTTTTTTTTTGAGATGGAGTCTTGCTTTGTCACCCAGGCTGGAGTGCAGTGGCACAATCTCGGCTCACTGCCAGCTCCGCCTCCCGGGTTCACACCATTCTCCTGCCTCAGCCTCCTGAGTAGCTGGGACTACAGGTACCCGCCACTGCGCCCGGCTAATTTTTTGTATTTTTAGTAGAGACAGGGTTTCACCATGTTAGCCAGGATGGTCTCGATTTCCTGACCTTGTGATCCACCCGCCTCGGCCTCCCAAAGTGCTGGAATTACAGGCATGAGCCACCGTGCCTGGCCTACTTTTAGTTCTTTAAGGAATCTCCATACTATCAATGAGTTCTTAATTCTTAAGTGTTTTAACACTTTTCATCATTATTTTACTTTTATTTCTGATTTTTGGAATCGTGATAAAAGAGCATTAGCCACGCTATTTTGAATAAGTTTATGATTTCTGTGTGAATAGGTACCTGGTAGATTTTTGTTCATGTTCTATTACTATAAAAATGTACATTCTCTATTTAGGGATGTAAACATTCATACTATTGCTTTTAAGTTTGTTAATTGTATTTTTCTTTATGTTTTTATTTTTTGGTATACTTGGACTGTTTGATACTGTAAAAGGATTATGAAAAGCTTTAGTGCTTATGTATTTTTAACGATGTTATCCCTGCATTCCCAGTAGTTTTTGTGTTATCTGCTCTGTTGTTGGGTGCATACAAGCCATACACTTAGTGAAGAATAACAATGGAACCCTGACTTCTGAGGTTTTAAACTTAAATTCTTTATAGTTTTTATTCCCTTTGACCAAAATGCAGACATTGTTTTTAGATGAGACTAAAATACATAACACAATTCTAAAAAATAGCTAATGCATTGAGTGCTTTGATGGAGCAGGCCCGATTACAAATGTTTTACATGTATTTACATGTATTATCTTTCCCCAAATCCCATGAGGTAATAAGTATTGGCATCTTAGATAACAGATGAGGAAACCAAAGTACAGAGACATTAAATAACTTGCTTTAGATCTCATAACTATTTCATAGCATAGCCGCAATTTGAACCCATCTTGTTAGAGCTAAAGCCAGTAGTCTCAACCACAGTGGTATACTGTTTCTAAATGGAAAACTTCGATTGTAAAATGATAGTGGCAATTGTAGTGATTTTATGATGAATTCTAAACTACTTTATGTAACACTAAAAGTTTATTTTAAAATATATTTTTAAATTCTTGAAAAATTGCCTGTTCACATTTTTAGTATATTGCAAGATTTAGTTAATTAGTAACCCTGTTCCCCAGCTTTTCTGGATGAAGATAAATTCATTTAATTACATAATAGGCTTTCCTAGGGGCCTGCCTTAGTAGATGGATACAAATAAGTTAACATGCCCCTTTCATGGGTAACTGACAGAATTTCGACTCAAACTAACTTAAACGAGGACATATATAGATCATGTACCGGTGAGGTTCAGAGTGAGTAGGAGAGGCTTCAGGCTTTGCTGGATCTGGTTCTCAGGCAGTTCTGTTTTTGGGGTATGCTTCTCTTTGTTTTGGTCTGATTTTCTCTTATGAATGGACTTCTTTCCTGTACTGGAAATTATCTGTAGGAAGCAGGAGATTAATATCCTCCTGCTAGGAGATACTTCCAGTAGGATATGACATGCTTAGTAGCTAAACTGCTGATAAACAGCTGTGTGAGACCTGGACCGGTTAGAGGAGTTCACTGCCCCTGTCTGTTGGTCTGCCCTCTGCCTTTTTGGAAGACTCTTGAGAATCAACCAGAGGAGTTTTCCTGGAGGTCCCAGGTAGGGGAGGGATACAGAATCTGTGTCTTCTGACTAGTGTGAAGCCACACTGGGCTGCAGAAGCCAGTCTTCCCAGCAATTATGACAGCTCTTGAATTTTTTTTAGAATTTTTTATGCCCTTCCGAAGCATTTAAGTGTTGTCTAACATGTTCCAGTGTCTGTCTGAGGTGGCTTATAAAAGCAGGGACAAAACTTCTATCAGAGTCAGGCTGTTACCGGTGGAAGAGATCCGAGTTACCCTGAGTTACCAGCAGCACATCTGTGCGGGTCTGCAGCAACTTCAGTCCTTGCCTCCTCAGAGAAAGACTTTGAAGGACATAAAGCAGGAAAAGAGACCGAGGCACGTTTCAGAGTAGGAGTTGAAGTTTATTTAAAAGGCTTTAGAACAGGAAAGAAAGGAAAGCTTACTTGGAAGAGATCCAAGAGGGTGCCTGAAGGTCAAAGAGAATGTATTACCTTGATCCTAGGGCTTTATAGGTTCGCCTCTTTCCCAAGATTCTTCCGTTAGGGTGGGTTTCCCGCATGCGCAGTGCCTCCCTTACCCTTGGAGCTCATGCAGTGTGTTTAGCAAGTTGCATACATGCCTGTCTGAGGCTTTCTTCCCTTTTTCCGGTGGTGTATACCCGGAAGGTCATATTTCGCCATTTTGTCTCTTAGTGAGCATGACCAGGAAGTTTTTTCTCCCTGGCATCTGCATTCAACTAACACTTTAATGTTAGTAGCTGTGGATCATCAGGAAATGGCCTCGCTCTGGCGCCCTGAATGGGCTGCCAAATTATCATTTTTAGAGGGGGCAGTGTGATAATTGTCAAACCTCACCTGATATTCCTAGTGGTTAGGGGGAGAGCTCTCTCCTGCCCTGCTCATGCCTATCTAACTACCTGTAACAAGGTGAGAATGAGGTACAATTTATAAGGTGAAGTAAGGTGAAATTTCATTTCAGTGTTTCCAAAAACATGATTATCATTTCACTGAAATGAAATTTTCCCAGTGTTATAAATTGCCTATTAAAAAAAAAAGCTTATTGAATGCCTACCTGGCAGTATATACCAGGCAATGTGCTGGTTAAAAAAAAGAATAAGAATAAAAACTTTTGAGGAGTTCTCAAAAAAGAAAAATAACCTGCTGGTTTTATTTATGCTAACAGAAAGATGGTTTCTCTTTCCCAGAGTAGAATCCTGGATGGCCCTTTTATTGAGGTTGGGGTGGAGAGTGATACCCTTATTGACAAGAGGACTGCATGAATTAGGAAGTTCCTCAGAGGACGTGGGCTGTTGTTTTCAGAAGGATGATTTAAAAGTGTGACTAAGCAAACAAAAAACTCACTGTATGCTATAGTCTACTGTATATAGTTTATTTGTAAATATAGTCTTTTGCTTATTTTTTTGTTTACTCAAGGTGCTCTTTATAAATGTTTTAACAATTCTCTCTTATAGTCTTGTCTACAAAGTAAAAATGTTAAAAGAAAATTTAAATCAGTTTTTGCATAAGTTTCCCAAATCTATAATGTTGTTTAAAATAATTCGGTTTTATTTCTAAATGTAGTGTTATTTTTTCTTACTATGCTTCAATATGCATATACCCCCACCCCTGTTTTTTGCATAGAATTATTAGTTATTACTTAGGTGATCCATTCGGTTTCTTTAATAGTGTAAAAATTTTGCTCTAAATGTATGAGAGAAAAATGGCAGAAAGGAAACAAAAATCAGAATTCAAGTCCAGAGTGTTGTGTTTATAGAAGAAATATAGTTTTTTCGCCCTCCTAATCAGTAACTAGCCGTATGTGAACTTCATACTTACATAATTGAGGAATGAAAGAATTGTAATGCAAACCCATTAACTTGGCCTCCTTTTAATTTTGAATTCTAATATATCCAGACCATTTGGCAGTGAATCTCTTTCCCACAGGAATTTTATACACAAGACCCTTGACATTTGCTAGGAATAAATCCAAGGTGAATATGGAAATGTTTGTAGAGGCTCCTGGCTTTCTTCATAAACATATTTCCATGGAGTAGTTGCATATCCTTTCTCTACTGCTGTTAAAATGTCCACTAAAGCTTAATTTCTCGCTTGATAAGCAGAGCGCTGTTGGGAGCACTCATTGGGTAAAACACTTTTATGAGAACTTTTTCTTGTGTCCACATAGAGCTGTTACAGACTGCTTTATGTTATATATCTGATCTATTGCCAAACACGTCGTTATTCTTTTTATTTTATCCAAAACTTCAGTTTTTTAAATCTCTGTCAGCATTCAGAGTTGGTTTACATTTTAACACAGTCTCATTGAGATGTAGATTCTGAATAGGCTATTCTACTTACTGTTCGTTAAGTGACTTCTGTACTGTATTTTCCAGGAAATATGCTTTAAATTAGTGCCACAGCAAAATAATTTCATGTTTTGAAATGTCTTCCTCCTTTGGGGGAGAGCCACAACCCTTGAGTGTTAAATTCAAAATGCCCATGGTCTAACAAATCAGTGATTTACTTTTTACTTTTTTTTTCTTTTTCTTTCTTTCTTTTTTTTTTTTTAAGAGATGGGGTCTTGCTCTGTTGCCTAGACTGGAGTACACGGGTGTGATTATAGCTCACTGCAGCTTCCAACTCCTAGGCTCAAAGCGATCCACCCACCTCAGCCTCTGACCTCAGTGGTGGGACTAGTGGGTGTGTACCACCACACCTGACTAATTTTTAAACACTTTTTTTAAGAGAAGGGGTCTCGCCATGTTGTCTAGGCTGGTTTTGAACTCCTGGCTTCAAGCAATCCCCCTGCCTCAGCCTCTCAAGGGATTTACTTTTTTACCTTTGCATATTATTCATAATTTTGTTGGCAGAATATATCCACACCTCTGGATCTTTTTGGCTTCTGTTTTAGGGTGCTGTGTACCCCTCACAGCTAGGAGGCTTATCTCTGAGGTTGTAGATAGTATTTACAAATAGAACTTGAGTTAACTTGAAGGAACATTTGCTTCCATTGGGTGTATGATTTTGTGTGATAGAATAGGATATAATAGGAACTATGATCTTCCTATATGCAAAAGGATAATTTAAAAAGGGTTATTAGAGATCTTGACATGGAGTTCTCTGCCTCCCTACTTCCATCCATTCTTTATTGAATTCTTAACTGTGAACTCACTTCTCTTACTGGGTTACATAGATAATTAGTGGCAGATATGAAACTTGAATCCAAGTTTACTAACACAGGTCATGGAAAAAACAAAGAACGCTCCCCATTTACTTTATGAATGTAGCATAATATCAAAAATTGACAATAACACATAGATATAAACAGACTAATCTTATGAATATAACTGTAATATTTCTAAGTAGTATCCTGGCCCACAAAATCTATCATCATGTTTTATGAGTTAGTACTATATTTTATAGAAATACAATTTAGTTCAATATTTTTGAAATTGTGATTTCATTGATTGTTGCTGAAGAATTAGATAAAATCTAAAGTACATTTTTAATTTAAAAATGCCTAATAAAAAAAGGATTAGGAAGATGTGCATTTTCTTAATCTAGGTATTTCAACAAAATGAACTGTGTTTAAAGCAAAAGTTAATCTCTGCCCCCGTTCCAGGTAACCTCACACCTGTACTTCCCTACCCATACCTTTAGATATTTAGCGTTAAGAGTACGTTGTGTTTGCTTCCAAAAGTTTTTCTGTGTTCATATATACTACAATAATACTATATATATAATACAATAATATATCACAGATATAGTATTCTTTATCTCTTTTTTAAAAAAAGAAACAGGATGACAGTGTAATATATATGATACCCCAGTTTTCCTTTTCATGGGAGCATTCCTTGAAATTAATGTATGTAGATATGTCTTAGTTGGCTTGGGCTTTTTGTTTTTTCAGGGTGTTACAACAAAATACCAAAGACTGAGTGGCTTAAACCAGCAGTCCCCAGTCTTTTTGGCACCAGGGACAGGTTCTGTGGAAGACAATTTTTTTCATGGACTGGAGGTGGGGTGGTGGATGGTTTTGGGATGGTTCAAGCATGTTACATTTAATGTGCACTTTTTTTTTTTATTTTTATTACACTGTAATATACAATGAAACAAAGAAAGGAGACTAATTGGTGGGGATCCTAGTTTTCTACTACTGTTTCAAACAATCCAGCTTCAGGTGACTACATCTTACATGTATAAGCCTAAGATTTTATTTGAAGTGTGAAACGCCACTGTTTGTAGGACAATTTAATTATATGAGAATAAAATTTCAAATATAGTATAAATATGAGATGATCTTTGGTTCAATATAAGCATAGATGGTAGGAAAAAAACAGGAATGATAAACATCATAATGTTTAAACAGCATTGTGGTAGACAGCTATCATATGCATGGCTGAGTATAATCATTTCCTGGGAATTCCCTTGTTATGAACCTTATATATGATACAAATTACAGCTCAGATTGTAAATCTCCCATATGGGGAAACAATAGTCTGTGAATATTTTCATGTTTCTGCACACTCATGATTTTTTGAGCATAGAACACTTGGCCCCTCCATTAAAGGATGTATGAATGGTACACATGCCTTTGAAGTTTGAGATTGTGTGTTGATCCAGAGCCATTTGTTCACATTCTAAAGGTGGTAGACCTAAAGAAGCCATTAGTTTGCATTCTAATGGTAATAAAACCTGAGTCATTTGCTCATACTTCAAGGGTTTTAAAAACCTAGAGACCGTTTTCTTCTCTCCACAGAAGGGATTTGTTTACATTCTCTGTGAAGGAAAGGAGGAGCACATGTGCTGGCAGTTCCTATGTAAGCTCTGCATTTGATAATTTCAGAGTTCCTCTCCTTTGCTTCCAACTCTTGCACCAGCAGATGATGACATCTGCTTTCACTATTTTGCACCACAGGGAATCGGGGGAACTGGCATAAGATGCTCTGTGAGCAATTAAAAGTCTGTCTCTGATCTAGAACCCGTGTTTCCTGTCAGGATAATTAAATAAATATATGTATGTGTATAATATCCAGTCTCTCTTGCAGCTAGGCATCAGACAAATGACCTCTACTTTTCAGATCAGAGCCACCTGTGAGTGAGACTTTGGCAAGTGACAGGAAGGGGCCCTATTTAAAATCTCCGTTTTTGATGTATGAGTGGTGGCAAATGTGTCTTGTTTTTGGTTATGAGAGTAGCAGCAGTAGCATAGGTTTTCCAGTGGTTGTGAGGTCACATTCCTTTTCTTTTTTTTTTTTTTTCCTGGTAGAGACAGGGTCTTACCACGTTGCCCAGGCTGGTCTTGAACCCCTGGGCTCAAGTAATCCTTGTGCCTTGGCCTCTGAAAATGCTGGGATTACAGTTGTGAGCCACTAAGCCTGGCTGAGATCACATTCTTGATGCAAGAGTGGTGTTGGCATTGGTGGCAGTAGCAGTTGCAATAAAGTTGGGCTCTTGGCATTGGATGATGGTAAAAGTAAGAAAGCATCATCTTCATCAGGCCTTCTGTGGTAGCTTCAGATATTGCTTCTGGGAGTTTAACTTTGATTCTGTTTCTATAATTCTCTCAATGATTTTGTGAACTGCATAATAAAGCCCTGTTCTTTTTTTTTTTTTCTCTTGAGACGGAGTCTCACTCTGACTAACTTGTCACTCACTCTAGTGTTCACCAGGAGGCGGAGCTTGCAATGAGCCGAGATCGTGCCACTGCACTCTAGCCTGGGCAACAGAGCGAGACTCCATCTCAAAAAAAAAATAAAAAAAAACCTGACTGATATAAAATGTCATCTCTTGGCGGTCAGATTGTCCATTTGATGTTTCTTACCTTCTTTTATTTTCCAAACGTTTTCAGTGAGCAATGTATTACTTGTATATTTAGAAGAACAAACAAAAAGACTGAAGGGATTTAGGCTTCTGACTTCTCTGCTGCATCTGAAAATCTAAATAATGAATATATTAGTCCATGATATGGTTTGGCTGTGTCCCCACCCAAAATCTCATCTTGAATTCTAATCCCCATGTGTTGGGGGTGGGACCTCATTGGAGGTGATTAGATAATGGGGGCAGTTCCCCATGCTGTTTTTGTGATAGTGAATGAATTCTCATGAAATTGGATGGTTTTTTTTTTTTGAGAGTCTTGCCCCATTGCCCAGGCTAGAGTGCAGTGGTGCGATCTCGGCTCACTACAACGTCTGCCTCCTGGGTTCAAGCGATTCTCCTGCCTCAGACACTTGAGTAGCTGGGATTATAGTCACGCACTACTACTCCTGGCTAATAATTTAGTAGAGACAAGGTTTCACCATGTTTGTCACTCTGGTCTCGAACTCTTGACCTCAAGTGATCCACCCACCTCAGCCTCCCAAAGTGCTGGGATTATAGGCATGAGCCACTGTGCCCGGCCAATTGGATGATTTTACAAGGGGTTTTTCTCCCCTTTGCTTGGCACTTCTTTCTCCTGCCCCCATGTGAAGGACATGTTTGCTTCCCCTTCTGCCATGAATGTAAGTTTCCTAAGGCCTCCGGAGCCCTGTGGAACTATGAGTCAATTAAACCTATTTTCTTTATAAATTGCCCAGTCTTGGGTTTTTCTTCATAGCAGTGTGAGAACAGACTAATATTGTCTCTGAAATGGACTGTATTCTTGCATTTGAACATAGGTGCACTTATTTTGATAAATCCTTACTATGACCTAAGAGTCAAAAACCTGGCTGTTTCTTTTTCCCTTCCCTATTGTTTCTTTCCATGTGTTTTATTTTAGGGAAAGGGACCCTCATCACCTGTTAGAGCTACTCTTTTTGTAAGATGTCCTTTTGTAAAATGTCCTTCTTATTTTCTTTCAGTTATTAAGACATGCAAGTAAAAAGATTATAGTTCCTGCACTGTCATTGTCTGGTAATAGCACATCAGCAGTTAACTTAAACCCGAATTTGAGATTTCTTGTCTATCTCAACTATCTTGATACTTGGTTTGGTAGTCAAATTATAAGCATCTACATATAAATAATGCAATAAAACTAGGTTAGTATATTATTATATTTTTGTCAGTTTAAAATACTTTTTGTGATACCCAAGTTAGGATGAAGGGAGGAAACTCAATTTCCATAGATTTTCATGAGGTTCAGTTTTATTGATGAGTATAATTGTAATTAGTTGTAGTTCTAATGGGGTCAGAAAAAAAAGCAGGTATTCCTCTGGATCTTTCTGATCCAGAGTTAGTGACATTAGACTCTCGACACTAGAGTTAGTGACAAGTTAGTGACAAAGGCTATTTGGATTTTATTCTGAGTAATAACTATGACTAAAATTGTATCATTTTAGATACGTGAGGAAAGCTTCTTCCACATTAAATTGAAAGGCAAAATCATTTCTATTATGTTTCTGTTTTATTAGATTTACTTTCTTTTAATGTCTTTTTTTTTTTTTTTTGGGACAGAGTTTCACTTTTGTTGCCCAGGCTGCAGTGCAATGGTGCGATTGCCACTCACTGCAACCTCCGCATCCCGGGTTCAAGTGATTCTCCTGCCTCAACCTCCCAAGTAGCTGGGATTACAGGCATGTGCCACCATGCCTGGCTAATTTTGTATTTTTATTAGAGATGGGGTTTCTTCATGTTGATCAGGCTGGTCTCGAACTCCCGACCTCAGGTGATCCACCCACCTTGGCCTCCCAAAGTGCTGGGATCACAGACATGAGCCACTGCACCCGGCCTTAATGTCTTTTAATAGACTAGTGATGTATTATAAATCAGAGTATGGGATCTCTTTTATTTACTGCCACTAAATAACAACAAAAAAATAATCATGGACCACATATCCTTTGTTTCTGATTTTAGATAAAATGTGACGGTAAACACTAGAAGGTGACAGGCAAATCAGATAGGCAACAGAGTTGTCATTTTTATACAGCTAACCTTTTTATCCAACAGTCTTCATACTGTGGGTCTGAATGCTTCGTTGAGATATTAGTTGTCTGTCTTCCAGTTGGCCCAGATCTTCAACCAATTTCTCAAGTTTCTGAAATGTGAGTGAGTGGCTTCATTTAATGGCCTTAGTAGCTACCCTTCCCTCAACCCCAATCCCTTATTGGGAATTTACTTTCCCTTTTGTTGTTTATCCAACTTCTTTATCTTTAAGAGTGCTCATTCACATTGCATTACTGTTGTGGAGTAGTTCCTATTTGGATATCAGAACTTCCTCTTACTTTTAGAATTATCCTCCATATGTTGACACAGTCAGTCTTGATGGTAAAGGACAAGGGTAACCAGAGGACTAGATCCTGAAATACCTAGAAAACCATCAGCCACTTACTCTTTTACTCACACACCTAGATGGAATTCTTAGTGATTAGTTGAAATTGTAGGCTTCCACTCACTACACATGGGAAGAGTTTAATTGGATTCAGTTAAATTTCAAAGATTAGGCCGGGCGTAGTGGCTCACGCCTGTAATCCCAGCACTTTGAGAGGCCGAGGCAGGCTGATCACAAGGTCAGGAGATCGAGACCATCCTGGCTAACATGGTGAAACCCCATCTCTACTAAAAATACAAAAAATTAGCCAGGTGTGGTGGTGTGCGCCTGTATTCCCAGCTGCTAGGGAGGCTGAGGCAGGAGAATGGCGTGAACCTGGGAGGTGGAGCTTGCAGTGAGCCGAGATTGCGCCACTGCACTCCAGCCTGGGCGACAGAGCGAGACTCTGTCTGAAAAAAAAAAAAAAAAAATTCAAAGATTAGCTTACATATGGGTTATTTTGGGGGCTTGTCCTGGTTAGTGGGAATCCTTATTTTTATTTCTGATTTTAGTGAAAGCCTTCTAGTACCTGATCACTAAACATGATACAGGCTTTTTTTTCCATATTAAGAAAAATATATGTATTTTTTGAGACAGAGTCTCACTGTGTTGCCCAGGTGGAGTGCAGTAGCCCTGTCTTGGGTCACTGCAACCCCTGCCTCCTAGGTTCAAGTGATTCTCATGCCTCAACCTCCTAAGTAGCTGGGATTATAGGCGTGTGCTGCCACGCCCAGCTAATTTTTGTATTTTTAGTAGAGACAGGATTCTATCATGTTTGTCTCGATCCCTGGACTCATGTGATCCACCCACCTTAGCCTCCCACAGTGCTGGGATTATAGGCGTGAGCCAGAAAAATTAAATTTATATTAATATATTTTTGTTTTATAAGGATTTTTAAAAACCAGGAATGGTGACAAATTTTATTGAATGTGTATTCATCACCCAGGATGCTAGCCAAATGGCCTTACTCCTTTGATTTCATAATTTAGTGAATTATGTGAATGCTTCCTAATATTGAACTGTGCCTGCATTCCTGGAAGAAACCACCCTTACTTGTTTTATTTTACTTGTTTTAAGTGATAGAGTCCAGCTTTACTGCTTAAGCTGGAGTGCAGCTGTTATCTTTTTAATGTATTGCTGGATTATCTTTGCTAATATTTTGTTTTATATTTTGCCAATTAGACTGTAAATTCCATGAGAGCAGGATTGGTTGGTGCAAAATTAATTGCTTTTTTGCTGTTACTTTTAATGTCTTATTATATTTACTGTAGTCAAGGATTTTGCGTTGTACCTGTGCTCAATAAACATTTAAATAAGTAAATAATATAATTGATATGGGTGTGTCTTGGTTGGTTTGTGCTGTTGTAACAGAATACCACAGACTGGGTGTTCTGGCTCACAGTTCTGGAGGCTGGGAATTCTAATATTAAGGCACTGATAGGTTTGGTGATTCTGATTCCAAGATGGTGTGCTTTGTCCTCAACTGGTGAAAGGTGGAAGGACAGAAAGAGAGTAGGAGAAAGAACGCACTCCTAGAGCCTTTTTAATAATGATGGTATTAATCTATTCATGAGGTGGAGCTTCATGACAGAAATGCTTACATTAGACCCTACCTCATAACATTGTCACATTGGAGATTAAGTTTCCAACACATGAATTCTAGGGGACACATTTAAACCAGAGTAAGGCGAAACCACCAAGGATACAAAACTTCCCTAGGCTTTTATATATCTGATAAGAAGGCATATCTAAGGTCAGTGAGACAAAATCATAAACATAAAATACAAAGAAAAGGTCATGCATTAATACATATTAATTTATTTTATTTATATTTATTGTATGCTTGGTTTAACTTTCACTTTTTAATGTTCTTTTGCTTTTTTCCTTCTCATAAAATGAAAATAAAAACCACTATACTACCAGCCTAATCGGCAGTTTTTGTTAGTTGTATTTTATCAAGTTTATTACATTATTATTTTCATATGATACAGCTTTCTTTGAAAGATTAAACAGTTTTATTTGGTTTTATAATCATGTTTGCCAGTTATTTAAATTGTGTTTAAATTGATTTCTTGCTCACTACTAGTACTTTTTTCTGTAGTTTCCCAGTTTTTATGACTTACGGTTATTCACTTCTTTAGTTAGCTAGACTGTGTTTTTAACACAAACTTCAGGAAGATACAAAGATTTCATTCACTTCTTGAACTCTCATATACTTAAGAATCTTTGTTCTTGTGACAAGTGAAATACAGTTTGGTTTTGTATATAATTCTTACTTAACATCTTTTTAATTTTAAAACTCTATAGACCATACTCACTGATGAGTCAGTTCTCCAGAGAGAAACACACACACACGTGTGTGTGTGTGTGTGTATATATATATATCTATATATATCTATATATATCTATATATATATGGTTCATGTGATTATGGAAGCTTGATCAAAATTTGCAGAGTATACCAATAGGCTGAAGACCCAGGGAAGAGTTACAGTTTGAGTCCAAAGGCGATCTGCTGGCAGAAGTCCTTCGTGTTGAAGGAGCTCCAGGTTGGAGTACTTTCACCCTTCCCTAATGAGCCATGTCCCTGGCCCCTACCCTTCTAAGCTAGGGACAATTAGAAGAACGTTTAACCCATTTATACCTGAGGTGGCAATATTTTGAATTTTTGCAATCAGACCTTGGCGATGACCCTGAGCAGTAGGATATAAATAACTTCCACATGCTTAGCATCCCAATAATGGAACGCTAGGCATAAGTGGGTTAATTAGAATGTCTTCCACTTCGTAATGAGCCCTAACTATACCTGCAAACTATCAGCACCGAGTGTTGACTTTCGTTGTGGATCAAATTAAATTGCATCTTGTTGATAGCTTTGGTATGTTTAGTTTGTGTTTAGGACTTTTCTTGTTTTCAATATAGATCCATTAATTCACTGATTAATCCATACATTTACCCAATTCATTTGCAGTTCAGCTACGTTCCTTTAATGCTATAAGTTACTGGTGAATTCTACTGTTTTTCTCATGGAGTTTATAGTAAGCTGGGGAAAAAGACAAAAATAAACATAATAAATAAAATATTGCCATATATATTTCAAAGGGAAGCAGCAGGGGACTGAGATGGAGAATACCTGGAGAAGAGAAGGCCCTGTCAGAGGAGCTGACATTTGCTCTGAGTCTTGAAAGATGAGGCAGAATTAGCCATGAAAAAATTGAGGAAAACATTCCAGTAGAGTAAAACAATATGGGCAAAGGACCTGAAGTGAGAAAAAGCTCCGCATGTTTGAGGAACTGAATGAAGACCGGGGTGGTTGGAGCTTAGCGAGAGAGGAACAGAATGGGTCAAGATAGGTTTGTAGGGATAGGCTTGAGCCAAATGCAGGGCCTTGTGGCCTTAGTAAGAAGTTTGGATTTTTTTTTCTAAAGGTACTGTGAAGCCATGGACATTTGTTGTTTTTTCTATCTTATGTACAGTTCTCCCTTCCTTTGAAACAACACACTGATCTTGCTTTGGGTGGAAATCACTCCTGCCATTTTCAGTCCAAGTACTTCAGGTGGAGATTTTTAAAATCTAGGCTCTAGGCTATAGTGATTAGTTCAGAGACAGATCTGTGTCCCAAATCAAAACAATTACATTTAATCAGAGTGAATTTGGGATTTCTGTTTGAGTCAGGCTTCTGCTAGCTTACGTTATGTCTCTGTGAGAGTAATTACCAAACAGTGCCCCTCTGATGGATGAATTATAGAAAGGTGTCTTCTAATGCATAACTTGCTGAAGATGGCTTGGTGTGAAGAAAAATATGCCTCTTTCTCATAGATGCCAGAGCTGAGTGACGTGTTGGTTAGATTCAGTTCCTTTGCCCCCTTGTTTTGGTACTTTGTGTGGTGCACCAAATGCACACCCACACATATGCCCCTGAGTAGGGATAGAAATTTGGAGTTGCTGATGGCCATCTTGCCACTAGTGAGAGTTGGTCTGTGAGAGCAGAGCCAAGTACAGAGATAATAGCTGGACGAAGATTGGGTCCTGTTGATATTATTTGAGTTGTTCTCCAGTTTCATCCAGCTTGCCGCAAATGGCAGAATCCTTTTTTAAGGCTGAATAATATTACATTGTGTGTGTGTGTATATGTGTGTGCATGTATATATATACACACACCACATTTTATTTTTATCTTTTCTTCCATTGAAGGATATTTAGGTTGTTTCCATTACTTGGCTATTGTGAATAATGCTACTGTGAACATGGGAGTGCAGATGTCTTTTCATGATTCCGTTTTCAATTCCTTTGGATATATACCCAGAAGTAGGATTGCTGGATCATATGGTAGTTCTATATTTATTTCTTTGAGGAACTTCCTTACTGTTTTCCATACACTATACCAATTTACTTTCCCACCAACAGTGTATAAGGATTCACTTTTCTCCACATCCTTCCCAACACTTGTTATCTTTTGTCTTTGCTAATAGCTATTCTAACAGATGTAAGGTGATATCTCATTGTGGTTTTGCTTTATATTTTCTTGTTGATTAGAGATTATATACCTGTTGACCATCTGAATTTCTTCTTTTCGGGTGCTCCAGTGGCACAATCAGTTAGTGTGTAGTACTTACATGAATTTCTTCTTTTGAGAAATGTCTGTTTAGGTCATTTGCTGATTTATTAATTGGGTTGAGTTTTTGCTATTGAGTTATATAAGTTCCTTATGTATTTTGGAGTTTGTCATGATCAGATATATGGTGCTGTGCTCGAATTTTTATGTCTCTTCAAAATTTTTATTTGAAACCTAACCCCCGAAGGTGATGGTATTAAGAGGTGGGGACTTTGGAAGAGGTTAGGTCATGAGACCTCTGCCTTCATGAATTGGATTAGTGCCCTTATAAAAGAGGCCTGAGGGAGCTTATGTGTGCCTTCCCCCATTTGAGAGCACATAGAAGGTGCCATTTCTGAGAAGCAAGCCCTTACCAGACACCAGATCTGCTGGTGCCTTGATCTTGGACTTCTCAGACTCTGCTCCCGAACTGTGAACAATAAACTTCTGTTGTTTAATTACCCAGCCTAAGGTATTTTGTTATAGTAGCTTGAATGGACTGAGATGAAAATTGGTGCTGAGAAGTGGGGTGCTGTTGTAACAAATAACTAAAAATGTGGAGGCAGGTTCGGAACTGGATAATGGGGAGAGTCTGGAAGAATTTGGCATACATGCTAGAAAAAGCCTACACCGCCATGAACGGAGCATTAAGGGCAATTGTGGTGAGGCCTCAGAAGAAGATAACTGCAGAGAAAGCCCCAGTTTTCTTAGAGATGGCCTAAGTAGTCATGATTAAAATGTTGGTAAAAATGTGGATAGTAAATGCCATTCTGATGAGGTCTCAGATGGAAATGGGAAGATTTTATTGGAAATGAGAGGAAAGGCTATTGTTGTTATAAAGTAATAAAGACCTTGGCAGAATTGTGTTGGTGTCCTAGTGATTTGTGGAAGGCAGTACTACTGAGCAGTGAAAAAGTATATTTGGTGGAAGAAATCTCTAAGCGAAGTGTTGAGGGTGAGGCATGACTTCTCTTAAATGCTTATAGTAAAATGCAAAAAGAAACAAATTAAAGATGGAATTTATAATCAAAAGAGGAGCAGAACTTTTAAAGATTTGGAAAATTGTCACCCTGGCCATGTTTTAAACAATGAAAAAGTGTGTTTGGGAGAGAGCACCAAGGGTATGGCTAAATGAATGTTCACATGTTATAAGGAGATTGGTATGGATGGGCAGAAGCCAGGTGCTGTTCACCAAGACAAGGAAAGAATAACCCTGAAGTCATTTTGGAGACCACTGGGCCTGCTACTCTCATCACAAGCTTCAGTAAATGAATATCTTATGTGCAGGAGGAGAGCACTGATGGGCTGACTGGAGGGCATATTGTGTAGCATGCTATGGAACCAGGTCTAGTGGCATGGAGTGCTAAGTACGGGGGAATACAGTGGCTTCAGGTCTGAGGCAGGGGCACAGTGTCTCGTCATTTCAGGCAGCTCTCTGTGTTATTGTTAGCTACATAGTCATTGGTGGCAAGAATTGTGGGAGGTCCTTGGTAGCTGTGAGGGCTGTTTGGACTCTTATCTGTGCTTATGGATCTGGCACTGGGGCTTCAGCCCTGAAATCTGCATGTGTGCGCTTGCAGGGTCTGATTGCAGCAGTGTGCACACTGGTGGAAGCTGAACCTGGTGGCAGGGCCCTGGGGTGGTAGTGGACATGTGTGGGGTGGCTGCCCTGGTTCCCAGGGCTGGGTTGCCCATGGTGATGCTTACTAAGGTAGCTTAGGCAAGTGAAGTCTGAGAAGGTGAAAAACTGGTAGGCCCTTGTTAGTAAAAGCTGTTGGGGGTCTGCAGTGGCTTGGCTGGCTATTGGTTTCCTCAGTGGTGAAAGCTTCTTGAGTCCTCTGCAAAGCAGGCCTCTGGGGTTCATGATTATGAACACTTGAGGTCCTCAGTGCTCACAACTGTGGGGCATCTGCAGTGACCCCAAGGGCTGTTGAGTTGAGTTTCTCCATGTTGAAAGGTGTTAGAGTCTTTTGCTGAGAAGGCCACAACCTGCCATGTGGTTGATGCCAATAGGCCACACACTTCTTTGTTCCTAGCTGTTTCCAGGTGACTCAGCTATGCGGGTCTCCCCATTGATCTGGGTGGAGTATAACTGCAGCAGAACCCTAAAAGGATGGAGAAACTGGTGCTTACCTTAATCTTTTCTCTTGTGAAGGGAACTCGGGTCAGGGAGTTTCCTTGTATTGCTAAGCACCGTTGGCTTCATTCAGGAAAAATGAGACTGTTTTTACCATCTTTGGGCAGTTATTTTTGGGCTTTTGCTCTACTGTGTTGCTGCAGCTCCTTAACTCCTGAGCTCTTTTAGAGCTATTTTCGTTTGTGGATAATAGTTTTTTGTGGGTGGAGGAAGGCTGGTATCTCCTACTTTGCCTTCTCACTGACGTTCTTTCTGATCAATTGTGTTTTAGCTTAAGTGATTTGAGTTTAATTTTTCATCACCCGCAACTGAAATGTTTTAACCAGAAGGGCAGTGCAGTCTTCAGGTTACATTTTCTTTTCTATTACTTTTGTTCATTTTGATGGGTATCAGTGAGTTGGTTTCTTTTTTTTTTTTTGGTGGTGGTGGTGGGTGTGGGATGCATTTGTTTTGTCGGTTTCCCTAGAAGTTGGTTTATCTTGCATTCATAATTCAGTCTCTACAAATTTGAATTTACTCATTTGTTATTTATTCTAGGCTATATAAGACACGGTTTGACATTAGAAGATATGTGTTTGAAATCTGTTTTCTTAATTACTAGCTCTTTGACTAACACAACTCATTTAATTTCTCTGAGCCATAGTTTACCCAGAAATGCAATGAAGCTTGGGTTTTTTGTTTTTGTTTTTGGCACTCATTGATGTATCTAGGGTGTTAGATACACTGGCTGCCAGCTGTTTTAGCTCCAAGCCAGGCATATATGAGGCAAAATGAAAATCCAGGGAACTCACCCGTATCACTCCTTGGTCCTGAGGATCCTGAGGTCCCTATGCAGGTCTTCTTTCTTCTCATCACTTTTCAGTCTTTTCAGGTTATTTTTTATATGTAATGTCCAGTTTTTTGTTGTACTTAGGAGGAAAAACAGGGAAAACTACATCTGTTTCATCTTCATGGACACAGAAGTCCTGAGCTCATTTTTAATAAACATGAAATTAAATAATTTTAGAGGTGCAAGGCATCTTCATCTTCAAGGCAAGTTTATATGGTCCAGTGATGGTTAGTTTTATGTGTCCACTTGAGTGAGCCACTGGGTGCCCAAATATTTGTTTAAAAATTATTCTGAGTATTTCTCTAAGTATTTTGCAGGAGATTAACATTTTTATTGATCGAGTAAAGCAGATTGTCTGCCATAATATGGGTGGGCTTTATCCAGTCAGTTGAAGGCTTGAATAGAACATAAAGACCGACCCTCCCCTGAGTAAGAGAAGAATTCTCCAGCAGACTGCCTTTGGACTTCATCTGTGCCACTGACTCCTGGGTGACCTTTGGACTTTTTTTTTTTTTTTTGATATGGAGTCTCGCTGTCACCCAGGCTGAGTGCAGTGGCACAATCTTGGCTCACTGCAGTCTTCGCCTCTCAGGTTCAAGTGATTGTCCTGCCTTAGCCTCCCGAGTAGCTGGGATTGCAGGCATGTGCCACCATGCCTGGCTAATTTTTGTATTTTTAGTAGAGATGGAGTTTCACCATGTTGGCCAGGCTGGTCTCGAACTGCTGACCTCAAGTGATCTGCCCGCCTTGGCCTCCCAAAGTGCTGGGTTTACAGGTGTGAGCCACCATGCCCAGCCTCTTGGGTCTTGAACCTGCTGGCTCACACTGCAGATTTGGGCTGGTCATCCTCCATAATCATGTGTCAATTCCTTATAAGAAATCTCTTTCTCTCTCTCTCTATATATATCCTAATAGTTCTGTTTCTGGGGAGAACCCTGACTAATACAAGTCTAAAATAACCACTTGAAATGTTGAACAAAAATTAATCCCAGTGCAGTTAAATGAATTCCTAATTAGGGTCAGCTAGTTAATGGCAAAGCTATATTTGAAAGGAGAAGTGGGGAAACTTTCTAATTCATAGGAAATGATGTTGTAATATACTTCATGGTCCACTTGATGTGAGTACCTTTAAGCATAGTTTCTATTGGAGCATGGTTCTGTGGATTATCATTTAAAGTAAACAGGAAAATTTCCAGGTGAAGAAATGTTAGCATAGTTTGTCATCATGTTCCCAGTCTCATTTTCTTTGCCTTTGGAAAGCCTGATAATTCTAATTTGTCCCTCTAATTCAGTGTTTAATTACCTTTTCTTTCCATAAAGTCTACTAAAAATGTGATGTAACATTGCCTTATATTTATTTTGGGACTCAATAATTCTTTTTCCATTTTTTATAACCCACATGCAATAAACTGCACATGTTTAAAGTGTGCAGTTTGCTAAGTTTTGACATACATGCACACTTGTAAAACCATTAATGCAATCAAGATAATGAAGATATCCGTTGCTCCCTAAATGATTATCAAGGGATTATCCCTTTGGTAATCTTTTCTTCCTACCCTTTCCCTGTCTTTAGGCAACCATGATCTTATGTCACTATCGATTAGTTTGAATTTTATGGAATTTTATATAAATATAATCATAGATTATGTACTCTTAATGGCTTCATTTTATTAAGCATAATTATTGGACAATTAATTTTTGTTGTATGTATCAGAAGTTCATTGTTTTTATTTCTTAATGGTATTCCATTGTTTGCATATTCTACAATTTGTTTATCTGGGCATCTGCAAATGACCATTTGGGTTGTTTTCTGTTTTTGGCTGTTACAAATGAAATGGTTATTAACGTTCATATGCAAGTATTTGTGTGGACGCATGCTTTCTTTTTTTATGGATAACTACCCAGGTGTAGAATGGCTCAATTCTGTGGTAGGTGCATTTTAAACTTTAACAAACCAAACTGTTTTCCAAAATGGCTGTAGTATTTAACATTTTACACTCCTACCAGTAGTTTATGAGAAATCTTGTTTCTTCTTATCTCCAACAACACTTGGTATGGGTGGTCTTTGAAATTTTTGCTATTCTAATAGTTGAGTAGGGATATCTCATTTTGGTTTTACTTTTCATTTGCTATTGACTAATAATGTGGAACATCTTTTCATGTGCTTATTTGTCATCTTTGGTGAAGTGTACATTCACATCTTTTGCTCATTTTTATATTGTTTTGTTTTCTTGTTAACGAGCCTGAGAGTTGTTTACATATTCTGGATACAAGTCTTCAGTATATGACTTGCAAATGTTTTCTCCTAGTCTGTCTTCTTATCCTCTAAGCAGTCTCTTGGGATGTGCAGAATTTCTTAATTTTGATGAAATTCAGTTAATCAATTTAAAAAGTCATATACATGATGTTAAAAAATAAGGAATCTACCAGATTAGTTAGCTCATTTTACTTTTATGCATGAAGGGTGGGAAGAGATAAAATTTTAAAGCCTTTCTGGTTAGCAAAGCCATATTTATAAAAAATATAGTTATCCAAAGACAAATATTTTTATCTTCATAAATAGAAATGTCATTAAAATAGTCTTACCAGGGCGATCACTTTTGAAACGAGACAACCAATTAAAAAACCAGAGTTTTTTAGATATGGGTTAGAATCACAGGACATAGTAAGATTCTTTGAATCCAGATGGCTTGAGAAACAAATAACATTTGTAAGAACTGTTTTATCTTAGAAAATAGAGCAGGATGATTGCAGTTATAACTTTATACACAGCTTCTATACTAGACTTATGATGTGAATGCTTTCAGTTCTATATCTTATCAGGACAGGCCCTCTTACTCAGAATGTTATACGCTCTGCAGCTGCAGGGGAGAGAGCAGGAGCATCTCTTCTCATCTTTCTGAGACTCCTTTCTGAATTCCTAATTAGCAATTCCTCCAGTTGCTAATTAGGAGGGCCTGTGTTCTTAAAGCTAAACTGGAAATTCCATTAGTTATTAGTTCCTTGGAAAAAGGAGCATTAAATATTTACAATGTGAAATAAAAGAGAAAATATATTTTAACAAATCAAATGTGGGTAATGTAGTGTTTTATTTTTAAAACATATGCTTATACTTATACATTAATATAGCACAGACACATATCCACACATGTACATACATATGCAGTTGTTAGCAGAGGTTGCTCTGTCTTTTGAGATTTAAATAAAATTATGTCAAGGTGATTATCAAATATGCTTTGGAAGTTTCTTG
Source organism: Homo sapiens (assembly GCF_000001405.40). NCBI lineage: Eukaryota > Metazoa > Chordata > Mammalia > Primates > Hominidae > Homo > Homo sapiens. The sequence goes on along the minus strand of NC_000005.10, from coordinate 118,904,995 downwards.
GTTAGGGTAACCTCTTTCTTGGAGTTCTTATACTGCTAAACTCTTACCTTCCCTGAATGTTCTCTGTTCTCTGCTTCCTGCCTATTCAGAGGTGAAATGTAGCTCCTTGGCTCAGTTTACCCAGTGTCACTCTCACAAAGCCTTTGTTTGTATTGTAGACTTTAGTGAATGTTGGAGTAGCCATAGTGGTGAGGAGAGGGTTGTAACAAGGTGAACTATTCAAAATTGAACGTTTAATAACCCTGTTCTTTCTCCACATGTTATCAGTTCTTGTTTCTTGCCATATTCTCCCTCTTTTTCTCTGTATGTCTGTTTCTTCTATCAATTTCTTATTTTATTTTCTTTTGCTTCTTAACTTGCTGCTATTTCCAAATTCAGGGGAGATACTACTGGTCTTTGATTATCTGTCTATGTACCCGTCTTATGTAAGGAATTTTTCTAAACACAGGCAGAAACCTTAATGTCAGTCGATTAAAAAACAGACAAAAAATGTTTTATTCCTGCTACATAAACGTGTGTGCGTGCACATGTTATACAAAAAATGGTGCCATTCTTACATATATTGTTCAGGAACTTGCTTTTTATTTTTATACTATGCCATGGAAATTTTTCTATGTCAGTCCAGTATATAAGTATGATAATACACTTAGCTATTCTTTTTATTAGACACTGAGGATGTTATTGGTATATGTTAGTGAATATCTTTGAAAACATTAACTTTTTGAACATGTGGGTGTTTTTATTAGATTTCTGGAAGTGAATTTTGGGTTAAAACATGTGTATATTTTATATCTTAAAGGATTCTGTCAGGCCAGTGTCCACTAACAGTCTGTGACAGCATAGGTGGTCTCATAATCTCAACAGCCCTGGGTATTTATTAGTATTGTAAATTTTGTGAAGTGGTATCTGATCATTGTTTTAAATGTCTTTCTGATTGAATCACCAACCTTGGTGTAACCCTAAATTTAGTACAGACACTATAGTGTACATTAAAAATGTTGGTTATAGTCCTAATTAAGGAAATACAGAGCTTTAGATCCTCTATCCTTTTGACATAATTTCATACTAATATATATGTAAAATTCTCTGATATGAATGCTGTATTTTTAGAGATAACTTATTTCTTTTTAACTCTATTTCATTTGATTGAATTTCAAATATATATAAGCAGACAAGATTATGATGATGATCAAGATGGTAGAGATTTTATTATTTCGCTTTTGTTGCCCCTCGTAACTTTTTTTTTACATTTCCAGGAAATTCAATTTTATTTTTAATGGGATTTCATCTTCATAATGACGGAACATAATGTTTGTAATACTTAATGAGCTTTTAAAGAACATATGTGGGTGGTAAGAATCTGCTTAACATGTTAGCTAGAGATTTAGAGATCCTAGTATTCTCCTTGAAAATTCTGCTTGGCTTCTGGAGACAAGATCATACTTGTATTAGTATTTTGAAGCCAGCTTCAAGCATAATTTAATTTTCACTGTGTGCAATTGGAATATTTTCAACCCTTTAACACTGATTAATATTCTGACTAGATTATAGTTTTGATATTGCAAGAAAAAGCAAAAGTGGAACTATGTGAAGAAGGTTATTTATTACTTCTTAGTTAATAAGGTGTACCTTCTCCATTTGTCTCTCATAATTTCTGTCCCTGTCTCTTTAGACAAAGAAATAGCTATATTTTTTGTACTTATGAAAACACATTGATAATGCTTAACATTTGTGTAGCAGTTTATAGTTTTCCCAGCTGTTCAATGTTTATCTTGTTTCCCAGAGAAACCTTGTAGGCAATATTGTCACTATGTTAGAGGCATACTGACTCAAGTTTTTTTTTTTTTTTACCATTTTAGCACAATGAATATTAATAAACAAATTTTTGGTGAAAAATGTGGAATTTTAGGATATATTATTTTCACTAGGACTGTAATTTTAAATATCATTTTAATGACTAAGTTGAAAACATAGAAATTTATTAGTACTAAAATCTGTTTTAGTTATGATGTGCTACAACATAGATATACCCAAAGGATGTAATATAATGTCAGATATTTTTAAACATCTATTTATTTATGTGGTATAAACTATGTGGTATAAAAGGATATTAATAACATTGTAATGATTCATAAGCTTAGAGCATCTGGTCCTTTGATATCATTAGCAGCTTTGCATATAGTCCACATCTCAAGATCCATATGGCAACCATTTGTGTATACATGGTAGAAGATATCTCAAAAATTGCTATATGAGTTCCAGTAGTTATTAAGAACACTGTAAATAATATGATGATTGCCATAGAGAGTAACAGGCTTACTTTTTCCAGATGGGTGTTTGCAGGGGTGGTTGTAATTGAAAAAAAAGTTTCATGCTTTTACTGTTTACATTGATCAGAAACTTTAAAAACATATATATTTTCTAAGTATAAAGAAAACCCATTGAGATAATTATGTTGAAGAATAATTATGATAAATGTGTGGGTATAACTAAATTTAACTGTAAAGATTCTGTTATCTGAAGATATAATTATTTGATTTACAGAAATCTGGGTACTTTTACCAGTTTGTGATACATTATTTGATCTATTTTAAAGTATAAATAGATTATGGTTGTTATATATTCATGTGCGCTATAATTTTAGCTATACATTTCCACAGATGTACCTACTTATATTTTACTCATTCTATACATATTTATTGAGTTTCTACTATGTTTCAGGTACTATTTAACAGAAAGGACTTATTTTTTTCTTTTTGGCTTTGAACATTTGATAATTGATATTTCAAGTAGCACATTTGTAGCTTTCCACTATTCAGTACTTCATCAGTTTAAATAATTATATTTTCATAACTTATTTTGTTTCTCAGGATCACTAGATATAGTGATATGTGTTGATATAAGGTGAGAGAAGGGATTGTTATGTGATTATATAGACACATTATTAGAATATGTTTAATGGTAAATTGTTCAAAATACTTAAATAATAAAAAGTAATTAAGTATGAATTATTAAAAAGAATTGGAGGTTATAGTCAATCACCTGATTTAATTATGAGTTTAGCTTGGGTTAAAAATAAACATTTCTGAGCCAGATGCAGTGGCTTGTGCCTGAAATCCCAGCTACATGGGAGGCTGAGGCAAGAGGATCGCTTGGGCCTGGGAGTTCAAGATCAGCCTGAGCAACACAGTGAGACCACCATTTCTTTAAAAAATAATAATAATAATTCCCAATGAAGCAATTTTAATCTTTTGATAATCTGAGGAAATAATCTACTTTATGGATAGTTAGGACACATTTAATTATTATTTTAATTTTTATTGACAGGTCTCAGATTTAACTTGTAGCCCATGGTAATACTTACTAGATACTCTCTTAGCTGGATACAAGATTTTCTTTTTCTTTTAAGCCCATGTGGTATACTCTAATATACTCTAATATATATGATATTTTCTTAAACTACATGAAAGTTGTGACTTAGGCAAGATAGCAAGCTTTAGAAAAAGAATCATCAGAGAGGCATTCTGGCATCTGTATTACTTTGATTTTCAGTAGAGAAGATCAAATTTTTAAAAATGAAATTAGAGATTGTGAAACTGTATTGTCTGGTTTTTCTCAAATTTGATTGTTTCAGTGCTGCTTCATTGTTTTTATTATGTTTGTTGAATCCCTGGATTATCAGGAATACTTACTGTGCAATGTAAACACTTATGTGTGTTTGGAATTCTCCCCTCCCCTTTTTTACTATTTAGAATATTACCATGTAAAGGGAAGTCATAGGGTGTTGATTGTCTTGTGACTACCAAAAAATACAGGTAAAATATCTTAAATAAAATACATAAACTGAGTGGCATTAGAAGTTCTAAAAATCTTTATGATAAGTAATTATAAATGTAATTATATTCACATATTTTATAATGTAGCTGAATCTTTGCAGAATATAAAATATATGTGAATACATAAATATTTGGGTAGTGATAATTATTCTGATAATCATTATCACTGATTACCTCCACTAAAAGTAGAGCAGGAAATATGATTTTGAGTCATTTTTTCTTTTTTTTTTTTTTTGAGACGCAGTCTCACTCTGTTGCCCAGGCTGGAGGGCAGTGGCGTGATCTCGGGTCACTGCAAGCTCTGCCTCCTGGGTTCACCCCATTCTCCTGCCTCAGCCTCCCGAGTAGCTGGGACTACAGACATCTGCCACCACGCCTGGCTAATTTTTTGTGTTTTTAGTAGGACGGGGTTTCACCATGTTAGCCAGGATGGTCTCGATCTCCTGACCTTGTGATCTGCCCGTCTTGGCCTCCCAAAGTGCTGGGATTACAGGCGTGAGCCACCCCGCCTGGCCCTTGATTTTGAGTCATTTTTTCATCACTGGTTTTAGTTTAATCTATTAGCTCTGTTATCCAGTCTATCTTAAGACAAAATACTTTATCTTTTTTGTATATCAGGATATGACTATAGTTTTAGATACATTTTTTTCTATAAAATGAGTGCTTCTTTATTTAGCTCACTGCCACAACTTTATACTTCTTTTCTTCATTCCTGTACCATCTCTGTTAACTTGCCTGCAGTTTTGTAGCATTATTGTGTTTACATCTACTGATTTAGAGATGTTTATATGACAAGTAGCTTTTTTTAATATTTGCATTTAATGTAATTAAGGGAAAAAGTTTTTAAAAATATTAAGCTAGCAAGTTATTAACACTATTCGTATTAACACTGTCTGTAATAACCCCAGTTCCTGTCAACAACAGAATGAACAAATGGTGGTATATGTAATGGAATGCTCTACAGCAGTAAAAACTAAACTACACATAACAACATGAATGAATTACATAAACATAATGTTGGTGAAAGAAGCCAGACATAAAGAAGTATGACTTGGCCGTGCATGGTGGCTTGTGCCTGTAATCCCAGCACTTTGGGAGGCCGAGGTGGGCAGATCAATTTGGGTCAGGAATTTGAGACCAGGTAACTTGGTCAACATAGTGAAATCCCCTCTCTACCAAAAAGTATAAAAAATTTCAGGGTGTGGTGACGTGCGCCTGTAATGCCAGCTACTTGGGAGGCTGAAGCAGGAGAATCGCTTGAACCCGAGAGGCGGAGGTTGCAGTGAGCCGAGATCGTGCCACTGTACTCCAGCCCGGGCAACAGAGTGAGACTCCGTCTCAAAAAAAAAAAAAAAAAAAAGAAAAAACGAAGTATGACTTATATGATTCAATGATTCAATTTCTATAAAATTTAAAACTGACAGAACTATGGTTTTGGATGTCAAGGTAGTAGTTTCTTTTGTAGGGAGGGCATAATGACAGGAATGGAGTATGAAGAGGTCTGTGGATTCTGGTTATATTTTGCTTCTTGACTTGGGTACTAGTTACACAAGTGTGTTTGTTTTGTAGATTCATGGAGCTGTACAGTTATGATTTGGGCACTTTGGTATATATATTCGGCTTCCAGAAAACGCTTATGTATGCAGTCAGTGCTTGTTATTTGTGATAGTTAGGTTCTAGAAAGTTTCTGTGAACACTGAGTTAGTGAATACCGAACCATTGTCTCTAGGGAAAATACAGGATTAGGTTCCTACTAGCCTTTGATTGCATTTTAGTTAACCAAGCAGTACAACATGGCCTTGTTTTACATGTGTTTCTGTTTACATACACCATATTTCATAAATATCATTGATTCATTAACATTGAACTTATGCCCAATAGCACTATAACTCATGTCTGAATTAAGCTTATCTGACATGTGTTTTCTTCATGAGACACATCACAGTCTTCTTGAGCTCAGGAACTCTAGACAGCACTTCAGTGCTACAAGTTGCGGGCCACGTAGTGGAATCGCCAACAAAAAGCACAACAGTGCAAAAATGTGGCACTAAATAGGCTGTGAAAAAGACACATATTTACAGTATGAGAGCTGAAACAAGATACAGCATCACTGAATTCTACCTCAGCTGGGAATGTGTGCATTGGGCAACTCTAAATTTTTGCTGTTCTGTGCTTGTGCATGTTGGGTTTATACATAAATTTTAGTAAGCAGGCGATTTCACAGATACAGAATTGGCAAATAATATCTAAATACATAGCTGCTAGTACCTGAGTAAATATTTACTTCTCAATCAAGTGTGCAAGTAGGCTAAGGATAACCTTTTCCTCTTAAACTAAATGTCTTAATAACAATTTTTTTGTGATTAAAATTAGAGCTGTTCTAGGGTGCCAATTTTGTAATTTTTTTGTACCATACTGTAGATTTTCGTAACTGTTTTGATGCCAAGCTTTATTAGATTTTAAAATTTATCTTCTCATTCTCATTTTTTTTTTTTTTTTTTGAGATGGAGTCTCACTTTGTTGCCCAGGCAGGAGTGCAGTGGTATGATCTCAGCTCACTGCAACCTCCGCCTCCCAGGTTCAAGCGATTCTCTTGCCTCAGCCTCCTGAGAAGTTGAGATTACAGGCACCCGCCACCATGCCCGGCTAATTTTTTTTTTTTTCAGTAGCGACGGGGTTTCACCATGTTGGCCAGGCTGGTCTTGAACTCCCAACCTCAAGTGATCTGCCTACCTCAGCCTCCCAAAGTGCTGGGATTACAGGCGTGAGCCACTGTGCTCGGCCATAAAATTTATCTTCTCATTCTTTGCTGATCAGGGATTCATTGTAATGTTGTACATTAATTTTTTTGTTTTTGCCCAGTAGCAACTGACCATTAAATGATTACGTATCAAGTGGTGTAATATAGTTTCTTCAGAATGAAATTGTATCAAAGTTTACCTAGAAGACTTCAAATGTACCAATATAAAAGACTGGGATTAAGATTTAATTTTTTGGCTGGGCATGGTGGCTCATGCCTATAATCTCAGCACTTTGGGAGGTCAAGGCAGGTGGATCACTTGAGTCCAGGGGTTTGAGACCAGCCTGGGCAACACGGCAAAAACCCATCTCTACTAAAAGTTTAAAAAATTAGCTGGGCATGGTGGCACATGCCTGTGGTCCCAGCTACTTGGGAAGCTGAGGTGGGAGGATCACCTGAGCTCAGGAAGTCAAGGCTGAGCCATGATTGTGACACTGCACTCCACCCTGGGCGTAGGAGTGAGACCCTGTCTCAAAAAAAAGAAATTATTTAATTTTCAAATATTAATTTTACTCTGGAGGTCATATGCAGTGGTACCTGTTTCAAAAATAATATTACATAGTACATTTGTTTTACACAAAGATTCCTTTGAATTACTTTTAATTTAATTTTCTGACAGGAAGAGGAGATAAGCCATTTTATGTCAGGTCTGGCCAGTGGTTTGTATGGTTTGT